>NC_000002.12:227792648-228095678 GCF_000001405.40 Homo sapiens
GGAGTCTTCTTATGTTGCCCAGGCTGATCTCAAACTCCTGAGCTCAAGTGATCCTGCTTTGGCCTCCTAAAGTACTGGGATTGTAGATGTGAGCCACTGCACCAGGCCTTAACTTTTTTTCCTTCAGTGGTCCTGTTCATCCCTCAGCTTAGGTAACAATTATCACCTGCATTTGACTCATCTCTGGGAGCAGGTTCTTTCCTGGAAGGCTTACTCTGTATGACACAGATGTTTAAAAGGGGTTGACAGTCTTCATTTGTCTCTACCAAGGGAGATCGGTGTCCCTCAGAAAGGGCAGGAGTCTCTCAGAAGATGCTTATACTCAGTCATCATGGAAGGTGTATCCTATTGGTTGGCTTTCAAAAAATTTCAGACTTTTTCTGGAGATATTATACTGATTTTTGTGCCAGTTGAAATCACATTTTATTCTTATTCATCTACCATCACTCACTCAAGCTCCCTTACATGTGGCCAGCTTGGAAAGATCCGCACGACAGAGGCAAATCAGTAAGTCAACTCAGTAATGGATCCAAAGCTTTGGGCTTATTAGTGTCATTCCCTGGTTAGCTACTACGTCACCCTACCTAGTTCTACAACAGTTGAAACATCTTTCGCATCAAGCCAATGATTCATTTACTCTTTCTGATGTGCCGTAGAGACTCCAAGCAGATTGGTGCCTTTTGGCCTGGGCTGGCAGTCATGATGGAGCATTCCAGTTGCTCATCTGCTTCTAGGGTTGGGTTCACTCCTAATGGGCACCTGTAAGCCCTAAAGAAATGGGCCATAAATGGTAATGTATGTAGCTGGAAGTGACATGATAGCTTAGGGTTTGCCTAGCTTCTGCTGTGAGAAGAAAGGCTGACTAAGATGGCATGATGTAACGCAATCATGAAACAGAACAAGGTTCAAAGTGGATGATTGTTTACGGTCAGACCATGATGAAAGGCAATAAAATGTTTATAAAACCACTGGTTAAACTGTTGTTATAAACTGATTAAAATCATCAGGCTAGAATACTGTAAGAGGTTATAGTCATTTCTTCTTACTGAGTGGAAATGAAGCTGCTAATTAGTAAGATCTGTAAAAGAATTCTTTTATAATATTGAATCATACGATATTACTTTCCAATGTTATTTTTATAGCATTGAATCATATAATATTACTTCCCAAAAAGAGTCCAGGAAGTAACTAATTGCATACTTCTAATTATCTAATGGAGATACTAAGACCCAGAGAACGCAAGAACTTGCCCAACCAACACAGTGAGTTATTGGTATGGTTAATTAGTGATTCTTTAGCTTTCATGAGATGAAGTAATTTGTGTTTCTCAAACTGTTTTATGGACATATTTTTCTAACATAAAATAACTTCACAGTTAAATTCTCTAAAAGCTTAAAAGTTTACTTGCCATGTAAATTGTTTCCAATTAGCTTTCATCTATTTTATCCTGTAAATCCCAATACAAGGTATAATATATTATTGATGTCTTCCTGGCAGAGTTATGTTTCTTCTAGGGCCATCTGCAAAGTTAGGAGGGCAGTGAAAATTTTGTAAGGCTCACTGTAATATTTTCATGAGAGACTGGTATGAAGTATTCTAAGAAATAATGTCTTTCTTGGCCAGGCACGGTGGCTCATGCCTGTAATCCCAGCACTTTGGGAGGCCAAGGTGGGCGGATCACCTGAGGTCAGGAGTTCGAGACCAGCCTGACCACCATGGAGAAACCCCATCTCTACTAAAAATACAAAATTAGCCAGGCGTGGTGGCGCATGCTTGTAATCACAGCTACTCAGGAGGCTGAGGCAGGAGAATTGCTTGAACCCGGGAGGCAGAGGTTGCATTGAGCTGAGATCGCCCCATTGCATTCCAGCCTGGGCAGCAACAGACTCTGTCTAAAAAAAAAAAAGAAATAAGGTCTTTCTTTCTCTTCGTGGCAATTTTTACTATAAAGTATTAAAGCTATAAATAAAAGTAACTCTGTAAAATTATATTTCTTGTTTCTTTTTCTTATTTTCTTTGAGACAGGTTCTCACTCTGTTGCCCATGTTGGAATCCTGGAGTGCAGTGGCATGATCTTGGCTCACTGCAACCTCTGCCTCCCAGGCTCAAGCCATCTTCCTACCTCAGCCTCCTGAGTTGTCGGGACTAACAGCATGTGCCACCATGCCTGGTTGTTATTTTTGCGTTTTTGTAGAGATAGAGTCTTGCCATGTTGGCCAGGTTGGTCTTAAACTCCTTGGCTCAAGCCATCTGGCTACCTCGGCCTCCCAAAGTGCTGGGATTACAGGCGTGAGCCACCAAGCCCAGCCTAACGTTACATTTCTTTCTTTCTTTTTCTTTCCTTTTTTTTTTTTTTGAGACAGACTCTCACTCTGCTGCCCAGGCTGGAGTGCAGTGGCATGATCTTGTCTCACTACAACCTCTGTCTCCCAGGTTCAAGCAATTCTCGTGCCTCAGCCTCCCCAGTAGCTAGGATTACAGGCACCCACCACCACCCCCAGCTAACTTTTTATATTATTAGTAGAGACAGGGTTTCACCATGTTGGCTGGGCTGGTCTTGAACTCCTGACCTGAAGTGATCCACCCTCCTCAGGCTTCCAAAGTGCTGGGATTACAGGCATGAGCCATGGTGCCCGGCTATATTTCTAAGTTTATTTTGCTTCATATACCAGGAACCGTAGTTTGTTTCACATGTGGTCTTGAAAATAGTTTGTTCTGTTCTGATTATAAGTAACATGTGTTTATTGCTTTTTTTTAAAAAAGGGTAAATATCCAGGTGCAGTGGCATGTGCTTGTAGTCCCAGCTACTCAGGAGGCTGAGGCCGGAGGAAGCTTTTGAGCCCAGGCATTTGAGACTGTAGTGAGCTGTGATTGTTCCACTGCATTCTAACCTGGGTGATAGAGCAAGACCCTGTCTCAAAAATAAAATACAATTAAATTAAATTTAAAAATTAAAAAATTGATAAATATAGAAAAAATGTGAAAACCAAAGGGGAACGCCTCCCACTACCAGAGATCATTTCTATTTTCATTCTGGAGAATTTCCTTCTAGTTTTTTTTTAAAACGCATAAATATGGGAAATACACAATTATGGGAAATATACAACTTCCCATAATGAGTTAACACACCATTTACGATTTTGTGTCCTGCTAGTCTGTCATTATGTCATTAGCGTTTATCCCTTGCATAAAATGCTTCTCAGATTACTAAATGGCAACATACTATAATATTGAACTTTGTGGATATCCAACAATGATTTTAATCACTATTCTCTTACTATTTGTGTATTTTTTGTTTCCTTTCCTATTTTAATTATGATGCAGTGAATAGTTCTGTATGTAATTTTTGCACGCATTTCTGATTATGTTCATAGTAAATATACATTGTCTTAAACAAATGGTTAGGCTTAGATTTTCCTGGAATAACTCTGGAGCCATATACAAATGGGCAGCTGGACCTTTTTCTATAGAACTGTAAAAGACTTAAACCCACATAAAACTGGAGTATTTACACATCACACCTTAGAACTTGGAATATGTCAACATGCTAGCCTATTAGTTAACGCCATTCATAACGACCACTTGGAAATTCTTGGCTCTAACCTGAAGCTACGTGCTATGAAGGAACGCAGGCCTCGGTCTCCAGTTTGTGCCTTAACTGATCAGCATTCCTTAGTAAATTGTTCTCTGCGTAGTCCGATGATTACTATAGCTGCCTTCTTCATATCAATTGTGAGACACATGCAGGGGAATTTTCAGATTTACGATAGAGAGCTACCAATATTTCATCATCAGCACCACAACTGTCATACATATTAAAAACCTTTGATCTATTAAGTAAATATGCTCGGCACCCAGAGGCTCCTTTGGAAAGTACGGGAGTGGTAGGGACTGCCCTCCCCATTTCCATTGGTTCTCTTCTTCCAGTTCTTCGATTTCCCTGGCAAAATATTTACTTTAAGAGCTCAGGGTGTGGCATACTCACTTTACAACGGCATGTGTTCTTTGTGCCAGGAAAAAATAAAAAGTCCCTTGTGGTTAGTGAAGTAGAGGTGAGGACATAATCACAATAGCCGATAGCGCTGAGGCTCTTGTCACATTTTAGACTCATATTTATGAGAAGAAGATGTAGTTGCTTCCATAATATCCTAAGTAAATTCATCTCTATCTGATCTTTGTGAAAGGTGCAGGGAAATGGGTTTACTCGATCAGAGAGTTCTGGAAGGTTGTTTTGCAATCTCTCTCTTTTTTTGAGACGGAGTCTCACTCTGTCAGCTAGGCTGAAGTGCAATGGTGCAATCTTGGTTCACTGCAACCTCTGCCTCCCAAGTTCAAGGATTCTCCTGCCTCAGCCTCCCTAGTAGCTGGGATTCCAGGCGCACACCACCACACCAGGCTAATTTTTGCATTTTTAGTAGAGACGGTGTTTCACCATGTTGGCCACGCTGGTCTCAAACTCCTGATCTCAGGTGATCTGCCTGCCTTGGCCTCCCAAAGTGCTGGGATTGCAGGTGTGAGCCACACACCTGGCCTACAATCTCAAAACTATTAAATATACACATATTTTTTGACCCCAACATTTCATTTCTTGAAGTTATCTTAAGAAAGTAATTAGGAATATGTACAAAGATTCATCCATAGACTGTTCTTCATAGTACTATTTATAATAATTGAAAAATTAGAAACAACCTGGGGAATTCAACCATGAATAACCATACAATTGAAAACTGTACAACTGTTTTAAATGATGGCATAGGAAGTCATTTTTTAAAAGATGAACAGATGACTGTATTCATATCCTTAAATGAAAAGGCTAGGTTAATAAAATGTACTCTAAGATTCAATTTATGTTAAATATATGAACAGAAATGAGTCTAGAAGTTATTAAAAAATTAGCACTGTAATTCTCTAGATGGTGAGTCTATGACTAATCTTTGTGTTCCTCTTTTAACTTATTTATATATTTTATTTTTTCAACAGAGTATGTATCATGGTAATATTTTTTGAAGCACAGAAAAAGATTTAAAACTCTGTTCTTTCTGTATTGTGCCTCAAAGACTTTCTTCCACCTTCAAGAGAAGACAAAACAATAGAAGATTTATGTACTTAGATTGACATGCACATTTTGTCTTTGCGATAAAGTCTCTTTGCAAGGAAAAGACCAAACACCAAACATTACATTAAAACCACTACAAAAAATTGGGAGCAGATATGATTCTAGAGTTACAAATATGCTGCCTTCATGACATCATTCTTCCCATCTCAAAACAGTCATCCCACTCTCCTCAATGTAGTGCAGTTAGCCTCAGAATCTCAACCAAAACCTTTCATCAAAGATCGGCATCCATTTGCCATCTCAGGAAATTATCATACTAAAATCAATTAGAAATCTGGTAAAGAGAGGCCGGGCGCAGTGACTCACGTCTGTAATCCCAGCACTTTGGGAGGCCGAGGTGGGCAGATCACCTGAGGTCAGGAGTTCGAGACCAGCGTGGCCAACATGGTGAAACCCCATCTCTACGAAAAATGCAAAAAATTAGCCGGGCATGGAGGTGCGTGTCTGTAACCCCAGCTACTCCAGAGGCTGAGGCAGGAGAATTGCTTGAACCCGGGGGGCGGAGGTTGCAGTGAGCAGAGATCATGTCACTGCACTTCAGCCTGGGAGACAGAGTGAGACTCTGTCTCAAAAAAAAGAAAAAAAAAAAAAAAGAAAAGAAAGAAAGAAAGAAAACTGGTGAAGAGCATCTGTTGCATTTTTCATGAAATATTATTATAAAAAAAATTCTTCTAAACCAAGAAGCATAGCGTTTCCCTTTAAGAAAAATGCTATGAATGCGTTAGAATATTTAAACAAAAAAGCACAATTTATTTTATTGTGGAGAATTCTACATAACATGTTGGAAATACAGAAAATCAATACTTTTTTCCTTTTTTTTTTTTTTTTTGAGACGAAGTCTCGAGTCTCACTCTGTTGCCCAGGCTGGAGTGCAGTGGTGCGATCTCGGCTCACTGCAACCTCTGCCTCCTGCGTTCAAAGGATTCTCTCGCCTCAGTCTCCCAACAGGCACATGCCACCACGCCTGGCTAATTTTTGTATTTTTAGTAGAGATGAGGTTTCACTATGTTGGCCAAGCTTGTCTCGAACTCTTATCCCTCAAATGATCCACCTGCCTCGGCTTCCCAAAATGCTGGGATTATACCCGTGAGCCACTGTGTCCAGCCTAAATCAATACTGTTTTAAAGTACAATAAATCAGTGTACCTGTGTTACAGTGTACACCCCGATATCTTCTCATGGTGACACCATGCACACATACACAGACATTCAGCATGAACACTGAGTATTTTGGTATGTTCTATAGTATTTACCATGTTTCTTAGGGGAGTTTTAATTTCTTGATGTTTTGTTTAGCATTTAATTCCTCCCTCAACCTGGATTTCAAGGCACAGATCTTGGTTGAACCAACAGGGCTTGAGGCATTCTACTACCAATTGAGCAAAGAAAGGCAAAGTTGGTTTGATAATACTAAAATTTGAAAAGCTTATATTTCCTAAAAGACTTGAAGATTTAAAAAATCAGTCATGTGGGCCTATAAAGTTGTTTCAATGGAGTTGATTCTTTACTGTAAGGACAATTCAATCATGGAAAGCTGATAGGCTTGGTTATGCAAATTATCGTGAAGTGGTAAGGAAGACTCACTGGCTTCAAAAGTTAAAAGGGAAATTCCTACTAAAACCTTTGAACCCTCATGTACATTGATAAGTAGAATTGCCTTTAGCATGGTGAAAGGTTCCTTGAAAAGCAGCCAAGTCCCCACTTCCTTATCCAGTAATGGAAGCAATAATCTGCAATAATCAGAAATGATCTGCTTTATTTTATACTATCTAATAACAACAAACTTTTTGATCACAAATACGTTGAGCCTGAAAATCAAAATAAAAGAAAGACGAAGAAGTTGCATTCAAAAGTATTTTGAAATAACATGGCTTACTTTCCTATGTGTAGGAGAAATTTTGTGTTTTATATCTATCTGTATGTTTTATATCTATGTATGCTCTCTGTAGGATAGCATATCGTCTCCTGTGTTTTTTGTGGTTTATATTTTTGTAGATATGTCATACTTCATTCTTGACATGGGGAAGGAATTAAGCAATGACTCTTTTATATCTTGGAAAAACTGGGATTTCAAAAAATAGTTTTGAACTATGTAAAACACTTTCACCTTGAAGGTTCATTATTGTTTTTTCTTTCTTTCTTTTTCTAAGTAATAAACAATGTGATGCTAACGGTGAAGATTCTGTTACTTATATTAAAGGAAAAACAGGTCAACAAAACCATTTGCCCCACTTACATTGAAGGTCATGTTTTGTTAGTTTGTTTGATTTTTAGCTGAATGAAGTATAATGTAATGTTTAAAAAAGTGGCTGAGTGGTCTCTAAAATGATTTTATTTGAGTTCCTACCAAATATTGCGTCTAGTTTCAAAATTGTGCCTAGTTTCAGCTGTATTTGAGCTATGACTTTCAGAATTAAGGCGAGATAGGCTTCTGTAGGGGAGAGAAATCTCTCCATTTGCACGTCTATTGGGCATTATAGACATGACATGCCTTAAACCAAGATTCTATTATTCCCCCAATAATCTACTCCTTCTTAAGTGCTTTCTGCCTGATTAAACTGTACAACCATCCCCTTATTATTTAAGCCAAAACATTTAGAGTTATTCCTAATTTTCTTTTTCTTTCATAGTCAATATCCAATTAATATAAAATGACTGTCATTTTAAACTTTATTTTATTTTATTTTTCTGAGATGGAGTCTTGCTTTGTTGCCAGGCTAGAGTACAGTGGCACGATCTCGGCTCAATGCAACCTCCACCTCCCGGGTTCAAGCAATTCTCCTGCCTCAGCCTCCTGAGTGATTGGGATTACAGGCATGCGCCACCACGCCTGGCTGATTTTTGTAATTTTAGTAGAGATGGGGTTTCACCACTTTGTCCAGGCTGGTCTTGAACTCCTGGCCTCAAGTGATCCGGCAGCCTTGGCCTCCGAAAGTGCTGGAATTACAGATATGAGCCACTGCAGCCTGCCTTTTTCTCTCCGCTTTGGATGCTCTTTCTCCAGATGTCTGCACGGCTCCATCCCTTACTTCATACAGGTCCCTGGTCGATGTTTTCTCCATAGAGAGGTTTTCCTGATCACTTTATCTCAGATGACACCCGTGGACACTCTCTTCCCATTATCCTGCTTAATTTGGCTTCATAACACTTCCACCACATGATATTAACTTACTTATATGTTAATTAGTTAGTTTCTTGTGTGTTTCTTCTACTCTTTCTCATTCTCTCTTTCTTTCTCTCTCTCTCTCTCTCTGATTTGTTACTTTGTCGTCAACCAATGGGCACTCGTCTACTAATAATCTAAGTTGTATGACGGTAGAGACTGTTTTACTTAGCACTTTATTCTTCGTGACATGAACAGTCTCTAACATAAACTAGGTGCATTCCAGCCTGGCCCACGTGGTGAAACCCCGTCTCTACTAAAAATACAAAAATTAGCCTGTGTGGTGGCATGCAACTGTAATCCCAGTTCCTCAGGATGCTGAGGCAGGAGAATTGCTTGAACCTGGGAGGCGGAAGTTGCAGTGAGGGAGGTCATGCTATTGCACTCCAGCCTGGGCGACAGAGTGAGATACCGTCAAAAAAAAAAAAAAAAAAAAATTAGGTGCACAATGGATCTTTATTGAATGAATGAGTGAATTTCTATCCTTCCTCTTCAGTGAACAGTAGGGTTCATGTAAATGAGTCGTTATTTGAGTGATAATAGTTCATGTCCTTTTTCCTCCCTGACCATAGTTTGTACTTTGTGTGTATAGTTGTGTGTGAATGTATGCATGTAAATGTTCTAACATTGAAGACTAAGCAGAGATTATTTTCCATAGCAGAAAAGAAGTGGCCCTAGCAGTTTCATAAATCAGAATTCAATTTAGGGTTCTATGTGAAAAGTTAATTTCATCCCATGGCAGCACAGTGGAAAAAAACAATTTCTACATGTCTGCAAAAAACGTTTTTATTTTCCCAAGATCAAAAACAAGCACTGACAGGCTGGGTGCTGTGGCTCACACCTGTAATGCCCTCACTTTAGGAGGCTGAGTTGGGAGGATTGCTTGAAGCCAGGAGTTGAAGACCAACTTGGCCAAGGTAGCCAGGCCCCATCACTTAAAAACAACAACAACAACAACCAGTGTTAATGGTCTACCTGCTGGGCCCTCCAAAAACTTAGGGACATTATCTGATGTACCTGTGTTTTCACAGTATTTACTATTAAATGAAGGTAAAGAGTGGCTTCTGGTTGGTTAAAAAACAGTTGAGAAGGAGATATTGAAGGTTGTCAATGGGTAATAAAACCTGGTTTTAATACTATCCTGGGACCCTCTGGTGGAGGCAAGGAAGGATTCCTGTGGTCTCTCTGCAGATGTTTTGCTAAATGAAACCCTGCAACCTGGAACTTCAAAAGTATCTCAAGACTGGGCGCAATGGCTTATGCCTGTAATCCTAACACTTTGAGAGGCTGAGGCCAGGGGATTGCTTGAGGCTGGGAGTTCGAAACCAGCGTGGGCAATACAGTGAAACCCCGTCTCTACTAAAAATGCAAAAATTAGCCAGGGGTGGTGGTGTGTGCTTGTAGTCCCAGCTACTGGGGAGGCTGACAAGATCACTTGCACCCAAGAGGTGGAAGTTGCAGTGAGCCAAGATCACACCACTGCACTCCAGCCTGGGCGACAGATTGAGACGCTATCTCAACAACAACAACAACAAAAAAGGTATCTCAGATTATGTAGTCTCAGATGGTATAGCGATGGGAGCGATGGTTAAGGAAAAAATTTTCAGCAGCCCTTCGGCTGTCAACAAGTATAAACAGTCAGGCAAGAAACAAACAAAAAAACAAAAACAAAAAAACAAACACACATTAACAAAACCATTCAAGAGGTGGCCTTCAGCAAAATTAGCAGACTCCAATGTAGAAAACCAGGTCATTTGGGGTGTGTCTGGAGGACAGAGAAAGAAGCCCAGCATTGCAATGGAGGTGATGAGAGCTATAACTGTTCTGTTTCTGGATAAGCCCACCACTGGCTTAGATGTTAGCACATCAAATGCACTTCTTCTCCTGAAGATGACAAGGCAGAGAAGGCCCATCCTCTTCTCCATTCCTTAGCCCTGTTAGGCCATCTTCAAACCTTTTGATAGCCTTACCTTGCTGGCTTCTGGAAGGGTGATGTTCCATGGGTCCTGTATAAAAAACTTTGAAATATTTTGCTCTGCGAGTTACCAGTGTAAATCCTATAAAAACTCTGCTGATTTCTTCACACATGTTAATAGAGGCTCCTCTGCTGTGACCTTAAATAGGAAGCAAGGAGGTGAGAAACCTGGGGAACTTGAAAAGCCTCCCAAACAGGATAAACAATGAATAGAGGAATTAGCTGAATTTTATGTCAATTGTTCTTTCTACAGGGAAACGAAATATGAATGTAATGAACTCTCAGTAGGTGAAAAAAGGAGTGAACTTTCTTTGATCATCAACTCAGGTGGGTGTCCAAATGTTTATTCAAAAATTGGTTTGGTGAGCATCAAGACTCCATTCCTGAAATAAGAGCCCCAGTTATCAGACTGGGGCATCCAGGTTCTTTACTGTGGTTTAAACAATAGCCCTGCAGGAATTTATAATAGAGGTGGCTTCCTGTTCTATTTGTCCTGCAACCAATGCCTGAACAATGTCTCAGTGGTATTTCTTCTGGTTCTTGAAAAAAAGCAGTCTGTGCATGAGTCTACCAGTGGCTATTTTAGAGTATCATCGTATTTCTTTGGAAAGCTGATATCTGACCTACTCCCTGTGAGAATTTTATAAAGTGTGATATAATGAGTGCATTGCATCTTATGTTAAGACCGAAGCTGAAGGTGGAATCTTTCTTTCTTTCTTTCTTTCTTTCTTTCTTTCTTTTTTTTTTTTTTTTGAGATGGAGTCTCTCCGTGTCTCCCAGGCTGGAGTGCAGTGGCGCGATCTTGGCTCACTGCAAGCTCCCTCTCCCGGGTTCACGCCATTTGCCTGCCTCAGCCTCCCGAGTAGCTGGGACTACAGGCGCCCTCCACCACGCCCGGCTAATTTTTTGTATTTTTAGTAGAAATGGGGTTTCACCATGTTAGCCAGGATGGTCTCGATCTCCTGACCTCGTGATCCACCTGCCTTGCCTCCCAAAGTATTGGGATTACAGGCGTGAGCCACTGCGTCCGGCGGCATCTTTCTTTTTTAAGATGCCTCCCGGCCGGGCGAGATGGCTCACGCCTATAACCCCAGCACTTTGGGAGGCAAGGCAGGCGGATCACGAGGTCAGGAGATCGAGACCATCCTGGCTAACATGGTGAAACCCCGTCTCTACTAAAAATACAAAAAATTAGCCAGGCATGGTGGCGGGCGCCTGCAGTCCCAGCTACCTGGAAGACTGAGGCAGGAGAATGGCGTGAACCTGGGAGACGGAGCTTGCAGTGAGCCAAGATTGCGCCACTGCTCTCCAGCCTGGGCGACAGAGCAAGACTCTATCTCAAAAAAAAAAAAAAAAAAAAAAGATGTCTCACTCGTAAGGCTTGCACTGACCTCCAGTGCCTTGGCTCTGGCTCTCGCTGCAGGTCAGAGTGACCCCCTTGGGCTACCCTTCTCTTGACTTTCCCTTTAGCTGATGAAAATTATTTCAGCCCTCTGCGTGAATCTCAGAACCAGTAGGCCTTGGTTTTCCTGGATCCAGTATATAAGCATTCCTCAATACAACCATAGAGGCTTGCAACATAATGACTTTATGGACCAAAGCTTTAGACTCGGAATACATGGGCTACACACACACAAAACCAAGGCCTGTGGATATGCCATGTGTTCTGGGGAAGACTTTTTACAAAACCAAAGAATTGAGTTGTCCTCTTGGGGTCTATGAAGGAGTCATCTGGCCTTGGCATGTGTGATGGTGATTTTCTTAATTGCCTACTAATATGGTTTGGCTGTTCCCCCACCCAAATCTCATCTTGAATTGTAGCTCCCATAATTCCCACGTGTTGTGGGAGGGAACTGCTTGGAGGTAATTGAATCATGGGGGTCGGTCTCTCTCATGATAGTGAATAAGTCTCATGAAATCTAGTGGTTTTATAAAGGGGAGTTCTCCTGCACACGCTCTCTTGCCTGCCTCCACGTAAGACGTGCCTTTGCTTTTCCTTTGCCTTCTGCCATGATTGTGAGGCCTCCCTAGCTACGTGGAACTGTCAGTCCACTAAACCACTTTCCTTTATACATTACCCAGTCTCGGGTATGTCTTTATTAGCAGTATGAGAGCAGACAAATACACCTACCTAAAATTAAGCATTCATACGCTGTGTGTAGCAGATATCTCTGGAACCCCATATACCATGCTTTCAATCCCCTCTTCAATTTCAGCCCCAGCTGTAGTGTACAGTTTCCAGTGAGCTCAGACCACCTGGCACTGACGATGACTCACTGAAGCCTGCTCTGCCTGCTTTCTGCTCTGGGGCATTCTCTGAACTGAGGGGATGTTGGGCCTCTCCCCTCCTCTAAGCACAGCTTAAAAATAGAGAAGGATCAGTGTCCTGGGGACCATCTTCAACGAATGAGAAATGTGAGCCAGCTGATGAATAATCTCTCTTCTCCTTCAAGTGGAGAATTCTGGAAGACATTTGCTTCTTTCTCAGGAGGTTCTAGTGGAATCAATTTCCCATTGCCCACGAATGACCTTCCAAACCTTTCCTCCCTCCATTTGCCCGCCTGTTCCTGGCTTCTGAGAGTAACTCACAAATAAATTATCTGCATCTGAGGCTCTACTTTCAAGGGAACCCAAGCTAAGATGCTGAGAAACAAGATGCTTGATTTGTTTTAAGGAGTCACTGTGGAATTTGTAGTGGTGCTAGCCTCCATTAAAGTTGTGGTTTATTCTTTTTTTTTAGTGAAGCTCTGTAATACCTCAGTATATGATGAAGCCTGTATGGAAACTATTGTAGCAGGATGAGCCACAGACGAAACTCCTCAGACACCGGATTAAAGAAGGAAGTGGTTTATTCGGCCCGGAGCGTCAGCAGACTCGCGTCTTTAAGAGCCGAGCTCCCCGAAAAAGAAATTCTTGGCCTTTTTAAAGGCTTACAACTTTAAGGGGACCACGTGAAAGGGTCGTGATAAATCGAGCAAGCGCGGGGAACGTGACTGGGGGCTACATTCATCAGCTAACTGAACAGGAAGTTTTGCAATGCTTTTTCATACAGTGCCTGGAATTTACAGGTAACACAAGTAGTTTAGGTCAGGAGTTGATGTCATTATTATTACTTTTTTTTTTAACTCCTAGGGCCGGGTGGTGGTGCCAAGGTTGTCTGGCTATTTATCTTACTTCTGTTTCTTTCCCACTTTTTGCTTTCTCACTTTCCTCCTGTCTTGTGAACTAGGCAAGGTGAGGAAAAGAGGGCAGCAGGAGTAATAGTGGTCTCCTTCCTTACTATGGCTTCTATTACTGTCTGAAAGAAACTAAAGTGTGGGCTAATGGTATGTACTATGATCCATTTGATAATTGATATCAACTTTGAGGAGGAAATGAGGAAGATTATATTGACCTAGGGAAGGGGGGTCTGATTTCTATTTCCAGCTTCAGTCTTTATAGTTTGACACTGGCAAAGTCCAATGTCTCTCTGGCTTCAGTGTCTTCATCTTTCTTTCTTTTCCTCTTTTTTTTTTTTTTTTTTTCAAGACAGATTCGCTCTTGTTGCCCAGGCTGGAGTGCAATGGCATGATCTCGGCTCACCGCAACCTCTGCCTCCCAGGTTCAAGTGATTCTCCTGCCTCAGCCTCCCTAGTAGCTGGGATTATAGGCATGCGCCACCACACCCGGTAAATGTTGTATTTTTAGTGGAGAAACATGAGCTTTACCATTAATTATAAAAAACAGTTTTCATGCTTCCACAATAAGACTGTGTTTACATATAATTGTAATTATTTCTATGATAATGATTTATGTAAAATGAATACGGCCTGTACCCCGTACTGCTTTGTTTTACAGATATTTGTGTGTGTTTTAACTATAATTTCACTTGAATTAAGATATCATGTTCTCGGCCAGGTGTGGTGGCTCATGCCTGTAATCCCAGCACTTTGGGAGGCCAAGACGGGTGGATAGCTTGAGTTTAGGAGTTCAAGACCAGCCTGGCCAACATGGTGAAACCTCGTCTCTACTAAAAATACAAAAATTAGCCAGGCATGGTGGCAGGCGCCTGTAATCCCAGCTACTCAGGAGGCTG
The DNA here is from genome assembly GCF_000001405.40 of Homo sapiens. NCBI lineage: Eukaryota > Metazoa > Chordata > Mammalia > Primates > Hominidae > Homo > Homo sapiens. Next base: position 227,806,977 of record NC_000002.12, read on the forward strand.
AGACAGGAGAATCGCTTGAACCTGGGAGGAAGTTGCAATAAGCTGAGATCGCACCACTGCATTCCAGCCTAGGCGACAGAGCAAGACTCCGTCTCAAAAAAAAAAAAAAAAAAAAGATACTATGTTCTAGTATTAAGTAGCTTCCACATAAGACCCTTGTCATATCTTTTCTGAAAAAAAAAAAAGTCTAAGACACTGTGACTCTGCTACACGCAGGAATTAGTACTCATTAGGATGTATCTGAGATATTTCAAAAGAATCGCTGAATAATAAATTCCAGTGCAATAAATAGCATTCTAATAAATTAGGTTTGAAATAATTTTGTAATGTTAATCTCATTTAACACATTTATTGACTGACCAAAAAACCTCCCAAACAATTTAAGTCACATTTTAGAAAGTTTTTTAAAAAATTATTATTATTATTTTTTGAGATGGGGTTTCACTCTGCCACCCAGACTAGAGTTCAGTGGTGTTATCATGGCTCACTGCAACCTCTATCTCCCAAGCTAGAGCAGTCCTCCCACTTCAGCCTCCCAAGTAGCCAGAAACAAAAGGCGTGTGCCACCAGGCCTGGCTAATTTTTGTAGAGAAAGGGTTTTGCCATGTTGCCCAGGCTGGTCTCAAACTCTTGAGCTCTAGGGATCCGCCTGCCTCGACCTGCCAAAGTGCTGGGATTAGAGGCATGAGCCACCGCACCCACCCACATTTTAGAAAGTTTTAAAGGGACAAATATGAAATGGTACATCGATCAAAATAAGCACAAGGAAATGCAATTCTAGTCAATATAAAGATACTAAAAATAGTTTATTTATGGCTATTAAATGGAGAAGAAAAGAGATCTGTGATTAAGACATGAGAGAGAGGGAGGAGAAGAGACAACAGGAATGGAGGAAGGAGAAATGAACACAGACTATAGGGAACCAAGAGTAGTCGTAAAGAAAGAAAAAGCATCCATGGGCTGGGGTGCGTGTTAAGATGTAGGTACATGGAGAGTTCCTTTTTTGTTTTGTTTTGTTATCAGCTTTATTGAGATATAATTGACCTACCATAAAATGACCCTTTTTATGTAAACAATTCAGTGTGTTTTTAGTATATTTATAGGGTTGTGCAACCATCAACCATATGTATTTATAAATAAAAAATAAAAAACAAACCACATACCCCTTAGCAGTCACTCCCCAATCCCCTTCCCTTCCCTGGACACCACAACCCAGCCCTAGGCAGTCACTATTCTACTTCTCCTCTCCATAGATTCACCATTTCTGAACATTTTATGTAAATGGAATCAGACAATATGTGGTCTTTTGTGCTTGGCTTTTCCACTTAGCATAGTGTTTTCAAGGTTCATCCGTTTTGTAGTTTCTTTTTTCTTTTGGAGAAAGAGTCCCACTCTGTCACCCAGGCTGGAGTACAGTGGCACGATCTTGGCTCACTGCAACCTTCACCTCCCAGGTTCAAGCAATTCTCCTGCCTCAGCTTCCCAAGTAGCTGAGATTACAGGTGCAAGCCACCACTCCTGGCTAATTTTTGTATTTTTAGTAGAGATGGGGTTCTGTCATGTTGGCCAGGCTGGTCTCAAACTCCTGACCTCAAGTGATCCGTCTTCCTTGGCCTCCCAAAGTGCTGGGATTACAGGTGTGAGCCACCATGCCCAGCTTCATTTTGTAGTTTCTATCAGTATCTTATTGCTGAATAATATTTCGTTGTATTGATTTGCCAGGTTTAATTTATTTATATATCAGTTTATAACTTTTGGGCTGCTTCTACTTTTTTGGCTATTATGAATAATGCTGCTACAAACATTCACGTACACATTTTTGTGTGGACATATATTTTCATTTCTGTTGGGTGTAAACCTGGGAGTAGAATTGCTGGGTCACATGGTAACTCTCTAATTAACTATTTGAGGAATTGTCAAAGTGTCTTCCAAAATGACTGCACCATTTTTTTATTTCCATCAACAACATATAAGGATTCCAATTTCTCTACATCATTGCCAACACTTATTATTTGTCTTTTTGGTTATAGCTATCCTAGTGGATGTGAAGTGGTATGTCATGGTGGTTTTGATTTGCATTTTCCTACTTACTAAAAATTTTGAGCATCTTTTTATGTGCTTGTTGGACATTTATTTATCTTCTTAGGAGAAATGTCTATTCAGCTGTTTTCCTCATTTTTTAATTGGGTCACTCATCTTCTTCTTATTGAGTTGTAAGAGTTCTTTATATATTCTCTATACAAGTAAATGTCCCTTATCATATATATGACTTGCAAATTTTTCCTTTCCTTTCTATGCGTTTTCTTTTCACATTCTTTATAGTGTCCTTTGAAGCATAAAAATGTTTAGTTTTGATTTGGTCCAGTTCGTTAATTTTTAATTTTATTGTTTGAGCTTTTGGTGTTGTATCTAACAAGTCATTGCCCAACCCAAGGTCATGAAGATTTTCTCCTATGTTTTCTTCTAAGAATTTCATGTTTTTAACTCTTACATTGAGATCTATGATCCATTTTGAATTAATTTTTATATATAGTGTGAAGTAATGGTCTAACTTTATTCTTTTGCTGTGAATATCCAGTAGTTCCAGCACTATTTGTTGAAAAGACTGTTCTTCCCCCATTGAATGGTCTTGCCACCCTAACACAAAATCAGTTGACCATAGACATGGGGGCTTATTTCTCAATTGTATGCCATTGATGTGAACACTCATGCAATTTTCACATGTCTTGATTTAGTGTGATTTTTTAGTAAATTTTGAAATCAGAAAGTGTGAGTCTTCCAACTTTATTCTTCCTTTTTGGGATTGTTTTATCAATTCAAGGTCCCTTGCAATTTCACATGAATTTGAGTATTGGCTTTTCCATTTCTACAAAGAAGCCAGCCAGGATTTTAATAGAAATTGTGTTAAATAGGCCGGGCATGGTGGCTCACACCTGTAATCTCAACACTTTAGGAGTCTGAGGTGGGCGGAGCACCTGAGGTCAGGAGTTCAAGACCAGACTGGCCAACATGGCGACACCCTGTCTCTACTAAAAATACAAAATTAGCAAGGTGTGATGGTGCATGATTGTAGTTCCAACTACTTGGGAGGCTGAGGCAGGAGAATTGGCTGAACCTGGGAGGCAGAGGTTGCAGTGAGCCGAGATTGCGCCATTGCACTCCAGCCCGGGCAACAAGAGTGAAACTCCATCTCAAAAAAGAGAGAGAGAGAGAGGAAAAGAAAAGAAATTGTGTTGAATAGAAGCGGTGAGACTGAACATCCTTGTCTTGTCCTTGATCTCAGGGAAAAGGCAGTAAGTCTTTCAACATTGAGTGTGCTATCAGCTATGAGGCAGTCATAGATGACCTTTATCAGGTTGAGATGTTCTCTGCTATTCCTAGTTTGTTGAGTGTTTTGTCATGAGAAGGTGCTGGATTTTGTTAGTTACTTTTCATATAGTTTTTATTTTTATTCAATTAATTTGTAGTATTACATTTCCTGGAATAAATCCCACTTGTTATGGTGTATGGTCCTTTTACTATGTTGTTTTGTTTTTGTGTTTGTATTCGGAAAGGACATTGGTCTGTTGTTTTCTTTTCTTGTGATGTGTTTATCTTATTTTGGTGTCAGGATAATACTGTCCTCATAGAAGAAGTTGAAGAGGGTTCCCTTCTCTTCTATACTTTGAAAAAGTTTGTGAAGAACTGGTATTAATTCTTATTTGAATGTTTTGTAGAATTAACCAGTGAATTAATCTGGTCCTGAGGTTTTATTTGTGAAAAATATTTGGTTATCAATTTGATATCTTTACTTGTTATAGCTCTATTCAAATTTTCTATTTTTTTTTTGAGATGGAGTCTTGCTGTGTCGCCCAGGCTGGAGTACAATGACACGATCTTGGTTCACTGCAACCTCTACCTCCCGGGTTCACGCCATTCTCCTGCCTCAGCCTCCCTAGTAGCTGGGATCACAGGTGCCCGCTACCACACCAGGCTAATTTTTTGCATTTTTAGTAGAGACAGGGTTTCACCATGTTAGCCAGGATGGTCTCGATCTCCTGACCTTGTGCTCCTTCCGCCTTGGCCTCCCAAAGTGCTGGGATTACAGGCATGAGCCACCACGCCCATCCCAAATTTTCTATTTTCTTCTTGAATCAGGGTCAATAATTTGTGTCTTTCATCTCTATTCGTATCAGCTGTGAGGTGGTCATAGATGACTTTTATCAGGTTGAGAAAGTTCTCAACTATTCCTAGTTAGTTGAGTGTTTTTGTCATGACAACGTGTTGGATTTTGTCAGTTGCTTTTCAAATCATTTTTATTTTTTATTTGATTGATTTGTTGTATTACATTTCCTGGAATAAATCCCACTTGGTTATGGTGTATGATCTTTTTACTGTGCTGTCGGCATAGTAATTTTATTTGCATACAGTTTTTTTTTTTTTTTTTTTTTTTTTACCTCCCTTTCCTTTGTTTGGTTTGGTCTAGTCAAGGCTTGTTAGTTTTGTTGATCTTCTCAAAGAACTAACTTTCGCATTCGTTGATTTCCTCTATTGTTTTGCATTCTCTGTTTTATTTATTCCTGCTCTAATCTTCATTTCCCTCCTTCTGCATGCTTTGGGTTTAGCTTGCTCTGCTTTTCTCTAGTTTCTTAAGGTAGAAGTTTGGGTTATTGTTTTGAGATGTTTCTTTTTTTTTTTTTTTAATGTGAGTGTTTACAGCTATAAGTTTCCTTCTGAGGACTGCTTTTGCTACATCCTATAAGTTTTGATATGTTGTGGACTTTTTTTTACATTTCAAAGTTGTTTTCTACTTTCTCTAGTGACTTTTCTTTTGACACATTGTTGTTGTTGTTGTTGTTTTTTCCTTTGAGATGGAGTCTCTGTTGGCCAGGTTAGAGGGCAGTAGCGTGATCTCGGCTCGCCGTAACTTCTGCTTCCTGGGCTCATGCGATTCTCCTGCCTCAGCCTCCCAAGTAGCTGGGATTACAGGCATGGACTACCACACCCGGCTAATATTTGTATTTTTAGTAGAGACAGGGTTTCACTATGTTGGCCAGTCTGGTCTCGAACTCCTGACCTCAGGCAGTCCACCCACCTCGGCCTCCCAAAATGCTAGGATTACAGGCATGAGCCACCACTCCTGGCCAGACACATTGGTTATTTAGGAATATGTGGTTTCCTTTCTGTCTGTTACTGATTTCTGATTTAATTCCATTGTGGTTTGAATGTATACTTTATGTGATTTCAGTCGGTTTACATTTACTGAGACTTGTTCCATAACCTACCATATGCTTTATCCTAGAGAACATTCCATGTGCAACTATTCTGTTGATGTTGGATAGAGTAGTCCTTCGATGCCTGCTAAGTCTATTTGGCTTATAGTGTTGTTCAAGTCTTCTATTTTCTTGTGGATCTTCTGCCTAAATTTTATTAATTAGTGAAAATGTGGTACCAAAGCTGTCAACTTTTATTGTTAAATTTCCTATTCTGCTGGGCACGGTGGCTCATGCCTGTAATGAGGTCAGGAGTTCAGCCTGGGCAACATGGTGAAACCACGTCTCTACTAAAAATACAAAAATTCGCTGGGCGTGGTGGCACGTGCCTGTAGTCCCAGCTACTCAGGAGGCTGAGGCAGGCGAATCGCTTGAACCCAGGAGGCGGAGGTTGTAGTGAGCCGAGATGGTGCCACTGCACTCCAGCCTGGGCAACAAGAGCAAAATTCTGTCTCAAAAGAAATTATAATAATAAAATAAAATAAAATTTCCTATTCTTCCCTTCAATTCTGTCAGTTTTTGCTTTCTGTAGTTTGGGGTGCTACTGTTAGGTATATATATGGTTATAGGTTTTACATCTTCCCAATGGGTTAATTTTGTGTTACCATGAAAGTCCCTTTTTATTTCCGGTAACATTAAAAAAAAATCTATTTTGTCTGATATAGGCATCACCAACTCCAGTTCTCTTTTGTTTACTGTTTGGTATACCTTTCTTTTGATCCTTTTACTTTCAACCTATTTGGGTCTAGTGGAGAGTTCTTATACTGCCTTAGGTTAGGGATTCATATTACATTATCATCATTAGTACTGTTATTTGACATTTGCTGTGCTGACTAGCTACTGCTGATAGGTTTTCTTTCCTCAACAATTCTGAGGCTCTATATTGAGTTATATTAGTACATCATCATGGAGAGTTAAAGGTAGGTAAGGATTATTTTCTGAACTGCAATATTGATTAAAGCCATGTGAATGTATAAGATTCTTAGAAGAGTTGACATTAAATCAAGGTGAAGCTGAGGTTTGAGCCTTACTTAAAGGCTGATATTTTCCACTCTAACTGCGGACAGTACTGTAGCACTGTTATAGTACCTGCTCTGAATGTTAGTCTAGCAACTCAGGGTCTTCTTCATGACAGCTGAACCTCAACCATGTGATGGTAAATGTGTAGCAGAGTATGCCTGGCATCCCACCTGCTCCTCCTCCCCCTCCTCCTTGACTGGTTCTGGAAAGCAAATAGGGTGTAACAATAGGAGTTCTGGAATGTTCCTGTGTGGGGCTGACCTTTGTATCGCTGTTAATCCTCTATTTTCAGACACAAAAATGATTAAGTTAAAACTGGATGAAAGTCTTTTCTGGGTCACAGGGCTGAGCTGCTTTTGCTCTTTGCAAATACAAAGAATTTAACAGGATTCTCCCCTTCTCAACTTCCTGTCCCCCACCCTGACCTTCGCACCTTCCCAATATGAGGAAAAAGCAGGAAGTTTTCCTTGCGGGTTTTTTTTATGATGACATGATGGGGCCAGTTGATCAATGGGGAAAACCCCATGTGGCAACACGCCTTCTGTGTACATTCCCAATATTTGCTATAAATAGGGCCATCCCAGGCTGCTGTCAGAATATAACAGCACTCCCAAAGAACTGGGTACTCAACACTGAGCAGATCTGTTCTTTGAGCTAAAAACCATGTGCTGTACCAAGAGTTTGCTCCTGGCTGCTTTGATGTCAGTGCTGCTACTCCACCTCTGCGGCGAATCAGAAGGTAAGTGTCGCTCTTTCCGCTAGCACAGAAGAAAGACTATTTTCATTTTCCTTTTAGCCTTGAGCTCAACTGGGGGTCCCTAAGGGATGGAAAACTGTTAGGAAGTATACAAGAGGTAGTGATGGAAGTTGTCTGCCCATGGTGGAGTGGAGGAGAGAAGAGTTACTGCTGCGGATCAGGCTTTCCTCTCTGCTGTCAATCTCAGCAGATTTGGGGAGTGGTGGGCTCTTAGAGATCCCTAAACTTCAGGATAAAGCCAAAGTGATGTTTCTGGGAGTGATATAAAGTGTGTAATGTTACCAGTAGATGGGGCCATTTTGAAATGTAGAGAATCCTCCTGTGTCCCCAACTTTCGTACCTCCCAACTTAATAGTTTTGGTAAAGTTCAAAACTCATCCTTTAGAAGTAGATTATAATACCTGACATCAACATCCCCACAAGGCATGGGGGACATTGCTTGCCAACTTTAAAATAACATTAATCCCTTACCTTACAGCATGTTGTAATCTGACTCGGGAATGTCCAAGTATTGCTTTATTGCTCAATAGTCACACAACACTTTTAGCAACAGGTGCATTCCTAAAAATGCACATTGAATTTTTTTTTTTTTCTGAGGCAGGGTCTAACTTCATCACCCAGGCCAGAGTGCAGTGGCATGATTACAGCTCACTACAGCCTCAACCTCCTGGAGTCAAGTGAACCTCCAGTCTCAGCCTCTTGAATAACAGGGACCACGGCCGTGTGCCACTCACCTGGCTAATTTTTTTACATTTTTTTTTTTTTTGTAGAGACAGGGTTTCACTGTGTTGCCCAGGCTGGTCTCGAACTCCTGGAGGCAAGCAATCCTTCCTCCTTGGCCTCCCAAAGTGCTGGGATTACAGGCATGAGCCACCATGCCCAACCACATGTTGAACTTTTATGAACAAAATTAAACATTCCTATTAATTAATAGGACAATTTCAAAGTGTTTTCACTCCTATAAATCATATTTCCCTTTGTAGCTCTATTTCTCAATACTTAGTAGCCAGATAATAGATTAAAATCTGCCAATTTATTCATTTTCTGCTTTTGGAAGTTTATCTACATAAGGGTTCCTTCAAGCAGTAGGGAAGGGGCTGCTCATATTCTTGAATGATTATAGTGAACTGAAATGAAATATTGTCAATTTGTATTTCTTACTGAAGATATCCCACTTATGAGAAGTCCTGTGTTTCTCAATTCTATTATTGAACCAAAACTTCTCGGCACACAAACTGTTTTTTCAAAGAACTGTAAACTATGTTAGATTGGTTCTCAACGACCTTACAAAGGTTTCCAAGACATTGAAACTCCTCCTCTAAGTGGTTTATTCGTCATATACATGAGATTCACTAGATTTTTCACAACTTAAGGTAGTTTTATAATACCAATCACAGGATAAGTTTATTCATGTGGATCCAATACCTTTCACTTTTTTTTTTTTTTAGCAGCAAGCAACTTTGACTGCTGTCTTGGATACACAGACCGTATTCTTCATCCTAAATTTATTGTGGGCTTCACACGGCAGCTGGCCAATGAAGGCTGTGACATCAATGCTATCATGTAAGTTATTAATTGATTTTAATTCAGTTGTATCAGGAATACCTAGAAACTTCAGTTTTAAAAATGTTTGCCTTTTTAGAGTTTCATTCAGAAATTACTGATGTTTTGAACATAAGATCTTATTTTAAAGAGAAAGAAATGATGTGGCAAAGATAGCTTTGTCTTAGTACATATCTACTTTAAAGTTCACTTTAAACAGGACTGGAATAAGGCAAAACCTTTTTTAAAAATTTTTTTTGGTCAAACGGAACTAGTATAGGGCAAAAATCACTTTCTAAGGCTATTAAAGTGATATATTAGGAAAATAGGGAAGATACACATTTCGAAATGAGCATCTTCTACCAGAAAGTGTTTGAGACCAAAAGTAAAATCTCAGACTAATTATACTATCACATATAATTTTCTTGATTTATATAGGATATTATATTTTGGAATTATACAAGTTATTGATCAGATACATACATATTCTATGTAACCACCAATAGCAAAATTATATGACAATTCTGGGACTTTATCTTCCTGCCATTGTACTATTATTTGTTACATTGCAGAGAAAGAGAGAATCACTTTGATTTTGCATTAATCTTCATCAGAAGCATTTTTTGTGCATTTTATTTTACCTCATCAACTGAAATGTTTAGTGTGTAATCAACTGGAATATAAAATTTCCATTGTATGTTCTATGAAAAACCCATTGAAAAGCTCATTAAACACAAATCAAATTTTCTGATTTTTCAGCTTTCACACAAAGAAAAAGTTGTCTGTGTGCGCAAATCCAAAACAGACTTGGGTGAAATATATTGTGCGTCTCCTCAGGTATGTTACACTGACATTTAGCCTTTGCAAATGTTTGAGGAAAGAGGAGTGTGCAAAGGGGTGGGCCGTAGGTTTTCTGGGATTCTTTAGTTTAACTATTGTGGAATTTTTAAAGGGAAAATTTGAGTTGGACCACAAAAACAAAGAATGCATTTTTCCACTTACAGATCATCATCGTTATTATTATTTTAATTTAGTGATTTCTTACATGATGTATTAGATTTCTCTATGCATTTGATAGTTACTAGCTGCCTGATTCTTGTTGCAAAGATGCCTACTATTTATATAATTTAAAGGCAATCTGGCATTTGGTTGTTTGTTAAAAACTGAAAAATGAACATTAGTTAAACAGAGATCAATGGTTCTGATTTACGTTGACAATAATAGACAGTAACACTTTATCAATGGACAGAAGGCACCTAACACCAGCATGCCATAGATACTGAACTTGGAGACACAAGATAAGTGTCCATAGCCTGTTTCTGTCATTAATGAGCTGAGTTAGGTTGGGCAAGGGCCATCCTCTCTAAACCTCAATTTCCTCATCTGAACTCTGAGCTGCTTGACATACTGAGTTGAGATTAAGGGCAGGTGAAGCAACCTTTAGGTACCAAAGTCATTCCCACCATGCAGTCACCTTGTCATTACTTACACTTTTCTTCTTTTTCATTTTACAGTAAAAAAGTCAAGAACATGTAAAAACTGTGGCTTTTCTGGAATGGAATTGGACATAGCCCAAGAACAGAAAGAACCTTGCTGGGGTTGGAGGTTTCACTTGCACATCATGGAGGGTTTAGTGCTTATCTAATTTGTGCCTCACTGGACTTGTCCAATTAATGAAGTTGATTCATATTGCATCATAGTTTGCTTTGTTTAAGCATCACATTAAAGTTAAACTGTATTTTATGTTATTTATAGCTGTAGGTTTTCTGTGTTTAGCTATTTAATACTAATTTTCCATAAGCTATTTTGGTTTAGTGCAAAGTATAAAATTATATTTGGGGGGGAATAAGATTATATGGACTTTCTTGCAAGCAACAAGCTATTTTTTAAAAAAAACTATTTAACATTCTTTTGTTTATATTGTTTTGTCTCCTAAATTGTTGTAATTGCATTATAAAATAAGAAAAATATTAATAAGACAAATATTGAAAATAAAGAAACAAAAAGTTCTTCTGTTGATTGAGTTTTATATCATTTTTATGATGTGTATTGAAACCATTTCCAGGCACAGAAAATATAAGAATTTTCTGAGAAATTATATCCTCCACTTACTTCTAGTTGTTCCCTTTATCTCGGCCCCTCATGGCCCTGGACTTGATTTTACATGAATTATAATGGAACAGTTGTTCTTTTTTTTCTTTAATTCAAAGTCGTCCAGATTAAAAGTTGAAAAAGATCCTATATCTGAGATTCATAACCCAATGTTTATTGATTTAAGAAAACTGTTTAAAATAAGAAACCATGCCCACACACCTTTTGACTACAGGGACACAACAACCATTTAGAATATACCTTCAGGCATCACTTCTTCCATCCTTCTGTCACCAGCCAGGATCTCAGCATACGAACATTTCTCCATTTAAAAGTCCTCCCGAGTCATCTTTAAGCAGTTTCCGAAAGGAAAATGACTATTCAGAGAGTTCTTAGTGGCTGCCTTGCTAACCAGCGGGGAGCCCCCAGACGTGTGAAACCTGGTAAGAGCCCAGCAATCAGGATGAAAAGACTCTGAACCAGTAGTTACTATCACTACATTCATGCATCAAGGTTCACAGAGTGCCTCGGATTCCAAAGGACACACAGGATCACTGGAGGCAGGCATGCTGATGATATGATGCAAAATCAAGACACATAAACCCATAAAGTAGGGCAGTGGTGGGTCACTTGATGTGGAGCCAAAAAAGAGTAAGTGGCTCAATAGTCCCCAAGGGCGTCTGCATCCTCAGGAACAGCAACATTGAATCATCAGGGAAAGTATGCTCAACATCCTGTGTGTTGATTCATCATCACACATAGGTTCAGTATGTGCTGGGCACCGTGCCAAGTGCTAGAGAGAAGAAGTGACTTAAAACTTAATAACTTGCTGCTAGATATTTAAGGCTGAGCAATGTGGCGAGAGGCAGGAATGAGTAAAGCAGCTCTTACAACACTTGGTGGTAAGCACTTTAATAATGAAATCATTGGGCATCATTCGTGAGGGCTTCCAGAAGAAGTACTATGCAGTTGAATCACATTAAGTAGCCAATATTTGATGTCATTGACCTGAGAAGATGACAATTTCACAAGATTCAGCCCAATACTTGTGGTATGAAGAATCAGTAGGAAGTAGCTAGTTGGAAAAGGGACAGCAGGAAGTGTTTGGAAATATCTGCGGGCATGTGTAGTTGTCACAATGTCTGAGGGTGAGTACAACAAGCATTCAGAGGGTAGGAGCCAGGGTTGCTAAACTCACTAGAATGCAACGGATGGTTCTGCACAATGAAGAATTGTCCCACCCCAAACGCCAATCGCGCCACCCTTGAGCAATACCGGATGAAGAGGAGTATATGCAAGTGGGGCAGGGGTGGAGTAGCTGCAGATTAAGTTAAACTGTTATCTCAACTACGTGTGGTGGTTTGGGCTTGACCATGGAGCCCTTGGGAAACCACTGTAAAGGTCAAAATACATGTTGTCTCTGCACGGCAGAGGAAAGGGAGGTGGGGTGGATGGAAAGCAGAGGTACCAGAGACAGCTGCAATGAGGAGGCTGAGAAATGGTGAACTTCAGTCACAGCCACGGCAAAAAAAAAAAAAAAAAAAAAAAGGCAGAAGAGGTGGGATTGTGAAGCCTGGGACTTATCCCAGACACCCCTTCTCTCCTCCCCATCAGTCACTGTTGGAACAGCACAGTCAAAGCAAGGCATTTTCAGGGGGCAGCAGATTTGTCTCATTGCTGGAAGGCCTCAGCAGGTAAGGCTTGTAGAGTCAGGAAAGGAGAAAATTTTGTTAGCACTCTGAAGCTGTCTGAATCTTTTGAGGCCAGGACTACTAATAAGTATTAAGTGAGTTTCTGAAGACTGAAATCTCCAGGCTGGAATGCCAATTTATTAATCAACAACGAAAGCATCCAAGCGTCAAGTATGCGGACACAAGCACATGGCTAGATTAGGGAAGCAAGCTACCTGAGCAGTCAAATTGGAATCACAAAGCTGGTTTGTTAAGGCTGGGATCAGAGAGCAGGGCCTCAGCTATGTAATTTGAATATTTAATGCTCTAGTTTTCACTGGATTAAATATGATCTTAGATTAGGGATGCCACTCCCAATTCACAGCTCTCTCTCTCTCTCTTTTTTTTTTTTCATTTTGGAAAAAAAGCCTATTTACTTTTTAATTGAAGTATAATTTATATGCAGTAAGATACACAAATCTTTTTTTTTTTTTTTTTTTTTTTTTTTGAGATGGAGTCTTGCTCTGTCACCCCGGCTGAAGTGCAGTGGCATGATCTCGGCTCACTGCACTGCACCTTCTGCCTCCTGGGTTTAAGCAATTCTCCTGCCTCAGCTTCCTGAGTAGCTGGGATTACAGGCGTCCACCACCACACCTGGCTAACTTTTGTATTTTTAGTAGAGACAGGGTTTCTCCATGTTGGTCAGGCCGGTCTCGAACTCCTGACCTCATGATCTGCCCAACTCGGCCTCCCAAAGTGTTGGCACTACAGGTGTGAGCCCCCTCACCTGGCCCAGATACACAAATCCTAATTGTGCAGCTTAATAAATTTTTGCATATGCACCTACCTGTGAAACAACCCTGCCTCCTTCAAGACAGTAAATGTTTTCAACACAGCAGGGGAAGGAGCTCTCATGTTCCCCTCCATTTGTAGAACCCAGGGGTAGCAGCTGTTCTGATCTGTTTCACAATAGATTAATTTGCCTTTTCTTGATTTCATATATATGGAACTATCCAGCATTTACTTTTTGGTTTTTGACTTCTTTTACTAGAATCTTCTGTCTCTGAACTTATTTTTAATGGCATGTATAGTACATGAATTCACTCTCATTCTTAGGTTCAAGCAATAGTGATACGGTGAAGGTCTCCTTTAAACTTTCATCAAGCCCCTTGACTCTCTGAGGTGACCCCACAGGATGCCTTTGCTCTCCCCTGGGCTAAGTAGCCCTTTCTGTTTGTACAGTCTTCTTGAGAACCACTGCTAGTTTATGTAAGAGTCTAGTCCTGTCTCCTAAATACACTCTAACCATCTGAATGATTCTGAGGCTTTTGGTCATATATTTTCCAAAAGTCTCTTGTGTAAGACTGCTGATGTCTGGCCATAGCCATAGGCCCTATGTGTGGATTTGACTTGCTGTATTCTCAGAGTTGTCTCCAAGTTCTTCGGTGCCTCCCTGGTGCTTTCCATTAGTGTCATCTTAAGAGGTAAGTAAGATAAGGATGGAATAATGTCTTGCCCCTGGCAATCTGTAGGTCATTGGTAACTGTAAGAGTATTCAGTGAGGTAGTGTAGGAGAGAGAATCCCAATGACAGTGGGTTGAAGAATGAATGGTGACAAGTAGTTTGGCAATGAAGGTAAGAGGAAATAAAAGCTAGAAGGGGAGCCTTTTATCTTTAGATGGAAAAGTATTGAAAGAGTCAGGGAGAAGAGAGAGAGAGAGAGAGAATGAGAGAGAGATTGAAGATATTATAAAGAGTTGAAGATTCTGGAAGAGTAACAAATGGTACCTCAACTTCTCTCAAAAGGCGGGTTTCCAGAACACAGTTCAGCTGAGTCATCTCTTCCTTCGGAACAAAATTCACTCAAGAAAGAGCAGGAGTAGGTGGGGAGAATTTTGCAATTTGGGATGGAGGAAGTTGACAGACTTTGAATATGGTGGTCTTGCTTTTCTTGGTGAAAGACTAGTCACCTTTTGAGAGTGATGAGTGAGCTTTGACATGAATGGAGAAGCTTTGAGATAGTCAGTAGAGGACACAGGGGTACACTCAAGGTTGTTCCACAGTGTTGGGGTTCACTGAAGTCGGAGATAACTAAGCTGCTGTGATTTCCATTGGCACACACCAGGTGGCCTGCTGCAGTTTGGGTGTAAGAATAGACAGTGGTGACTAGTTGGACTAGTTTAGGGTCAGGCTTTGCATCTAGGCACAGTGCAAGGACAAGAGGGCAAGAGTCAATGACAGAGGTTCAGAGAGGGGTTAAAGTGCTGAACCATGCAGTCTAGACCAGAGACAGGAGATGAGGTCCAAAGGTATCTGAGACACTGAGAGAGTATGGGGAGGCCCTCAGATAAAAGGCCTCAATGTGGTCAAAGAGCAGGAGAATGGGAGGGCTGGAGGGGCTGGAGCAGCTCCAGGGGCCAAAGTCCAAGTGTGTGACTGTGGGTGTGCAACTCAAGTGGTGGGGTAGCAGGGCGATGACTGGAAGGCTACCAGGATGGATGAGTCATTCCCATTGATTTTCCCTCTACTTTTTCCCTCTTTTTTAAAAAAATATAGAGTTGGGGTCTCACTATGTTGCCCAGGCTGGTCTTGAACTCCTGGGCTCAAGCATCCTCCTGCCTCAGCCTCCCAAAGAGCTGGGATTACAGGCATAAGCCACCATGCCCTGCTTCCCTCCACTTTTTATTATGGAAAGTACAAAAGTGGAGAGAATCATATAAAAATCCCCCTTGTATCCACCATCTGGATTCAACTGACTAATGGCCAATCTTGTTACATCTACACCACCCAACTCACTTCTTCCCATCTATCCCCCTGGATTACTTTGAAGCAATTTCTAGACATTAAATTATTTTGTTTATAAGTACTTCTCCCTCTCTCTATATATGTACATATATATATATATATATATATATATATATATATATATATATGAACTTTTAAAAACATACAATTTCCCTCACATGGATTTAAAAATCAACACTAATTCTCTAATATCACCCAATGTCCAGTGTTCAAATTTTCTTGCTTGCTTTAAAAAAAATTGTTTTAAAAAACATTATTTGCATCCATCTTTTCTTTAAATGAAGATATAAAGATGTAGATGAAGGTGTAAATGAAGATCCGAAAGAGGTCCACACACTTCATTTGTTTGGCTTGTTTTTTTTTTTTTTGCTTTTAATCTGAGAGCTCCTCACCACCAGCCCCCATCTCCTTTCCTTTTCCTTTGAAATTTATGCTTTGGAGAAACCAAGACATTTGTTCTGTGGTTTCCCACCTTGTGGGTTTTGTTAATTGCATTCCTGTGGTGTTATTTAGCATGTTCTTTGACCCTACTTAGAAATAGAGGCTGGGTTGGATTGGAATTTACTATGCAAGGGGACAAGGCTACTGAATAAGTGGCATTATGCCACATGGGTACAAAGTGGTCCACACTGATGTCAACAGGAATGAAAGGGAACACTGAGCTGAAGAACTGATCAAGGCCATTAACTGACAGCCAGCGGGAGGGGAAGTGGATGGTCTAATGACATCCATATGCTTCAAAGAAGATGATGGGAAAGGTGTGTAGGAATGAGAAAGTGCCATCATGGAAGCACAAGAATACTGGTCTCTACCCACTCCTGGCCCTGTGGTGGGAGAGGAGTGAGAGAGGAGCCCCTTCATGTTGAGAAGACCCCAGGGAGAAGTAGTGTTCTTGCCATAAAATCTGATTTCAGATGAAGCCAGGAGATGGAGAAGTGGAAGATGGAAGGACAGAGAAGTTGCTTTACAACAGAAAAAAGTTTCCACTGAAGGTCATGGGGGGCATTGTGGAGTTCAGCTGGAGGCACAAAGGAGAATTGGGACGGAAGCACTAGCAGTATGAGAAAGAAAAGATGAATACAAAGATTTGGGTAGTAATCATGTCATTAATAATATTTAGATTATTTAAGCATTTGTATGTTAATATCATCTGCTAAGATTGCCAATGTACCTCATTGGAATATGAGCTCTGAACTCTATTTTTATGCCTGTTCTTGGGTAAAGAAACTGAGGCTCAGGAGAGTTAAGAAACTTACTCAAGGTCACACAGTCTTTAGAAATACAATGGAGTCTAGAGTTGGTCTCAGGGCTCCCTCCTGGCCTCTGGCATAAGATATTTTTGTGTCAAGGAGACGGCAGATGCTCAGTCTTGGGGCTGTTTATTTGCAATCTTCTTGTACATCTGTTTGCTCTGCTGTTCTAGAAGTTACCATCAAAGTATTAGAGCATTTTAGACTTTTTTTTTGGATTAAAAAGGCTTCCAAATAAAAAGTTTGTTTCTCCAAGGAGTAAGCTTCAATTGTGATGTGGACACCTTCTTCCCTAGCAGTGCCAGACATATATCACACTGTTGTACTTTTCTTTCTTGCTACATCTCTTCACAGTTTATTGGATAAAAATAATGTTTTCCACTCACTCACTCATTTATTCATTCAACCAAGAGATGTTTATTGAACACTTACTCTGTGCCAGGTCCTGAGGCGGTCATTGGGGATAAACAAGACAACCTTGCGGCTTTCATGTGCCTCATGGTTTAGAAGTGGGGACACACAACACATAGCACCAAATAAATGTATGAAATGTGAGGACAATAAAGTTGGGAAAAGGGACAGAGGATGGGGATGGAGAACTTCATATCTGTGTAGAGCCTGACACAGTTTCCTGCCTTTCTCTCAGAAACAAAGCCTCCGTCTTCCCCTTGGCTTAGAAAGGACCCTGGATAGGGCAAGGAAGACAGGTCTGATTAAACCTGTCCAAGAGTGTAGTCTTTATTTATTTATTTATTTATTTATTTATTTATTTATTTACTGAGATAGAGTCTCGGTCCATCAGCCAGGCTGGAGTGCAGTTTCCAATCACTTTGTTATTTTTTTTATTCTCCTTTACTGGTTTGACCTCTTTTGCCTGATCTTTAAACACCAAGCATCTTTACACTTCAAATCTAAAGATTCTTCTCCTCTCACCTTACATTCTTTCCCTATATAAATCATCAGTGCCATGGCTTTTGTGGTGTTGTTGTTGTTGTTGTTGAGACAGAGGCTCCCTCTGTCACCCAGGCTGGAGCACAGTGGTGTGATCTTGACTCACTGCAACCTCCACCTCCCAGGTTCAAACGATTCTGCTGCCTCAGCCTCCCCAGGAGCTGGGATTACAGGTACGCACCACCACGTCTGGGTAATTTTTGTATTTTTAGTAGAAATGGGGTTTCACCATGTTGGCCAGACTGGTCTCGAACTCCTGATCTCAAGTGATCCGTCCACCTTGGCTTCCCAAAGTGCTGGAATTATAGGCGTGAGCCACCGTGCCTGGCCCAAGAGTGTAGTCTTAGTTTTTGGAGATAACATAGGTCTGTGGAAGACTGTTGCACTGGGCCTTGCTTTACTCTGACTGAAAGGGTAGCTCATAAGTTAGAACCCCTAAGATTATAAAATTTTCTTCACTGAGCTTACCAAGTGTCAAGACTCCAGCTGGGGCCAACTCAAGTTCGCAAAACTTGAATATGCATTCGAACTGTGATTTGGGGATTGCATTAGCACACAGCATCATTGACATTCCTCGAGTCTGGTGATTCTTCGAATTTGTGTTCTTTCTGTGGCTCTGACTCAATTAAAACAAATAAACTATGTCTAGCAATAAATACGATACAATGATGTAGTTACAGAAAATCCTGCCCGTTCTCCAAAATGGTACAACACAATTTGTATTCCTTTCGTTGTTGACATCAAGGCACTTCTGGCAGGAAATGCTCACAAGTTTGAAAAGCTGGTGTACATTTTTTTTTTTCATTTTTCTTGTTTCTGGCCCCCCTCCCTTCACCTGAAAAAACAATAATTTTAAGAGATTGTTAAAATTCAATAATCTAAAATCTTCAATTTAGGTGAATTAAAGTTGAAGTTCTTAATTTGAAGAAATTCACCTAAGTTCCAGGTGATGAGGAAAGTATTGAATGTAGATTCATTCATACTCAGGCCATAATGGGCTTAGTGCTTCATAGGCTTAAATCCAGCGAAGAAAGAGCCTGCTTAGTACTGAGAGTTGAAATTTACAAGCAGATCCATGTACGTAAAGGACCTAAAGACTAAGGAGCCAAGAAGAGCAAATGGGGGCTCATGCTGGGTCCTTTGGGATTTATTGCATGTATTCATATCCTTTTTTTTTTTTTTTGGAGATGGAGTCTCCCTCTGCTGCCCAGGCTAGAGTACAGTGGCATGATCTCAGCTCACCGCAACCTCTGCCTCCCAGGTTCAAGCGATTCTCTTGCCTCAGCCTCCCGAGTAGCTGGGATTACAGGCATGTGCCACCCTGCCTGGCTAATTTTTGTATTTTTAGTAGAGATGGGGTTTTGTCATGTTGGCCAGGCTGGTCTTGAACTCCTGACCTCAAGTGATCCACCTGCCTCGGCCTCCCCAAAGTGGTGGGATTACGGCCATGGCCACCTCGCCCGGCCAATTTATTTCTAACGTTGTTCACCAAAACCATGTTTTTACACATTCCTCTCTTTTCTTATGTGAATTACTCCAGAAATTTTCCCACATCAATCTTAGCCCCATTTTGGGGGTAAAACTGTTTATCAAGTGGCGTAGTCCTGGAAAAACTTCTGAATTAATGAACATCCCATCTCACCTGAATTATTTGGCAGCAATTGCTTCACATCTCAAGCCAAAGGGTGACGCACGTCTTTCTCCCTGAAAAACACACAGGGCATCCATGTGTCCCCCTGCACCACCCTCTGTAACAGCAGAGGCTCTTTGTCCTGTTTTGCGGCAGTTCCGTGGCATTCCCTGGGCATGTTGTCAAACGCAATTAGAAAGGGCACGTGGTGTCTGTCTCCTTCAAGGCAGCCAAGTCTGAGGAGGTCGCAGTGCTTGCCTCCACCCTCTTTTGCCACCTCGTTTCTTGGCTCCCTGGGTTTGGCATGTTGGGTGCAGTTCCATTTGGCCCAGATGCTGTTTCACTTGTTGAAATGATTCCATTTCCTCGGTTTCCACCCTCAGGGCTCCCAGGGCAGGGCTTGCCCTTGCCACTTGCCTCTTCCTGCCACCACCATTCTGCTCAGCTTGGCAGAGCTGATTTGTCTAGGCCTGACTTGACTCGCCCCTCCTCCCTGCCCTACCATAAAAATCAGCCGCACTTTCTGTTTGGTGAAATCTGCTTGCCAGTGAACGAGTGTGGGTGAAAGCATCAGCTTGAAAAAAGGGGTGTTTTCCGTTTTGTCTCCCTCCCTCCCTCCCTCCCTTCCTTCCATCTTCCTTTCCTTTTTCTTTTCTTTTCTCCTTCTTCTCACCCTCCCTCCCTTTCTTCTCTCTCTCTAGACAAACTATGAGTATTTCCTCCCCAAACATCTCCCTGAGGTTGAGACTTCCCTCTGTCTGTCTCTCTCTCTGTCTGTTGTCTGCCAGTCCATCTGTCTCTCTCCACTTACCAATCATTCAGGTTCAAAACCACAAAGTCGTCTGGCTCCTTCCTCACCCTTAGTCTTCCACCCTTACCACTAGTCAGGCACTCACCTGGCTGGCTATGGTTGGCAATAGTTTTCCTCCCTACTCTTTGTTTCCGTTCTCACTGCCCTCATCTTTCTGTGGCTTTCACCTCTGAAGAGGTTTTCTAGCCTTTTCTCTCTCCTTATTTGAACATGTCTTGCCAAATTTATGCCACAATATTGATTTTATCATTCTCAGGATTCTAAATCGCTTCTGGGTACCCATTACCTATCAAGTCCTCAGCTTGGGGTGCAGGGCCTTCCATGATCCAGTTCTCATCCTGCCTCTTAGAGTGATTTATGTGTTTCACATACTCCAGGCACACTGGCTTCTTTACCATGGCATGGGCATACTTTGCCATTTTCTGTCCACACATCTTCGTACATAACTTCACCAAGAATGCTGCTCAATCTCCATCTAGATTAAGCACATCCAGCTTGAGTGATTGTGCTCCTACGTGGACCACTCCCAGATCAGCCAAAGCTCCTCCCTCATCCCTCTGCGTGTCTGTAGCATGTCTCATTTCTCCCACTGATGGAGCGTGTGCCTTGTTCTCCCATGCACTGTACTTCCTCCATGAGCTTTCTCTCCGCAATGCTGTGGTTTTCTTCGGATGAAGAACATTGCATAGCTTCTACCTCTTCGCATTTCTTGCAGTGCCTAACATGAAGCCTTGCAGCTAGAAGGTGCTTTTGGGATGATTTGGAATGGCTAGAAAAACTACTTGATAATTCCTGGGGGAAACCAGCATTCTTGTATACAATTGGTAGAAGTATAAGTCAGTAGGAATTTTCTAAATACATGTTTTCAGGATGCATCGAAAGCCTTAAAAATATGTATCTATTTCACAGTACAGTATTTCCATTTCCTGTGAATTCATTCTAAGGAAATAATTGCATAAGAGCATAAATATGTGTGGATAAAGATGCTCATAACAGGGCCAGGCGTGGTGGCTCACACCTGTAATCCCAGCACTTTGGGAGGCCAAGGTGGGTGGATCACCTGAGGTCAGGAGTTCGAGACCAGTCTGGCCAACATGGTGAAACCCTGTTTCTACTAAAAATACAAAAATTAGCCAGGTATGGTGGTGGTCGCCTGTAATCCTAGCTACTGGGTAGGCTGAGGCAGGAGAAACGCTTGAACCTGGGAGGCGGAGGTTGCAGTGAGCCAAGATCGCACCATTGCGCTCAAGCTTTGGCGACAAGAGCAAAGCTCCGTCTCAAAATAAATAAATGAATAAATAAATAATAAATAAATACATACATAAAATAAAATAGTACTATCTAAAATTTTGATGTAATATCTAGACTTAGTAAAATTCCAGGATGCCTAAAGAAATATTTTTGAAACTAAGAGGACAGGAATATTTCAATCTCAGAGAAAACTGAACACCAGGGACAGTCTTAACAAGGTACCACGTGCCATTTCTCTTTCTTCATGTCCTTTAATTTAAAAAAGTTTTTTAGGCTTAGCCTGGTGGCATTAAAAGAAATTAGATGACTACCATTTCTATTAGCACCTTGGGAGAAAAATTTCTCCTATGTTTCGCAAGCCACCTGGCTTCATCTCTTAATTAGATTTTGTCCGGGGCTATGATCCTGAAATAGTGTTTCTCCATATTGCTTGTTAAAAGTAGAAATTTCTGAAGATTCTGACTTAGTAGGCATAGAGTCCAGGAATCTGTACTTCTACAAGTGCCAGGCTGATTCTCATGGTTAGGTGAGTTTGCTCTCTGGTCAAAGTTCATGAGAGAGGAAGCAGGCCTGCTTATCTCTGTGAAGGTCAGGATCAGCCTGAAGAGGTCCTCTCTGATGGATCCTTGAAGCTGGAAAGTTGATTAAGAGGGAGTTTGCAGGGAAAATGTTGTTTTCTTCCTTCAAGAACTGGCCTTCCTCATCTGAAGGACATAGGTGAGCTTTGTCTCTCTACACCATGGGACCAGGTCATTTCCCATTCCAACATGGTGCTGTGTTGATGGACATGTCCACCCTGGGGACCAGGGGGAGAGGAGAGATAGTAGGTGGAACAAGCACCCAGGCTTACATGTTCAGCAAGAGGTGAGGTCCAGGTCCAAGTACAGGTCAACTTGGCTGTAAAGTCCATGCCTTAAGAATTCTGAGCAGAATGAGATAATCAGACCATTGGTAGCATTTCAGGTACACTGTAACGTGCCCAGAATGTAAGCTGCCTGATAACAGAGACCCTGCCCACCACTCAATCCCAGGCTGGACAGAGTGTCTGTCACGTGCTAGAAACCCTGTAAATATCTGATAAATTCATGATCTTGAGGTCACTTGCCCAAATACAACACAATACGTTTGATTTTCTTTATGTATTTCAAGTCGCTAAATCAAGTTTTTCTTTTCTTCTATGAGCTCACTAGTCCTTACAGACAATCACTGCAAATAAGGACTAGTGAGAACTGGTAGTATTGGGTCCACCTTTTACCCTAAACTCTGAGATCCTGATATTCTACTTATCAAATGCAGAGTCTATATGAAATTATTAACCATGAACTTGCTTCTGAACAGACCCAGATGGGTTTCAAAATGTATCTCATGTGCATTTATTTACTAATGTCAATTCTCCACCTTGAAAATCAGGTCAGAATATTTCTGATGTTGCATTAACAGTTAGCCATTCAGTCTTACAATTTTCAAAGAATTCAATGTAAGTGATACCCAGAAGAGAGGTGAGGAATTGAAAGCAATCTGGGCACAGCTGTGGTCCACTTCTGCAATCAACAGAAAGCAGCACTCCCTCAGCCTTCTTGTCAGACTCAGAATATTAGGAGTGGATAGGCATTCATTCTCGATTATTTCTCAGGCTTTTAAAGGTGATGTTGGAGGAAACTTTGCCCCTCTGCCTTCATTTTCTGATTCAAGTACCTTTTACACATTTCCACAATCACTCGCCTCTTTCAAAATTACAGATTTTTGTTACTTTTTCATTATTTTGCTTTTCTTGTTCATCTTTGATCAACTCTCCAACTGTTTGCACATTAGTGCAGGATCAACAGAAGGGATTAGCTTAGGAAACACCTCAAGGTAAGATTTCAGGAAAAATTAAAGAATGATTAAGTAGGATAGTGAACACAGATTGGCATTTATTTGAAAAGAGCCCCATATGCCCCATTAAATACAGTGTTTGTTGTTCAACCAGCAACTCAGTAAAAGATCAAGGTGAAGGGCCTCTGAATTCTCTTTTTTTCAATGTCTTTCTTTTGTTTCTTTTCCTTCCTTCCTTCTTTCTTTCTTTCCTTCCTTCCTTCCTTCCTTCCTTCCTTCCTTCCTTTCTTTCTTTTTTTTTTTTTTTTTTTGGCATAATCTCACTCTGTCACCCAGGCTGTAGTGCAGTGCCAAGATCTTACCTCACTGCAACCTCTGCCTCCTGGGTTCAAGCGATTCCTCCCTCTGCCTCCCAAGTAGCTGGGATTACAGGTGTCCACGACCACACCCAGCTAATTTTTATATTTTTAGTAGAGACCGGGTTTCAACATGTTGGCCAGGCTGGTCTTGAGCTCCTGACCTCAGGTGATCCACCCACCTTGGCCTCCCAAAGTGCTGGGATTACAGGCTTGAGCCACCACGCCGGGCCCAGTGTCTTTATTTTCGGACTATGCTTTCCACTATAGGTCCCTGTTGTGAATAATTATCTTGAAGGTTGCTTCTAATCTTGTAATACCATGTTTCTGTGATATATTACTTTGAGATCCTGTTTTAGTATATTAATAATATCTGGAATGTGTTTTGAGCTATTAAAAATATCTTTAAAGAGCTTAGTTGTATATCACATACTACTATAAGTTCACTATATATTTTGTAAAGTAAAATGTGGATTTTTAAGTCACAGTTTAATCTGTGAATTTACTTTGTTATGCAGTTTTGAAAGAAGTGATTTCATTTTTTTCTACAAAGGTGGCTTTCCTTAGTAGACTGTCCCTGCCAGGCTAATAAATTACTGCAGATAATAATTTGTAGGCTGTAGGAGAGGAAAGTTGGGAAATAACAAAATGTCAGCCTTGAGAGTCTTGCAACAGATTGGGTTTCATGATGTCTATGAGACTTGACACCCTTAAGTCTTACATATGAGTCCATGCACTTCCGTGCTAGGTAGGTTGCATCGTTATCACCTGGGGATTTAAAAATGTATAGGATAAGATAGGATCTTATCCTATAGGTCTGGGGTGGAGTCAGGAAATCAATTTTTTTTCCTAAGTGTCCAAGGGTGGTTTGATATTCCAGGTTTTGGTATCCTTGCCTAAGTGTAAGTTCCTGTCATTTCAAAATATTATTATTATTATTGTTATTATTATTATTTTGAGATGGAGTTTCACTCTTGTCGCCCTAGTTGGAGTGCAATGGCACGATCTTGGGTCACTGCAACCTCCGCCTCCCGGGTTCAAGTGATTCTTCTGCCTCAGCCTCCCAAGTAGCTGAGATTACGGGCACCTATCACCACGCCTGGCTAATTATTTTATTTTTGGTAGAGATGGGGTTTCATCATGTTGGCCAGGCTTGTCTTGAGCTCCTGACTTCAGGTGATCCACCTGCCTTGGCCTCCCAGAGTGCTGGGATTACAGGCATGAGCCACCATGCCTGGCCCAAAACATTATTTTTTTAAGATATTTATTTCTTAGATTCATAGAGCTTTATCAGAGTTCAGAGTGGAAAATGAAAATCGCTGCAAGTAATTTAATCAAGAAGGGATTTAATACAGGAAATCTGGCCATAGAAAATTACTGGAAGGGCTGAAAGGATTGGTTCATAATTGGTTCTCTGGGAATAATTATAGAAACAGAAAGAAGTGACCCACCATGAGAGCTGTGCTGGAATTAAGAATATTGATTGGAGTAGGTCGGGCATGGTGGCTCACGCCTATAATCCCAGCACTTTGGGAGGCCAAGGCAGGTGGATCACGAGGTCAGGAGTTCCAGACCATCCTGGTCAACATGGTGAAACCCCGTCTCTACTAAAAATACAAAAACTTAGCCGGACATGGTGGTGCATGCTTCCAGTCCCAGCTACTTGGGAGGCTGAGGCAGAAGAATTGCTTGAACCCGGGAGGCAGAGGTTGCAGCGAGCAGAGATCGCACCACTGCACTCCAGCCTGGGTGACAGTGTGAGACTCCATCTCAAAAAAAAAAAAAGAATATTGATTGGAGTCACCAACTGCTGTGCTGGCAATGTGACCACCACTTCACCCACACCTAGACTACTAAGAAACTAGAGACTGGACCCCCAATAGCTACAATCCAGGGATTAGAAAGCCTCATCAAGAAGCCCCGACAGCTTGCTACCCTTGAAGTTGGTGAAGGATATGGAATGCTTGCAGAAACACTTCATGATCTATGAATTTTCCAGGTAGCAAAGACCAGAAAAAATAGATGTAAAGATGACCCTAGCCTGGCATAGTGGCTCATGCCTGTAATGGTAGCACTTTGAGAGGGTGAGGCAGGGGGATTGCTTGAGGCCAGGAGTTCGAGACCAGCCTGGGCAACATAGGAAGACCCTGTCTCTACAAAAAAAATAAAAAATTGGGCTGGGTGCAGTGGCTCATGCTTGTAATCCCAGCACTTTGGGAAGCCAAGGCAGGTGGATTGCTTGAGCTCAGGAGTTTGAGACCAGCCTGGGTAACATGGGGAAACCCCGTCTCTACATAAAATACAAAAATTAACTGGGTGTGGTGGTGCATACCTGTAGTCCCACCTACTTGGGAGGCTGAGATGGGAGGATCGCTTGAGCCCGGGAGGTGGAGATTGCAGTGAGCTGAGATCGTGTCACTGCACTCCAGCTTAGGCAACAGAGCAAGACCCTGTCTCAAAAAATTAAAAAAAAAAATTAGCCAGGCATGGTGGTGCATGCCTGTGGTCACAGCTTCTCAAGAGATTGAGATGGGAGGATCGCTTGAGCTTGGAAGGTTGAGGCTGCAATGAGCCATGGTCATGCCTTCGCACTCTGGCCTGGGTGACAGAGCAAGATCCTGTCTCAAAAGCAAAAACAAAAACAAGACCTTTCCTCATTTCTGCATTACAAATCTTGTACTAGTTCATCTAATAGGCAGACCCCATTCACATCCAGCACTCTAGCTGAAAGGCAGTTTTCAAAAACGTTGCTTTTAACTTTCTAACCTCTCCAGTTAGGAAAAAAAGGTTGCCTGGAAGTTGAGTGAGCCAATCTATGTTATCCATCATACTGAGAGAACAAAGAAAGCTTTGGTACAAAAGACATTTTTATGGGTCGGGCACGGTGGCTCACGCCTGTAATCCTAGCACTTTGGGATGCTGAGGAGGGTGGATCACTTGAGGTCAGGAGTTCGAGACCAGCCTGGCCAACATGGTGAAACCCCATCTCCACTACAAGCATAAAAATTAGCCGGGTGTGGTGGCACATGCCTGTAATCCCAGCTACTCGGGAGGCTGACGCAGGAGAATCGCTTGAACCCAGGAGGCGGAGATTGCAGTGAGCCAAGATTGTGCCACCACTGCACTCCAGCCTGGGCAACAGAGCAAGACTCTGTCTCAAAAAAAAAAAAAAAAAAAGGGCATTTTTATGAAGAAGAACAAGTCATTTGTTTGGCTGTTGTGGGGAATGTGAATAGGAGTGTGTCAGGAGTCTTCCAATGGAAGTTAGGATTTGATCCTAAGCCATCGAAAGAAGAATAACATGATCAGATCTTTTTTTTGAAAACTGATTTTGGCAGCAAGTCTTAGGATAGATTAGAAAAGACCAGTACTAGAAGTCAGATACCCTTGTGTTACTCATGGTGAACAGAACCACGGTTTTGTTTACTTTATTCAAATATTTAATAATTTTATTTAAATTCATTTTGATTTGATATTGTCCTATTTTCAAAACACACTCTCTGTTATGAGCTTATAAAAGATGATCTTATTCATTACTCTCCTTTTTGTTAAAACATTTTATTATAAAAGATTTTCAAAAATACAAATAAATTCAAAGGCCAGTACGATGAGCACCAGGTACCACCCGCTAGTTTCAACAGTTGTTTTACCATATTGTTCTCTTGCTCTTGCTCAGTCTCTCTCTGTCTGAACTTTTGAGCTGAAGTATTCAAAGTAAGTTGCAGACACAATGCGATCTCACTTCTAAGAATTTAGCATGGGTCTCCTACAGAAATTCTCCTCCATCATCAATGTCAATATCACACCTAATAAAGTTACCACTCATTCTTTAATACATCTATTGTCCAATCCATATTACAATTCCCTGAATTGTGTTCCACATGTCTTTTTTGGCTGTTCTTTCTCCCTTCCAAATTAGGTTCTAATAAAGGTTTTTTAAATTTAATTAATCTAATTAAAATTAATTTAATTTTTTTTAATTTTTTAATTTTTTGTAGAGATGGGGTTTCGTCATGTTACCCAGCCTGGTTTCGAACTCCTGGGCTCAAACAATCCTCCCTCCTCTGCCTCCCAAAGTGCTGGGATTACAGGCATGAGCCACTGAGCCACTGTGCCTGGGAAGTTATACCTTTTTTAATCTAGAAATTTCACCAGATTTCTCTAGTTATCTCAAAAAAAAAAAAAAGTTGACTTTTTTTTTTTTTGAGACCAAGTTGAGATCTGTCATCCAGGTGGGAGTGTAGTGGCATGATCTCAGCTCACTGCAGCCTCCGTCTTGGGGTTCACGCCATTCTCCTGGCTCAGCCTCCCGAGTACCTGGGATTACAGGTGAGCACCACCACGCCTTGGTAATTTTTGTATTTTTGGTAGAGATCGGATTTCACCATGTTGGCCAGGTTGGTCTTGAACTCCTGACCTCAAGTGATTCACCTCCCTTGGCCTCCCAAAGTGCTGGAACTTACAGGCACGAGTCACCGCGCCCAGCCCACGTTGACTTTTTGAAGAGTTATGTGGGCTGGCCATGGTGGCTCACGCCTGTAATCCCAGTATTTTAAGAAGCCAAAGCAGGAGGATTGCTTGAAGCTAGGAGTTCAAGACCAGCCTGGGCAACATAGTGAGATTCCTGTCTGTACAAAAAAAAAAAAAAAGAAAAAAAAAATTAAAAAAGAATTATTTGTTACATTTTACATTCTGCATTTGGTGGTTGCTTCTTTTAATTTAATATTTTCTCTGACTTCCACATTTTCTTCAAACTGGAAGTTAAGTCTAAAAGCTGAGTAAATTTGGGTAAAATTGACATAATTTTATAGGAGATGTTTGGATTACATGCTTCCCTTCACAAGGCAAATAATGGTAGTTTGTTGCATAATTAGTGAAGCGAATTTGATCACTTGGTGATCATCGCAGGATGCCAGCCAGATCTCTCCATTGTAAGGGAGGGTCTTCCCTATGCAAATAATGAGTAATCCATGGGGTGACATTTTGACATGATGCCAATATCCTGTTCCCCATTATGATTTTGAATAGTAATATTTTTAAATCCATGGATGATCCTGGCCTGAATCAATTACTTTTTTGATGGTTTTAAAAAATCTCTTATTATTCCTTCTGCATTGATCAGCTATAATTCCTCTGTAAAAATGAGCTTTTCCTCAGTCCCTGAAGATAGAGTTAGAAAAATGTAACAATTTTTCAGAGTAAGGATTTGATGTGACAGACAACTGTCAGTGACAGCAAATGTATGTTTCCCTTCCTCTTTCTATATGGTATGGATTTTTATTTATTCAAGGTTTTGCAATCACTTACTGTTGTGGAGCCCAAGTTAACCCATGTTACCTCCCCCTTCCTTATATCTTATCGAAAAATTAACTCAAGATGGATTAAAGACTCAGACGTAAGTTAGGGTTAGCACTAAGGTTAGAGTTAGGGTTAGGGTTTGTGGAGCCCGTGTTAACCCAGATATAGCTCCTGTGCCCTTTTGACATGTGCCCACTAGTCTTTGAGCATTTCTGGCTTTCTGTAACAAGATGTCTCAGGCTTGCCTTTGGCCTTCTCTACCTCAGACCTGGAATCAGCTATTTCTCCAAGAAGCCATGGTTATGTTGTGGATGGCAGGTGACAGCACATAGAAACCAAAATCTGAATTCTAAGGTACTCTTTGCAAACAGGTGTTATAGCTCCTAATATTATCCATAAGGGAAGAACTAGGAAATATATTGTGAAAATGTGTGAGTTTATATTGATATTTCCAATAACATTTAATTTTACAGAGTTTTTACTTAATTTCTTGCATTTTTGTTTTAGATTTATTGATTTTCATACGTTGAACCAGCCTTGCATCCCAGAGATGAAGCAGACTTGACCATGGTGGATAAGCTTTTTGATGTGCTGCTGGATTTGGTTTGCCAGTATTTTATTGAGGGTTTTCACACTGATGTTTGTCATGGATATTGGCTTGAAATTTTCTTTTTTTTTTTTTTATCTCTGCCAGGTTTTGGTATCAGGATGATGCTGGCCTCATAAAATGAGTTAGGGGGGAGTCCCTCTTTTTCTATTGTTTGGAATAGTTTCAGAAGGAATGGTACCAGCTCCTCTTGTACCTCTGATAGAATTCGGCTGTGAATCCATCTGGTCCTGGGCATTTTTTGGTTGGTATACTATTAATTACTGCCTCAATTTCAGAACTTGTTATTGGTCTAATCAGGGATTCGACTTCTTCCTGGTTTAGTCTTGGGACAGTGTATGTATCCATTTCTTCTAGATTTTCTAGTTTTTTTGTGTAGAAGTGTTTATAGTATTCTCTGATGGTAGTTTGTATTTGTGTGGGATCAGTGGTGATATCCCCTTTATCGTTTTTTATTGTGTCTATTTCATTCTTCTCTCTTTTCTTCTTTATTAGTCTGGCCAGTAGTGGTCTATCTATTTTGTTAATCTTTTCAAAAAATCAGCTCCTGAATTCATCAATTTTTTCAAAGGGTTTTCTGTGTTTCTATC
The DNA here is from genome assembly GCF_000001405.40 of Homo sapiens. Lineage (NCBI taxonomy): Eukaryota > Metazoa > Chordata > Mammalia > Primates > Hominidae > Homo > Homo sapiens. The sequence goes on from NC_000002.12 coordinate 227,836,673, forward strand.
TCCTTCAGTCCTGCTCTGATCTTAGTTATTTCTTGTCTTCTGCTAGCTTTTGAATTTGTTTGCTCTTGCTTCTCTAGTTCTTTTAATTGTGATGTTAAGGTGTTGATTTTAGATCTTTCATGCTTTATCCTGTGGGCATTTAGTGCTACAAATTTCCCTCGAAACACTGCTTTAGCCGTGTCCCAGAGATTCTGGTACGTTGTGTCTTTGTTCTAATTGGTTTCAAAGAACTTATTATTTCTGCCTTAATTTTGTTATTTATCCAGTAGTTATTCAGGAGCAGGTTGTTCAGTCTCCATGTAGTTGTGTGGTTTTGAGTGAGTTTCTTAATCCTGAGTTCTAATTTGATTGCACTGTGGTCTGAGAGACTGTTTGTTATGATTTCCATTATTTTGCATTTGCTGAGGAGTGTTTTACTTCCAATTATGTGGTCAATTTTAGAATAAGTGCGATGTGTTGTCAAGAAGAATGTATATTCTGTTGATTTGGGGTGTAGAGTTCTGTAGATGTCTATTAGGTCTGCTTGGTCCAGAGCTGAGTTCAAGTCCTGAATATCCCTGTTAATTTTCTGTCTCATTGATCTGTCTAATATTGACAGTGGGGTGTTAAAGTCTCCCACTATTACTGTGTGGGAGTCTAAGTCTCTTTGTAGGCCTCAAAGAACTTGCTTTATGAATCTTGGTGCTCCTGTATTGGGTGCATATATATTTAGGATAGTTAGCTCTACCTGTTGAATTGATCCCTTTACCATTATGTAATGCCCTTCTTGGTCTGTTTTGATCTATGTTGGTTTAAAGTCTGTTTTATCAGAGACCAGGATTGCAATCCCTGCTTTTTTTTTTTGCTTTCCATTTGCTTGGTAAATATTCCTCCATCCCTTTATTTTGAGCCTATGTATGTCTCTGCATGTGAGATGGGTCTCCTGAATACAGCACACCGATGGGTCTTGACTCTTTATCCAGTTTGCCAGTCTGTGTCTTTTAATTGGGGCATTTAGCCTGTTTACATTTAAGGTTAACATTGTTATGTGGGAATTTGATCCTGTCATTTTGGTTCTAGCTGATTATTTTGCCTGTTAGTTGATGCAGTTTCTTCATAGTCACGATGGTCTTTACAATTTGTTATGTTTTTGCAGTGGCTGGCGCAGGTTTTTCCTTTCTATGTTTAGTGCTTCCTTCAGGAGCTCTTGTAAGGCAGGCCTGGTGGTGACAAAATCTCTCAGCATTTGCTTGTCTGTAAATGATTTTATTTCTCCTTTGCTTATGAAGCTTAGTTTGGCAGGATATGAAATTCTGGATTGGAAATGCTTTTCTTTAACAATGTTGAATATTGGCCCCCACTCTCTTCTGGCTTGTAGGGTTTCTGCAGACAGATCCACTGTTCGTCTGATGGGCTTCCCTTTGTGGGTAACCTGACCTTTCTCTTTGGCTGCCCTTAACATTTTTTTCCTTCATTTCAACCTTGGTGTATCTGACAATTATGTGTCTTGGGGTTGCTCTTCTCAAGGAGTATCTCTGTGGTGTTCTCTGTATTTCCTGAATTTGAATGTTGGCTTGTTTTGCTAGGCTGAGGAAATGCTCATGGATGATATCCTGAAGAGTGTTTTCCAACTGGGTTTCATTCTCCCCGCCACTGTCAGGTACACCAATCAAACGTAGGTTTGGTCTTTTCACATAGTCCCATATTTCTTGGAGGCTTTGTTCGTTCCTTTTCATTCTTTTTTCTCTAATCTTGTCTTTATGCTTCATTTCATTAAGTTGATCTTCAATCTCTGATATCCTTTATTTTGCTTGATTGATTCAGCTATTGATACTTGTATGTGCTTCATGAAGTTCTCATGCTGTGTTTTTCAGCTCTGTCAGGTCATTTATGTTCTTCTCTAAACTGGTTATTCTAGTTAGCAATTCCTCTTACCTTTTTTCAAGGTTCTTAACTTCCTTGCATTGGGACAGAACATGCTCCTTTAGCTCGGAGGAGTTTGTTATTACCCACCTTCTGAAGCCTACTTCTGTCAATTCGTCAGTCTCATTCTCTGTCCAGTTTTGTTCCCTTGCTGGTGAGGAGTTGTGATCCTTTGGAGAAGAAGAGGCGTTCTGGTTTTTGGAATTTTCAGCCTTTTTGCGCTGGTTTTTCCTCATCTTCGTGGATTTATCTACCTTTGGTCTTTGATGTTGGTGACTTTTGGATGGGGATTTTGAGTGGACGTCCTTTTTGTTGATGTTGATGCTATTCCTTTCTGTTTGTTAGTTTTCCTTCTAACAGTCAGGCCCCTCTGCTGCAGGTCTGCTGGAGTTTGCTGGAGGTCCACTCCAGACCCTGTTGGCCAAGGTATCACCAGCAGAGGCTGCAGAACAGCAAAGATTGCTGTCTGTTCCTTCCTCTGGAAACTTCTTCCCAGAATGGCACCCACCAGATGCCAGCCAGAGCTCCTCTATATGAGTTGTCTGTCAACCCCTGCTGGGAGATGTCTCCTAGTTAGGAGGCATGGGCATCAGGGACCCACTTGAGGAGACAGTCTATCCCTTATCAGAGCTCAAGCGCTGTGCTGGCAGATCCACTGCTCTCTTCAGAGCCAGCAGGCAGGAACATTTAAGTCTGCTGAAGCTGTGCCCACAGGTGCCCCTTCTCCCAGGTGCTCTGTCCCAGGGAGATAGGAGTTTTATCTATAAGCCCCTGACTGGGGCTGCTGCCTTTCTTTCAGAGATGCCCTGCTCAGAGAGGAGGAATCTAGAGAGGCACTCTGGCTAGATAGGCTTTGCGGAGCTGTGGTGGGCTCCACCCAGTTTGAACTTCCCAGAAGCTTTGTTTTCACTGTGAGGGGAAAACTGCCTACTCAAGCCTCAGCAATGGTGGACGCCCCTCCCCCACCAAGCTTGAGTGTGTCCCAGGTTGACTTCAGACTGCTGTGCTGGCAGCAAGAATTTCAAGCCAGTGGATCTTAGCTTGCTGGGCTCTGTGGTGCTGGGATCCACTGAGCAAGACCACTTGGGTCCCTGGCTTCAGCCCCCTCTCCAGGGGAGTAAACGGTTCTGTCTCACTGGCATTCCAGGCACAGCTGGGGTACAAAAACAAACCCCTGCAGCTAGCTTGGTGTCTGCCCAAAGGGCCGCCCAATTTTGTGCTTGAAACCCAGGGCCCTGGTGGTGTAGGCATCCAAGGGAATCTCCTGGTCTGCAGGTTGCGAAGACTGTGGGAAAAGCATAGTATCTGGGCCGGAATGTACCATTTCTCACGGCACAGTCCTCAGGGTTTCCCTTGGCAAGGAGAGGGAGTTCCCTGACCCCTTGCACTTCCTGGGTGAGGCAATGCCCCACCCTGCTTTGGCTTGCCCTTTGTGGGCTACACCCACTGTCTAACCAGTCCCAATGAGATGAGCTGAGTACCTCAGTTGGAAATGCAGAAATCACCCACCTTCTGTGTTGATCTCACTGGGAGCTGCAGACTGGAGCTGTTCCTATTTGGCCATCTTGCTGTCCACCCTATCCCACTAAGTTATTACAAAGCGTTGTGTTAAAAAAATGACTTTAAATAACTTTTTTTCTCTATGGTATAGTATCATCTTGACAAATAATCAGGTTCATTTCTTTCCTTTTCACTTTAATTTTTGATTTGTTTTCCTAACATTTTATTGTACAAATTTATATAAAAATATTGAAACAGCTGTATAGTGAACACACCTCCCCACTAACAAGACACTGTGATTAATATATGTAATTCCAATTTGCTTCATCTCCTAATTCTATCCACCATCAACCCAACATATTTTTTGAAAAAGTTCAAAATAAGTTGCAGACGTAGTGTTCTCTACCTCTCCCTATTTCAAACTACCTATCGTTAACTATGGTTCAATATTTGTTTATCATGCTTAGCGTAATCAACATAAAATGTAATGCATAAATCTTAAGTGTACCATTCCATAAATTTTGACAAATGCATGCACTTGTCAAAGTGCAAATCCAAACCCCAAAGATATATAGTGTTATCGTCACCCTAGAAAGTTCTCTCACACCTTTTTTCATCAATAATTAACATCAACCCCAGAGACAAACACTGTTATTAATTTTCCCACATAGATTAGTTCTAAAACTTGATATAAATGGAATCATACAGTGATATGGTTTAGATCTGTGTCCCCACCAAATCTCATGTCAAATTGTAATCCCCAATGTTGGAGGTGGGGCCTGGTGGGAGGTGGTTGAATTATGGGGGTGGATTTCTCATGAGTGGCTTAGCACAATCTTCTAGGTGTCATTCTCATAATAGTGAGTGAATTCTCATGAGATCTGGTTGTTAAAATATGTGCAGCACCTCCCGCCTTGCTCTCTGGTTCCTGCTCCTGCCACGTAAGACATGCCTTTTCCCCCTTCGCCTTCTGCCATGACTGTAAGCTTCTTGAAGCCTCCTCAGAAGCTGAGCAGATGTCAGCATCATGGTTCCTATATAGCCTGTGGAACTATAAGCCAAGAAAGCCTCTTTTATTTATAAATTACCTAGTCTCAAGTATGTCTTTATAGCAATGCAAGAACAAACTGAAACATACAGTATGTGATTTCTTTCACTTGGCATGATTTTTAGATTCATCTATGTTGTAACATGTATGTAGCCCATTTTGTTTATTTCTTTTCTTAGCAATGCTACTAACTGAATAGTGTATTTCCTGTTTTATTGTTGAATAGTGGTTCATTGTATAGATATACCACAGTTTGTTCATTCATTCACCTCTTGATGGACATCCCCGCTATTTTCAGTTTTGGATTATTATGAATAAAGCTGTTGTTGACCAACAAAAAGCTGAACTTTGTAAAATATTTGAAGAGGTTTATTCTGAGCCAAATATATAAGACCATGGCTCAGAAGACAGCCTCAAGAGGTCCTGAGAACATGAGCTCAAGGTGTTGGGTTACCGCTTGGTTTTATATCTTTCAGGGAGACAGAAGTTACAGGCAAAGATGTAAATCAATACATGTAAGATATACATTGATTTGGCCCAGAAAGGTGGGATATCTTGAAGAGGGTAGCTATGGGTCATAGGCAGAGTCAATGATTTTCTGAGTGACAATTGGTTGAAAAGGTTAAGCTTTGCCTGAAGAATTGAAGTTAGCAGAAAGAAATGCTTGAGTGAAGATAAGGGGGAAGCCAAGGTTCTTATTATGTAGATGAAGACTCCAGGTAGCAGGGTTCAGAGAGAATAGATGATAACAGTCTCTTATTAGACCTTAAAAGATGCCAGTCTCTTAGTTAAGTCTCTCCTGAATAAGGAGAAGACCTAGAAAGGGAAGGGAATTCTCTACAAAATGCAAATTTTCCCCATAAAAGATGGCTTTGCAGGGCCATTTCAATACATGTCAAAGAAATATATTTTGGGATAAAATACTTTGATTTCCTTCAGGGCCTGCTATATTTTGTGTGATGCTATATCAGGGGTAGGTTGGAGTACAGTATCTCATTGCTACAAATAGTCTGTTTTGTCAGTCTTAGGATCTCTGTTTTAATATTAATGCTGGTCAATTTTGCTTAAACTTCAACAACACGGGGTATAATGAGGCACGTTTGACCTCCCTTCCCCTCATAGCCTGAAATAGCTTTTAGGTTTTCTTTAGGATCCCCTTGGCCAATCAGGAGAGAGGGTCCGTTAAGTCAGATGGGAGGCTTAGAATTTCATTTTTGTTTTACACTGTTATGAACACACTTGTACAAATCTTTTTGTAGACATATATTTTTATTTCTCCTTGGTACATTAGAAGCGGAATTGCTGGGTCGGGGATAAATGTATGTTTAGTTTTATAAGAAAGCGATGGACCTTTTTCCTAAATGGTTATAACATTTCAAACTCCCACCAACCATACATAGGTGTTCCAGTTACTCCACATACTTGCCAACATTTAGTGCTGTTGTTTTTAAATTTTTTAAAGCCATTTTGGTAAATGCGTAGTGGGTTTTTTGTTTAATTTCTTGAATATGTAATACATTACTGAAACCATCTTTGTAAAAATTATGACAATGAGAAAAATATGACATAGAACAATTATGACAGTGAAAGAGGTCTGACCTAACTGACCCCATCTTACCTTTAACCTCTAAGCTGCCCTTGTTCATTCCTGGGCCTAGGCTGAGCTAACTATAAGAGGAATTTAACTTATAGTTTAACTTTAGAACCGAGATGATAATAGTCCTACCCCAAAACAAAGCCCTTTCTTGCTTGGGGACCAGACTGCCTTTGTAAAACTAATAAATTAGCCACAAGTTTAGAAATTATGGCCCAGGAGTCATGCAGTCAGAGGCCACCAGATTCCTAACCTCCTCAATTGCTCCTATAGATAACATTACTATTGTAAGACCTAAGACGATTGGTGTTCAAAGAATTTTTATGACTGCATTCTGATGAACCAGCTGTTGCCACCCAGAATGGTAAACTGGCTCATCTGGTCTTGTGCCCCCAACCCAGGAACTGACTCAAAGCAAGAGGATGGCTTCCTATGATTTCATCCCTGGCCCAACCAATCAGCATTCCGCATTCACTAGCCTCTGTTTGCCGAACTATCTTTAAAAAAAATCCTAGCCTCTGGTCCATGTGTGGTGGAGCATGCCTGTAGTCGTAACTCTTTGGGAGGCCAAAGAGGTGTCGATCACTTGAGCTCAGGAGTTTGAGACAAGCCTGGGCAACATGGTGAAACCCCATGTCTACACAAAATACAAAAATTAGCCAGGCGTGGTGGCATGCATCTGTAGTCCCAGCTACTTGGGAAGCTGGAGTGGGAGGATTGCTTGAGCCCAGGAGGTTGAGGTTGCAGTGAGCCGTGATCATGCCACTGGACTCCAGTCTGGGAGACAGAGCAAGATCCTGTCTAAAAACAAAAAACAAAAACAAAAAAATACAAAAACAAAAACAAAAAAACCTGGCCTCTGAATTTTCAGGGAGGCTGAACTTAGTAATAATAAAACTCTGGTCTCCTGTTTAGTCGGCTCTGTGTGTATTAAACTCTCTATTGAAATTCTCCTGTCTTGATAAATTGATTCTATCAGGGCAAGAAGAACCCATAGGGCAGTTACATTGTGATCTTTCTCTGATTAAAATAAAAGTTTTACTTTCTCATTACTTCCGGACCTTAGTATCAATCACTCAATCACATAAACTAAAGCCTGCATGTGATTTTGGATATTATCTAATTTATCTAATTTTACAAGTGAAGAAATTGATGTTCAGGGAGCTTGTTCAAGTATACACCAAGAAGGCTATAGCATGGGAAACCTCCTAGCCCCAGCTCATTGCTCTTTCTACTCAACAAAGTCCTTGTCATTTAATGATGTGCTTTCCCCCTTTGCTGATGACAACCTCTTCTTGCAAAACATCCTTTATTTCTGACTTCAAAAAAACAACATGGCTGACCAAGAGGGCAAATTTGATAATTTGATATATATATATATATATATATATATTTTTTTTTTTTTTTTTTTTTTTTTTTTGCATCAGGGTCTTGCGCTGTCACCCAGGCTGGTGTGTGGTGGTGTGATCATGGCTCATTGCAGCCTTGATCACTTGGGCTCAAGCAGTCCTCCTACTTCAGTCTCCTGAATAGCTGGGAACACAACCACACACCACCACACCTGGTGGCTAACTTTTATATTTTTTGTAGATACAGTATCTCTCTATGTTGTCCAGGCTGCTCTTGAACTCCTGGCCTCAAGCAATCCTCTTGCCTCAGCCTCCCAAAATGCTAGGATTACAGGTGTGAGCCACTATACTCAACCAAATGAGATTTTTTTTTTTTTTTTGAGATGGAGTCTCGCTCTGTCACCTAGGCTGGAGTGCAGTGGCATGATCTCAACTCACCTGGGAGGCAACCTCTGCCTCCCAGGTTCAAGCAATTCTCCTGCCTCAGCCTCTTGAGTAGCTGGGACTATAGGTGCACACCACCATGCCCATGCCCAACTAATTTTAGAGACAAGGTTTCACCATGTTGGCCAGGCTTGTTTGCAGTGGCGTGATCTCAACTGAACCTGGGAGGCAACCTCCGCCTCCCAGGTTCAAGCAATTCTCCTGCCTCAGCCTCCTGAGTAGCTGGGACTACAGGCGCACACCATGCCCATGCCCAACTAATTTTAGAGACAAGGTTTCACCATGTTGCCCAGGCTGGTTTTGAACTCCTGACCACAAGTGATCTACCTGCCTCAGCCTCCCAAAGTGCTGAGATTACAGGTGTGAGCCACTGTGCTTGGCCCTAAAATGCAATCATTTGGAATAAAGTTTTAATCTTTTCTTTGTTCTATTGATTGATGACTATAACGCTCTAACAAGGATTTATCCATCATTTAGGAAATGACTTCATGAAGTTGTTAGGGACTGATAACTGGGTGAGATGAAGCCCAGGGGGGTTCTTTCCTTTCTGTGTGTCAAACATTGTTTTTTGAAGTCTAACAACAATTTACACAAATTTTCTAATGACTAATATTCTCTTTTCTTATAAACTTGTTAAAAATTCTTTATAAAGGGAAACAATTTTCTAATAGACCTGTGTTCTATCTGAAGAAACCTTTCAAATGTACATTGTTTAAGGGAAAAAGTTTTAAAGTTTGAAGAGATTTAAAGATGAGAATTTTAAGCCACCTTATCACAGAGACCCTAACCAAATGGCATTAAAAAAAAAAAGTAGAGCATTACCTCATACACTCAATTAACATCTGAATTAAGGGAAACATTCACTTGTAGGTGGGGAAATTTTTATTAGCAAAACTTCACTGACATTAAAAAAAAATCCTGGAACACGTGTATATAAGTTTCAGCTTTCTGTGCATGAAGCCCTTCACTTCATCTCATTCCTAGTAAATAAATGATCTCCAGAAAAGTATGAAGACACAGTGCTGGGTGTGTCCAAATGTGTCTTCTTTGACATCTTTTAACAAAAATCCATACATAATGACTTGTAATTTTACAAAATTTACTAGGCATCTATTTATGTATTAGAGGTGAGGGTTTAAGGATATGTTCCATAAGAAACATAGCAATATAGGGCAGGGATAGTGACTGACACCTGTAATCCCAGCACTTCGGGAGGCTGAGGTGGGTGGGTCACCTGAGGTCAGGAGTTCAAGACCAGCCTGGCCAATATGGTGAAATCCCGTTTCTACTAAAAATACAAAAAATTAGCTGGGCGTGGTGGCAAGTGCCTGGAATCCCAGGTACTCAGGGCGCTGAGGCAGGAGAATTGCTTGAACCCAGGAGGTAGAGGTTGCGGTGAGCTGAGATTGCACCATTGCACTCGAGCCTGGGCAACAGGAGTGAAACTCCATCTCAAAAAAAAAAAATTTCCAGAGTTGGTGTTGTTCACATGCACTTGACCATAAATCCCCCTAAGATGGATCCTTGAAAAATTTTAGACTTGGACTAAGTCTATAATGATTCATAAACATAAGGGAATTTTATAAAATAACGAATGAGAGCATCTTCTACATGCCAGTCAATCCTGTAGCTCCAGGTATATAGAGACGGAAAATACCATCTCTGCCCATTGGTTAAGCAAGGGTTTTGGCAAGGCTATGGAGCAAAAGGAATTCCCATACATTGCTGGTGAGAAAGAAAACTGTGGTAACCCCATTGAAAAACAGTTTGTCTTAAAAAATCTTTTTGAAGACAGAGTCTCGCTCTGTTCCCAGGCTGGAGTCCAGCAGTGTGATCATAGCTCACTGAAGGCTCAAACTCTTGGGCTCAAATGATCCTCCTACCTTAGACTCCCAAGCAGCTGGGACTATAGGCACATGCCACCACGCCTGATTAATTTTTTATTTTTATTATTTTTAGAGACAGGATCTCACTATGTTGGCCAGGCTGGTCTTGAACTCCTGGGCTGAAGCAGTCCTCTCATTTCGGCCTCCCAAAGTGCTGGGATTACAGGTGTGAGCCACTGTGCCTGGCCCAGTGTGGCGTTTTCTACTAAAGCTGAACACATGTATACTCTGTGAGTCAGCAATTCTTTCTCATACGTGTCCCTGAGTAATGCATGCATACATGTGCCAGGATTCTTGTAAACGAATGTTTTCAGAAGCATTGTTTATTGTAGCTCCAAACTGGGCCATCAACTTTAGAAAGAATAAATAAATTGTGGGGTATCACACACAATGGAAATCTAGACAGAAGAGAAAATAAACTACAGCTGAATGCAGTAACATCCTGGAATCTTAAACATGGCATTGATTGAAAGGAAGACGACAAGAGAGAACACCCACAAGATGACCCTATTTCTATAAAATTCAACACCAGGAAAAATTAAACTTTATTTTTAAGCATGCATACAAAGCTAGTGAAACTATAAAGAAAAGTGAAGAAGTGATTACCAGAAGGGAAAGGACAGTAGTTGTTTCCAGGAGCATGTGAGCAGGGTATGGCTGAAACAAGACACATGAGGTTTCAGGAAGTGCTGATTTGCATGCAGTTTCACAGATTTTCAAAAAGTAATGATTCAATATTCTGTATATTTATTTTATGCATTCTTCCATATGTTGCTGTAACTGAAAAAATTTTTAAAAGATCAAATTTACAATCCCACCTTGAATTTAGAGTGATAATGAAGTTAAATGAGATTTGGCCAACAGGGCTAGGAAGGTGAGAATAAGTCCTCACTCCATGGATAAGTCTTAGAGGGAAAATAGGAAATTAGCAGAGAAGGAAAGAGCTGTCTAGGCAGAGGCAAGACTCACGCTAAAGTCTTCTTTGTCTATTTCACTCCTTCGGCACTGCAATTCTTCCCTCTACTCCGGCCCTCCAGGTGAGTGTGAGGGTTTAAGAAATGGGGCCCCCAAAGCAGGTCAGAGGCCAGAATATGTTCTGTTCATGTTTAGAAGATTTACTGGAGAGTTTTTGGAAGCAAGAACATTTTTGTTATGAAGTAAAAAGGAATATCTAAGATATCCCTCCGGCCGGGCGCGGTGGCTCACGCCTGTAATCCCAGCACTTTGGGAGGCCGAGGCGGGCGGATCACGAGGTCAGGAGATCGAGAGCATCCTGGCTAACACAGTGAAACCCCGTCTCTACTAAAAATACAAAAAATTAGCCGGGCATGGTGGCGGGCGCCTGTAGTCCCAGCTACTCGGGAGGCTGAGGCAGGAGAACGGCGTGAACCCGGGAGGCGGAGCTTGCTGTGAGCCGCGATCTCGCCACTGCACTCCAGCCTGGCAACAGAGCGAGACTCCGTCTCAAAAAAAAAAAAAAAAAAAAAAAAAAAAGATATCCCTCCTTCTCCCTTAGAACAAGGAAATACAAACTAACGGAAAAACCAAGGAAGATGTAAAGAAAAGAAGAGAAAACTAAGGAAAACTTGAGAAAATTGAGGCACAGATACAAAGGGGAAGAGAGAGAAGGGAATGAGTCAGGAGGGAAACAGAGAAAAGAGATTAAAGACATAAAAAGATAAAAGTATCGGGAAGCATTGCAGTGTGAAAGGGAAGAAATAAGCAAAGAAGACTTTGGAAGCTGCGTTCTTAAGATCTCTCTTAGATGAAAAAGGGGAGAGATAAATGAGAGAAAAGTAAAAAAGTTTTAGCAGAAAAAAAGAGAAATGATCAGAAATGTTTAATAGAAACATGAAAATTAGAAGTTCATGGGGCAAAAATAAAATGTGGCTTATTTTTATTTCTCTTTCTTAAAAGAGCAAACATTTGCAGGAAATCAAAAGGGCTCAAATTTCAAAGATCAACAAAACCAAGTGATGGGAAAAGCCTTTATAAGAGAAACTAGAATGGCATAAGAGGAATCTTAATAGTTTGATCATTTAAACAGGCTAAGGTAAATACTCACGCGAAAGAACCAAAAACTTTGTAAGAGTTATGATGCCAGAGAAAATAAGGAAGAAGAAAAAAGTGAACACTGTTACGTGTTCTAACTTGCAAGTCTCTTTCCCTCTTACTCTGCTAAGAATAAAAGAAAAGGCGGAAGGAAGAGATGAAAAGGGGGTCATTCCAACTCATTAAAACAGGGAAAAACCAACTATTGCAGAAAGGAATGGTGAGCCTGGTAAAAGTTGGGAGGAGGATGGGAAATTGCAAGAAGAGGGTTGTTAAAGTTATGAGTTCATTTTCCCTCGCCCCCTCATGGTACCATACTCACTCGACTGGAAAGGCAAGTTTCACTCCAGCAAATGAAGCAGCAAGGAAGTGACTTCACAAAAATCTTCCTCTGCTCTAGGGTAATTTGGGCCTTTCATGATTTAACTCAGTCTACCACATCTTGACCTAGTTGAAAACTGGGTCAGACTATTTTTCTTGAACGGAAGCCTAAAAACCACCCTCCCTTAAATGAATTTATATTTTTGCAGTATTGTCTATACTCAGTTTCTCTTTTACCTTTTTGGAGATGCTAACAAAAATTACTCAAGCCAGTTAAAGACCCTGGACCCAGAATCCATCGACAGAGGAAAAGGAATCAGGGATTTCATAGGAAAGTTGGAAGATTTGCTTTCGGTCCTTCTCCTGGTGGGGCACTGGGTGTTAATTTAAGTGACAATCAGCCCATTTCAGTCATGACCTTCCTCCCTCTCTGAGCAATTACTGAGGCACAGAAGAACTCCATTTTGGCTCAAAGAGTTTGTAAACCAAAAATAAAATTACAAGGCCCCGCCAACCATCTGAATGGACCCCTCTTCTCAGACAAGGGCATTCCAAAGTTGGTTCAAGCCATAATGTGAAGGGAGGGTTGGACATGCCACATTACACCCTCCTTCCTTTTGGAATTCAGGAAAAGCCAACCAGCATTAATATCGACACAGACCTTGAAGTCTGGTAAGAAATATTTACAATCTATTCTCTTGGAAGCCTGCTACTTAGAGGCTTCATCTGATTGATAAAACTTTGGTCTTCACGACCCCTTATCATCCTAAACCAGACACTTGTTTCTATTGATTCCAGGTCTTTAGATAATAACTCTTTCAACCAATTGTCCATCAGAAAAATTTTAAATCTACCTATAACTTGGAAGCCCCACTGCTTCGAGTTATCCTGGCTTTCCGGACTGAATCAATGTACATCTACATGTATTTGATTAATGTCTCCTGTCTCCCTTGAATTTATAAAACTAGGCCGTGCCTCGACCACCTTGGGCACAAGTTCTTGAGATCTCCTGAGGGCTGTGTCACAGACCATTGGTCCCTCATATTTGGCTCAGAGTAAATCTCTTCAGATATTTTAGAGTTTGACTCTTTTCCTCAGCAATTTCTATGAGGTGTGGAAGAAAGGCGTCAGGAGTTGGGGAAGAGAAGAGTGAGGAATAAATGAGGCTGCCCAGTTAGGTTAGGGGCAGGGACTCCCAGGACACATTGAGGAGTTTGGGAGGATGATAAAAAGAGTGGCAATATGATTAAAGCAGATTAGAAGAAACAGGCGTGGCTGGTGGAGGGATGTGAGAGAAAACTGGCCAGAGTGGGAAGCAAATTGATTCTTGATGAGTAAATGCATCCTGGCCAGGACCATAAATACTCCCTAGAGTATGATTACTCATGATCTTTTCCCCATCTGGCTGGTTGGAATAGGTATAATCCCTAAGGAAGCTTGCCAGATAGAATAAAATAGAGGATACCTCATTAACTTCAAATTTCAGATGAACAACATATTTTTTTTAGTGCTATTATGTCCCAGGCAATATTTGGAGCCCACTTAAAAACAAACAAACAAAAAAACCCCACGTGCTGTCTAGCTGAAATTCAAAGCTGCTGGGGTGTCCTGTATTTGATTTGCTAAATCTGGCAACTGTATCCCCAGGGCAATCTTGGGAATCATGAGAAAGTAGAGCCCAAAGATGTTGCTGGGTCTCAGAGCTGCAAGAGAAGTGCACAGGAAGGCTACCTAGATGTTAGGACTTCTGACTTCCAAAACTATAAAAGTATAAATTTGTATTTTAAGCCACTAAAATGTGGTAATGTGTTACAGTGACAATAGGAAACGAATACATAATCTAACACATTTTTTCCTCTTTTTCTTTGTCTACCCCATAGATATAGACAACGCTACACTTGGAAAGCAGAACCTTTTTGTTCATTTTCAGAAAAGAAAACTGAGGACATAATCACTATTTCCATTTGTAGAGTAACTCTTGGCATTCTTTCCTTGACACTATCTACACACTTTCTTATCTTTCTCTTCCTCTTCATCTAATTCTCTCCCTCTTCCCAATTCTTTCTATTCCTGTTTCCATTGCTTTTCTTTTCTCTATCAATTACCCAACCATCATCATCATCCATCCATCCATCCATCCATCCATCCATCCATCCATCCATCATCCTCTTCCCTGCTTTATTTTCATTACTCTAAAAGAGTACTTTTCAAGTTCACTCATCCCCACTTCCCCAAAATACTTGACACATTTTATCCTTCATCCTTCCTTTCATTATGTTGTGTCACTAGTTATAGATCCATTTGAGTAAAGAAACTTTCCTTTTAAAAACACAATACCGGCCAGGTGCAGTGGCTCACGCCTGTAATCCCAGCACTTTGGGAGGCCAAGGCGAGAGGAACACAAGGTCAAGAGATCAAGACCAACCTGGCCATCATGGTGAAACCTTGTCTCTACTAAAAATACAAAAATTAGCTGGGCGTGGTGGTGCACACCTGTAGTCCCAGCTACTTGGGAGGCTGAGGCAGGAGAATCACTTGAACCCAGGAGGTGGAGGTTGCAGTGATCCCAGATTGTGCCACTGCACTCCAGCCTGGCAACAGAGTAAGACTCCGTCTCAAACAAGCAAACAAACAAACAACAACGAAAATGCAATACCTCCAGTTTGGGTGTCAAATTTCAGCATGCGTCTGGGGCACTTGTTTAAAGCCAGTATTTGGGAGATACTCATTGTGTAGGTCTGTGTGGGGTTCAGGTGTTTATACATCAGTTAAGCACTTTGAAAAGTGATATGCAGAGACCACCTGTTTGCAAGACTCTGGGATTTCACAGATTGCTTTTTAAAAAGTTGTGGGGGATGCACAGCAGATGGGGGTTGACCAACATACAGTTTCCAGTTCTTTATCAGAGCAAAGTCATTACAAACCAATGAAAAAGCAAATGTGCCATCATTTCATTAAAGAAAGGACATTTTAACACCATAAATATGGGAAGAACAATTTTGTTATAATGAAAAACTCATCTTAAGAAAGCCCAGGAGGTAAAACTATGTTGATATATAAATTTTTAAAGAGACTATATTAAGGAATTCAGATATCTTACCTTACTTGGGCTTATTTTTTGTTTCTTTATACAAGCTTGTCAATTTGCACATATATATTTGGTGCAGTGTGAAATGAAGTGACAATATCCTACTTCTTCCTGGATTTCATTTTTATCAGTTATTGTTAAAAATCTGTTCCTACATGCATATGTTGACAGAAATAGAAACAACTTTCTTAAAGCTATTTCACTCAATCTAAAATATTCTGAATAAAGATGAAGAAGGAACCCCATGGTTTCAGCCATTTCTCCTGCTTTTCCTCATTCTCAGTAAAGATGAAAGCTGATCTGGTAGGTGATTTGCCTGATTAGCAAGGAAAAGAGCCAGGGCTGGCCCCCAGGGAGCTTAGGGCTGAACATCTGAGGCTGGAGAAGAGAAGCCTGGCAGAAGAAACCTCACCCTAGATAGATACCACGCCATTGACTTTTGTTAGGAAGCCACTTTTTTTTATTATGTTTGGAAAATGTGAGGAAAATTTGCCAGCCAGTGGTTCTCTGGAGCACATCAGAATTGAAGCAGGGTTTTTCTCAACCCTTTCACTGGACTTGGAAGAGGGGTGACCCGTTTACTTGGCCTGCCATGCTCAACCTCTTGCAGGAGGAAGCACATGAGTGAGTGAGTGTAGGATCCAGCCGGCCACTTTGGGCGCTGGAAGGAGCAGACTCCATGTGGGCCATGCAGTGGCACCCAGGTGGGTGTTCCTGCAACCCTAAAGTCCCAGAGGGCATGTTACAGTGCCCTCATCGCTCCACCAGTGAGAGCAAAGGGCCAGTGTGATGGCCTTTTTTGGGTACCTGCACTAGGTGAGTTCCAAGATCTTATCTGGCATCTAAGGAGAATGAGGTAGCATGGACACCTGAAGGATGGTGAAGGCAGAGAATTTTATTTAGCGACGGAAATGGGTCTCAGCAGAGAGGGAAGCTGGAGATGGGGCAGGACAGACAATAATCTCCCGAAGTCCAAAGTTAAGCCATTTCTCCTCTGAAGTCCAGGTGTCCCTCTGAAGTCAAGTCACCTTTCTCCAGTCAAGCCACTTCTCTCTTTCTACCGACTAAGTCTGGGGTCTTTACAGGCACAGGATCGGGGGTGGGGCAGGCTGTAGGTAGTTTTGGAAAAGGCAACGTTTGATTGGTAAAAAGACATTATTCAGAAAGAACCAATTGGGAGAGAGCAGGCAAACAGGGATAGAAGTTCTCACTTTGGGTCATGGGTTTCAGGCTTTTCGGCTCAAAGGTGGAGTTTCAGTGGGGTCCTGCCCCTGTCTACCTAGAATTTATCTGCCTCCTGCCTCTAGCCAAATCGCCTGTATTGCTTTTAAAACAGTTACTTGATCCTAACTCAGACCTAAAGGGTCTGAGTTTCTGGGAGGTTTGGCATGGGTATTTTATTTTTCCTAAACCATACAAATGACCTCACCTTTGTTAAGAATCTTGCCATGCATCAATGGTTCTTACCCCTGGCTGCCTGTTACGTTTACTGGGAGAAGTGCCAGGGCCTTACTTAGGAATGCTTTGCGTGGGAATATCTGGCTGGGGATGATGGGGCTGGACATCAGTGGTTTCTAAAAGCTCTCCAGATGACTCTACTTTGCACCTGGGGTAAAGAATTTCAGGGGAAATATGCTTGTATTCACATAATTGTGCACAGTTTCAGGAGCTCAGTGTAAGGAATCCTGCACGTCACAGTTTGAAGCCAGTAGTCAGCCAGTCTTTAGTGTGACTGAATAAATCACGGGGCTTCCTCAGGTGGCACACCCAGGGCAAGCATTGTGATACTAACTAATGCTTCTTGAGGACTTTCTGGGTCCCCAGCCCCATTTGAGGGGTTTCAACTTATTGCTCTGTCTCTCAGGGACTTAAGAAGGTCAGCATTTTTATTAACCTCATTTTACAGGAGAGGGAATGAAGGTCAAATCAATTGTCTGGATTCATGCCCTGAGTAATGATGTAACCTGGCTCAGCACTTATCCCCTTAACCAGAACGCTGGGCAGGAGGAAGAAGAGCTTGTCTGGGAAAGGGTTTGGAGGGGATTGTTGAGAAGGAAAGTTAATGGAGAAGCTCCCAGCATGTTGGCAAGTAAGGGTGAGTCAGCTTTGCTAAGTGCAGAAGCTGGTGGAAAGGCACTTGGGAACATCCCTGGGTGGGAAGGAGAGTTGGTGCATGAAGTTTGTTTGATCAAAGACAAACTTCCTTGTCCTATTTCAAAAATTCCCCAGAGCTTTGTACCCAAAGGAGAGGACGAAGACTGTTTTTCGGTGTGAGGCATGAGGCACGTAAGCTGTAAAGTGCTCTTCAGTGGTGAGCTCTTCTTATTACCATGTGGCCACTCAAAGAAAAGTCATTTGAATCGAAGGTATAGTATTACACGTTCAGTCTCTGGAATGAGGGCAGTCATGGCCCTTTCCTTTGTGTTGTTCCGACCACACCAAGAGAAGAAGCCATGCTTTGGAAGGAAAAAAGAAGATCAGGAAAATGCTCTTACAGGATGGAGTCATAAAGATGAAGGCACTGGAAACTGTGGTGTGAGGAACCAGTGGGGTTTCGAGGTGATCTTAAAGGCCATGTAAAGCTGGCTTCCGCTGGGCTGTCCTGTAGAAGAGAAGTTAGATATGCCAGGTACAGTTCCAAGGGCTAACCTGGTAGGTAGAGGCAGGAGGTTTTATCCTATTAGAAGAAAGCTATCTATCTCCAACTGTCTTGAGAAGTGTATTGTTTGTTACCAGAAAGAACCAAGATAGGGTGAACATTGGCTTCAAAGAGAGTGTACCTTTCAAGGTCTTTGTAACTAACATTCAGTAGTTCTATGATGATTCCTCAGCCTCACTCAGTTACGGAACAAGACTTTATTGGTTTATTGGCGTTGTGCTGAGCTTGAGTGATGCAGTGGTGAATTCGTTGACTTGGCAGGTAAAGGAGACGGAGAAATAAACAACTCCATTCCTATACTTACTCCAAAACCCAGGTAGTGAGTTCAGATTCTTTAGCACTGTGTTTCCTATTTATATTTTATTTTATTTTTTGAGACAGGATCTGGCTCTGTCACTCAGGCTGGAGTGCAATGGCTCCATCTTGGCTCACTGAAACCCTGCCTCCTGGGCTCAAATGATCCTCCCACCTCAGCCTCCCAAGTAGCTGGGACCACAGATGTGCACCACCACACTCAGTTAATTTTTATATTTTTTGTAGATATGTGGTTTTTCCATGTTCCCCAGGCTGGTCTCAAGCACCTGGGCTCAAGCAATCCTCCCTCCTCGGCCTCCCAAAGTGCTGGAATTACAGTCGTGAGCCACTGTGCCCAGCCTTCTATTTATATTTTAGAGTTCTCTCTCTCTCTGTTTTATTTTTATGTCCCTCTTTCTTTACATTTAGTATCTTCTTTTCCTCTTCTGAAGCCATCTGTCTCTTAGTTATTTTTTCTTGTATCTCCTATTCTTTCACTTATTCCATTCCTATTACCATTAATATATGGGTGTACTCCACTTATATAGGTATATATCTAAATATCTGCTCATTGTTTCTATATTCCTGGTTACAATAGAAAAATCAAATTAGTATAGTCTGCAAATATTTAAGCATCACACATAACTTTCATCAAACCCATGACATATTTCAATAAAAGAGAAAATCATCCCTTCTCTCCTCCAAACCAGTTCTCTGAAAGGAGAACTTCCTTCCTCCGCCTTAGTCATGGGAAGTACTGAGAAGTTTATACCAGAAAATACATCTAACATTGTATATTTTGTTACTGGATAATGAATAGCTTTCTTGTTCTGCCTAGGGTTATCAGGTGCCAAACATTTCTAGAACAGTAGCCTCAGTAGGACAGCCAACCCTGACAATTCATTGTTTAAAAAGTGGGGGTTTCCACTGTGAAAAAACGATTTGAATTTTTTTCTTTTCATGTCTATAGGTTAAAATCATGCGTGAATTTTGATAATAAGCATTTCAATATAGTTCTGCTTTACCATAAAAGTGGAGAGCATGTAACAACATATTTTAGGAACATTAACTTGAATACAAAAAAATAAAAAATCCCTGTAGGCAATAGCACTTCCTGCTTCAAGAAAGAAATAAATCAAGGTAGTAGTGGAAGCAGGAGGCTGCATATGAACACAGTTCTGTTACCTGTAAACTATGTTCAGGTACATTTAACCATACGTTTAAACAGTGATATAGTCCAGAAGTTTTAATATGATATTGGCCCTGTATTCTAAAGGAGGTTTTACCCCGATAACTTTCTACCTGCAAAAAGAAATCAGACCCCAGTTAGGATGAGATTTTCCCTGGCTTTGTGCCCTGCTAGATAATAGAAATTCTTTTTTTATCATTCCTGTAATGTTGCACACTTTTTACTCATTGTATCCCTGAAAAAGATATGGCCAGTTGTCTGACTGCCACAGAGATCATCAATTGTTAAGGGATAGGGAAATGACATTTCATGATTTGTGCCAGGTACTTTACAAGGTGGTTTACACCTATTTCTTGGGATAATTCTTCTAGCTACAGATAAACATTTTACACATGGAGTACTGAGGCTTGGCTCTGAGAAGGTCAGTAAATTGTCCACATTCTCATAGGGATTAGGTAGCAGAGTAGGAATTGGAACTCCCACCATTCTGATCCTAACACTTCTTTTTTTTTTTTTTTTTTTTGTATTTTTAGTAGAGATGGGCTTTTACCATGTTGGTCAGGCTGGTCTCAAACTCCTGACCTCAGGTGATCTGCTCGCCTCGGCCTCCCAGAGTGCTGGGATTACACACTTGAGCCACCACTCACGGCCTCCTAACACTCTTGAACTTTTCATCACAGCTAAGAACATAGCTCAGATTTGGGTTTAAACACCCTGCTCCCATTCTTTCTCACAGCTCAGAGAGGACTTGGGTGGGAAGGTCACATAAAAAACTTGAGCTGGAAGGATGCCTCAGAAATGTAGTCTTTGGTTTCTCAGCCTCCAGCTTGCAGTGGAGCCAAGTCCATGGGGGTTGGGATGGAGCTGATGGAGCCAAAGTCCAATTCTTGCCATAGACCAAAGCTTTGACCACTTGACACCCATGTGTCCCCATCTTCCCACACTTAAACTTTCAAACCACAATAGCAACAAAAAAATGCTCTCTTGATGGCAATAAAACCATCCCTCATGCAAATGAGAATACTTTTTTCCCAAAGCAGGGACCGCAAATGTCATCAGTTGCAGCGTTCATCTCTGGGGTTTAGTCCTTCTTTCTTTAGTTTAACCACAGTCCTGTATGGTTTTACTATAACCTATGGACAAAATTATGAAGTTAACACCCACCAAAAAGCCTCATGTAAAATCGTGTTGCAGGACTTTTCCTTAATTCAGCTGAAGATGGGGTTCTTCGTCCCACAGCCATGAAAATTTAGGCTCGCCGACAATTTGAATGGTAAGACAGGGTTTTATGGCTGGGCGCGGTGGCTCACGCCTGTAATCCCAGCACTTTGGGAGGCTGAGGTGGGCAGATAACCTGAGGACAGGAGTTCAAGACCAGCCTGGCCAATAGACTGTCTGTATCTCTACTAAAAATACAAAAATTAGCTGGGCATGAGGATGGGTGCCTGCAATCCCAGCTACTCGGGAGGCTGAGGCAGGATAATCACTTGAACTTGGGAGGTGGAGGTTGCAGTGAGCCAAGATTGCACCATTACACTCCAGCCTGGGTGACAGAGCGAGACTCTGTCTCAAAAAAAAAAAAAAAAAAAAAAACAACAACCCAGGGTTTTACTGGGTAAAAAAGTTAGAAAAGATGGAAACAGGAACTCTCAGCTAGGCCAGGGTCCCCGTTAGAGGACTTCCTGCTCAGCCATTCGAATCCCAGTTTCCACACAGGAAGAGGACAGGCCAGGCTCCTCCCTGTTGCAAATACCATGAACTTGTGTGGCTCCTCCCAGTGTTCAGGCCGGTTGGAGAGGCTGGAGATTCTCTGGGGACCCTCTCCCACCTGGCTGTCTCAATAGTAGAAAAATGGGAGAGAGAAAAAAATAAGACACAGCGTGGAAAGAAGAAATAAGTTTGCTATAACGATGAACAGTGTTCATTTCCGCAACTGATCATGAAGTTTATTTGGTATTTATTGTGTCTATTTCCTCCTCCACTGCCAATTCTGTGATCTCTTTGCCTTCAGCAGGCTAGGGTGTTTATTTAGGGGGGGGTCATCCAAACCTTCCTTTGTGAATGGCATGAACCCTAGGAAGGTCCTTGTCATGTTGGTTCCCATGGTCTTCCACTGACTTTTACCACCTGACATGACAAGATTTCTGGGTTTGAGGAATATTCTCCCATCAACTGTATGATTTAACAGGAACTCCATTTCCCCTTGATAATCAGTCTACTCTTCCCAGTCAATGTGGTAAATCCCTCCCCTGCTTTTTTTTTGGATTGTTTATTCAGGGACAAAAGGAACCTGAAATGGCCAAAGGGTAGCTTTTAGTTACGGGAACACGGGTGTGTCTAATGGTGGAATAATTTTGTTCTTACGATCTCAGACGTCTGAACAAGCAGAATCACAGTCGAATAGATCATGATCAGACTTTTTTGAGTAAATTACTGGGTGGAATGTGAAGAGATGCCACTCACATTCCCACCATTGGCATCCAGAACAACGTGTTCTGACCATAGGAGAGACAGCACCCAAGATGGTCGGGTGCTGGTTCACAGCAAAAAAACCACATCAAGAACAACACACCCCAACCTAACAAATATTGCTTTTCTTTTTTTTTTGAGATGGAGTCTCGGCTCTGTCACCCAGGCTGGAGCGCATTGGCGCGGCCTCAGCTCACTGCACCCTCTGCCTCCTGGGTTCATGCAATTCTCCTTCCTCAGCCTCCAGAGTAGCTGGGATGACAGATGTGCACCAATATGCCCAGCTAATTTTTGTGTTTTTGTAGAGATGGGGTTTCGCGATGTTGATCAGGCTGGTCTCGAACTCCTGACCTTAAGTAAACCACCCGCCTCAGCCTTCCAAAGTGCTGGGATTACAGGTGTGAGCCACCGCACCCGGCCAAGTGTTGCTTTTCCACTCGGCCCTGGAGCTGAGTGTTCTATAGGCCAGTTGCTCAGGCAAGGTATGTGGCAAGAGAAGAGAACCATTTGACTGCCTTGATTCTTGTGAGAAACAATATTGTTTGGATACCAGGATGATGGACAAGGCAGATTGTGTTGCAGGAGGGAGCATAGCAGGCAGATAAGGAAAATTCTTTTATTTGAGACGGAGTCTCACTCTGTTGCCCAGGCTGGAGTGCAGTGGCATGATCTCGGCTCACTGCAAGCTCCGCCTCCCAGGTTCACACCATTCTCCTGCCTCAGCCTCCCAAGTAGCTGGGACTACAGGCGCCTGCCACCATGCCTGGCTAATTTTTTGTATTTTTAGTAGAGACGGGGTTTCTCCATGTTAGCCAGGATGGTCTCAATCTCCTGACCTCGTGATCTGCCCCTCTTGGCTTCCCAAAGTGCTAGGATTACAGATGTGAACCACTGCGCCCGGCCAGATATGGAAAATTCTTATCTAGCATAAGTCTTTTTCACTGTGGGCAATTTTTTGTCCCCTTTGTGATGAGCAGTTCCAACACAATCAACCTTCTGGTGGGTGTCAGCCTGGCTCTCCAGGGATGGTAAAAGAATGGGCTTCAAGGTTGATTGCTGCTGCAGGCAATTTGGATGCGTAGCAGTGCAATTGGCAAGCCAGCCCAGTGGCAATAGATAGGCCAGCCTTGGTGACAAGGAATCCTCTATGGGCCATGTCTTACCTTTATTCCAGCCTCTTACACTACTTTATTAATGAGCCCATTGAGCATAAACTGGGGTTGGTGGGGAGGAGGCTGACTGACAGCCAGTGTGGATTTATTTATTTATTTATTTATTTTTTTGAGACAGGGTCTCATTCTCTCATTCTGTAACTCAGGCTGGATTGCAGTGGCACGATCTCGGCTCACTGCAGCCGCCGCCTCCTGGGTTCAAGTGATTCTCCTGCTTCAGCCTTCTGAGTAGCTTGGATTACAGGCACATGCCACCACACCTGGCTAATTTTCGCATTTTTAGTTTCGGCATGTTGGTCAGGCTGGTCTTGAACTCCTGACCTCAGGTGATCCACCTGCCTTGGCCTCCTAAAGTGCTGGGATTACAGAGATGACCCACTGAGCCCAGTCTCTAATCACTTCTTTTACTAATTAATGATTGGGTAGGACTCAGTGGTAGTTTTAACTAAAGTGATCGAAACGGGAAGTACGTTTTCCAAATCATTAGTGGGCGAGAACAGATTCTGAGCAGAATTTTCAGGTGGGTCTGCCAAAGCAACACTGCAGAACTGTTCACTAGGCCTGTGGCTGACTCTGCTATGATCAGGGAATAGGGAACTGGGACACCAGCACACAGCTGATGGCTGTGGGCCACAATCTCGCTGGCATTCTGAATGGCCTGCACTTGTCTTGTCACCATCCATGATGCTAGAGCCCAGCTGTGGAGAGCTCTGTTAGAGCTGCTGCAGAAGGAAACAGACTACCCCCATGATGACCGGGCTGAGCTTGCCTGCGGCAGCCCTGACTCTACCTGCCAATGCTGCTTCTGCTTCCCAGATGGCACGGGCATCACCTGGGTGTTGCCTGCTTGATGGGAATCAGGCCACACGTGGAACCTGGGCCCTGAAGCTGTCTGCGGTCTCCAGCAGGCACTAGGCCCACTGGCAGGGAAATGAAACAGAACTGAATGAGCCAACCAAAGCTGCCAATGTGGCCATGTCAGAGTTTTGGAAATAAAAGGACTTAACTGATAAAATATGAGGAAAAGGGGAAAGGGATTGTTCAGGTGGGCTTTGAAGAAGAAAGAGATGGTTTAGGAAAAGGAGCTGCTACAAAGGCAGAGTTGGAGACAGAAACATGGAACTAAAACATAAGAGAGAAAGAAAAAAGACAGAAAGGCAGGAAAAAGCGAAAGGAGCTTCAAGACAAAAGGGAGTGCCAACAGTCTGAGAAAGAAAGAGGAGGTGGAGAGGATCTGGAATCCCCCTTTGGGAGAGTAGCCAAGGTTTGCGCAGCTACACCTTCCCCCCATTACCTACTACTGTTGCTCTTTTGAGATGCTGGGCAGTCTGTGAGATTTATGTCCTGGGAACAAAGTTAACAGAGGCAGTAACAAGCATAAAACCATAGGCTTTAAAAGTTTTTATCATTTTAAGTATTTCCTGTATATATTTCCATTGAAAACAAGAAATAAGAACAAGCTGATCTTTCCCTTTCTGCTTTAAAATGTCACTTTTCAGCAAGCACATATTCAGTTCAGTTGACACACACAAAGCCAAAATCCTGGCTGAGACACATTCAAGCTATTATCATCTTGGAATTTGTTACGGTAAGTCCTGCAGGGACTGTGTGGTGTTGAGTTGGCACAGACGCACCTCAGAGAAGCAGTAGTATAAACAGTTCTGTATTTGCAAAAGGAAATAAGAAAATAATTGAAAAAGTAAGAAATTTAGACCAAGGCAAGTAAAATTGGCTAAATAAAGAACTATTTCAAAATGGCCTTAAACAGAGAGGGCGTATCAAGCTGTGCTCTTCTCTCAAAGCCTCAATTTGTCATCTGTAAAATGGGAACAATGGTCCTTACTGCATAGTTTTTGTGAAGATTGAAGCAGATGATTTGGGTGATACAATTAACCCAGAGCCTGGTACAAAGTATGCATTCAATAAATGTTAATTATTATCATTGTTACCATTGCTAGCATGTTTGGTGTCATGGCAAGGAGTTCTCTCTCTCTCTCTCTCTTTCTCGGAGTCTCACTCTGTCACTCAGGCTGGAGTACAGTGGCGTGCAATCTTGGCTCACTGCTACCTCTTGCCTCCCAGGTTCAAGCGATGTTCCTGCCTCAGTCTCCCAAGTAGCTGGGATTATAGGCGCCCACCACCACACCCAGCTAATTTTTGTATTTTTAGTAGACATGGGGTTTCACCATGTTGCTCAGGCTGGTCTCAAACTCCTGATCTCAAGTGATCTGCCTGCCTCTACCTCCCAAAATGCTGGGGTTACAGGCGTGAGCCACCGCGCCCGGCCAAGTTATTTCAAAGATAAGTTTTAGGTAGCTAAAAGGAAAGAGTTTGCTCAATACTTAGGCTCTTTTGTCTGGCCTAGGCTCTGGGCTCCCTTCCTCCTTCCCTCCCTTCCTTCCTTCATTTCTTCCTTCCTTCCTTCCTTTTCTGAATATTTTGTTGTATTTATTGTTTATTTTATTATAAAAAGTTTTATTTTTATTATTTGTAAAAATTTTTGTGGGTACATAGTAGGTATATATATTGATAGGGTACATGAGATATTTTGACACAGCATGCAATGTGAAATAAGCACATTTCAGATGTCTCTGAGGATTGGAAAAAAAAAGCACATCATGGAGAATGGGTTATCCATCCCCTGAAGCATTTATCTTTTGAGTTACAAAAAACCCAATTACATTATTTAAGTTATTTTAAAATATACAATTAAGTTATTATTGACCTACGGAAAGAATGTAAATGCTCTTATAAAACAGGTGTACACTTCTGCCCCCTACTGGCAGTGAGCTATTTAGCAGATAAATAACCTTGACCTAATTGCAACAATCCCTCGATGTGGTATTTTATTTGGAATAGATGGTTAGACATATTTTGCATATCAACACGTATTCCAGAGTTAAACAATTTAGTTATAGAAGTGGTTAATTCCGTTACGATAATGTTCAACGAAAAAAGATTTTAGGTGCCTAGAAATTGGGTATACAGCCCACTGTATATATTTACATCATTTGTTTTATACAATAGCCCCATGAGGCAGATAGTATTATTATCCCCGTTTTGATTTGAGCAAATCGAGGTTCTAAAAGGGATCTGCTAGTAAGTGGAAGAACTGGCATTCAAACGTCAAGCTCCTCTGACTCACATTTGTGTCCTTTCCGGGCAGGCCATCAGGCCTCCCTAAAGAGGACGAACTCATCAGCAACATCAAAAGTCTGACTCTTGGCAGGTCTGATGTAATTACACATTGCACCATCTTTCCCTCACTTCATTTTCATTGAAAAGCAACTTGCAACCAAGTACACTAGAGGAGAGTATAAGCTCATGAGGGAGTGTGGAGAGGTGAAGGCTTTTTGTGAGCAGGGCTAGTCTAGGGGGAGCCTACAATGATCAGCTGCCCCCTGGGCACGTGTCCAGGGCTGGGTGGCCCACTGAGAAGTCTGGATAGCTCCCAAAGCCCTGCCAGTGAGTGGGGCAAAGGCTGGCCCTTGCTCAGCTTGGGTTTTCTGGCTGCGGGAATGCCCCCATTAGGCCTGGAGGTCCTGGCAGTGTGAAGGAACACCCTCTAACCCAGAGCTGATGCCTTTCCCTAATCTGCCCAAAGTCATGGCTTGTGCTAGCAGTGGCACCATATAAAGCATGGCAGGATGTCTTTACCTGTTTGCATGAAATTCACAAGCCTAGCCAGGGCCTTTTTCTCAGGCAAGGCAGAGGGCACCAGTGATCTGATTCCAGTCAATCCCCAGCACCACTACCATCAGCATATTTAGAGAATGACTCATTTAACTGGGTAGAAGGGAGAAGGAGGGAGACAATTAGTCACAGTTGGAGGTAGGAGGGCAGGAGAGAACTTCTTTGGAATTTTGGGATCCAAGAAGAGAGATAAATGACGCCGAGCTTCTTTGAGGTGATCCTGGAAATCCAGCAAGCCTCACAAAGCAGCTTTCATGCATTGCAGAAAGGAGTGGGCATTGAGTGGAAATGGCAGCCTGATGCAGGCTGGAGAGAGATGACTAATTTATCTGTCAAACTGGCAAGTTTAGGTATTTAGAAGTTCACTGGACCCCAGAGTGGGGCATGGAAGTCACCAAGAACTACAGGTTCTTTAAGGGACCCAGGGCCAAGAGGAGAGACTCCAGAAGTGGCACACAGCAGACTGTCCTCTGGGGGCTGAAACAGGGTGCAGTGACATTTCAGCAAGTTGCTGCAGTGAAGGTGGTAGGAGGCACCCTGACAAGCTGAGGAGGGCATTATAATGCAAGTGGGAGCATAGAACCAATGACAACCAAGGCTAATAATTTCAGACCTTTTCTCCATTAATCCGCAAAGGGCTATTGTATCAGATCCTTCAGGAGTTTAGAGTAAACCCTGTAAGAGGAAGAAAAATCAGACAAGTAACACCGAATAGAATGGAGTTTTCAACATGAATGAATGAACCATCACTAGGGTCCCGCGAGTTTACTTGAGAGTGGCCAGATGCAGTTGTTGGCATAGGGATTGGAGGCAGGCATTGTACGGTAGGGACATTTTGGAGTGTGTGATGTGAACTCCACATCCAGCACATACTGTTGCAGAAAATCAAATTGAGCATGTGGACAAGGTGTTCTTCACTGGGTGAGGCTTTAGAACAGCTGACGTGGGAGGCTTACTGGGTGGCAGAATGACAAGAATCAAAGCTAGAGCAGGAATAAGTGAGTCGTGGTGCCTGAGTGCTGAATGGAATGAGCGAAAATCATTTGCAGTTGAGTAACTGAGGATTAGAAGGGCAAACGATTTGCTTAAAGGTCATCAATGAAAGGGCAGGATTGGAACTTCTGTCTTCCAACGAGCAACCCACTGTTTCATACCTTTCCACATTTATCTTTTTGTGAAAACACACAGACACACAGCGAGCACAAGATCATGGAACCATAGAAACGAAAGGAAAATTTTATCTAGTCCTGTCTCTCAGCCGACTTAGTATTATGTTTTACAATCATCTTGGCAACCGGTCAAACTGCCTCAGCTAGAACATTTCCAGTGCTGGGAAATTCTCATACTTTTGGACACAGCTTAGTCTATTCATCCATTACTGGACAAACTGGCAATGGAGTTCTTTATAGGGAGCCAACATCTGCCTCCATGAATCCAACTCTCTTAGCCCTGCCCTCTAGTTCTGCACATAATCAATGACTTCCTCTTCCAAATCATAATGAAAATCACTCACTAATCAAGGACCTATGGTGTGCCAGTCACAAAGGGTGGCATTATGCCCACCCCAGGGTCTCTGGTTCATGTTCCAGATATCCCTGGTCTTTCTGCACCTGTATCGTTCTTCTCTGGACTGTCTCTAGCTTGGGAAGGTATAGAATCCATTCTTCCCTTCCAGATCCTCTAGGCCATTTATTTAAGAAAGTAAATCTATTTGGGTCCACAGAGAAAGTAGTTATGATTTTAAAAATATAAACTAATTTTAATGTTTAAGCCAACTGTACTAACACTAATTGATATAATTAGCAAGGTATACTTGTCAAGGATCACACAAAAGATTCCAAATTGCAGTTGGAGCAATTGTTGACCTAGATCATCAATTGAAATGGAAATGATATGTACATGCCCTTTCCTCAGTTTCAAACAAATTTAGCATAATAATGCTTATTATTATCATCACCGTCCCTAATTCTTACAGAATGTTTCAAGTGAATCAGGCTCATAGTGACAACTCTATGAATTGGATACGATGATCATTTCTAGCTTTTTGAGGAGGAAACTAAAGCCCAGAGAGGTGATGGACCTTGCCCAAGATCGCATGTCTAGAAAACGGTAGGCTTCAAGTCAGGCATTCTGCTCTAATGACTCAGTGGCAAAGCTGTTTATCAGCTGTGCCAGCTGTTTATCAGCCTGCCATGTACTGGCATTGACCCATCAGTGAATGTAAATTTGGTCACACCTAGAGGTCTCTCTCCCACTAACCTACAATCATTTCTTCCTTTCTTCTTTTTTGTTTTGTTTTTTTAGATGGAGTTTCGCTCTTGTCACCCATGCTGGAGTACAATGGCATGATCTCAGCTTACTGCAACCTCCGCCTCCTTGGTTCAAGCGATTCTCCTGCCTCAGCCTCCCAAGTAGCTGGGATTACAGGCAGGTGCCATCATGCCCGGCTAATTTTATACTTTTGGTAGAGACAGGGTTCCACCACGTTGGTCAGGCTGGTCTCAAACTCCTGACCTCAGGTGGTCCACCGCCTCGGCCTCCCAAAGTGATGGGATCACAGGCGTGAGCCACCTCACCTGGCAACCTACAATCATTTCAAACTCACCCGAAGTCTGATTCTTTCTGTGAATAACTCCCTTGCAATATTTTTCAGAATTAGATCTATAACAGCAGCATGCCTGGTACTAGCAGGTCCTTTATACACATTTATTGAATGATACAATTAGTGGCCCTGGCCCTGTTAGTTTTCAAGTCCCAGGTAAGATCAGATGCTTTTGAGTCCTGCTGTGGGGATGGAGGCAGGCAGAGGAAGAGGGTAAATGGCGATGTCTGGTCCACATGCCCCCACCCTGATGCCGTTCCTCCGCTCTGGGGCCTGCTGTGATGAGGTCACCTTTAAACCCTGTGCACAGCAGACTGCTCCTGCCTGGCTCTGAGCATCTGTGCCTTCTCTTTCTAGGAGAGGATTGCATCTCTCTTTTTATCTGCTGCTCTCAGTGAGGCTCCAACACCAGTGATGCAGTCATCTCACTGAAGTTGGTTTTCTCCAGGAGAAGCTGAGCCAAATGGAATCCACCAAGCCCAGCCGCAGCCGGAAGCCCTACTCCTCCCTTACCTTGCCCAGCCTCAAAAATACAGAATCTGGATCCCCCGGACTGACTCCTTCTTCCTTCTCCTCCTCCTCCTCTTTCTCTCTCTCTCTCTATAAATATAAATATATATATGTATAGATATACTACATCCATATATATATATATATATTTTGAGACAGGTTCTGGCTCTGTCACCCAGGCTGGAGTGCAGTGGTGTGATCTCAGCTCACTGAACCACCGCCTCCTAGGCTCAAGCCATCCTCCCACCTCAGCCTCCTGAGTGGCTTGGACTACAGGTGAGTGCCACCACACTGGGCTAATTTTTGTACATTTTGTAGAGATGGGGTTTTTCCCTGTTGCCCAGGCTGGTCTCAAACTCCTGAGCTCAGGCAGTCTTCCTGCCTTGGCCTCCCAAAGCACTGTGATTACAGGCGTGAGCCACCAGAGCCACCATACATATTTTGATTTTAGAGACTACCTCCCTCCCCAACTCCCATCCTCCCAGGTACCTTCTGATTCTTCCCTCAGCCTGATGTCCACTGTCCTCTCTCAGTGCATTGGAGCATCTGAAACCCAATTATGTAGAAAATTCCAGCTTCTTCCCGTGTTGTTTCTGGTTCTCATTTACATTCGAGGATGTGGTTGAACAATCAATTTACTGTTCCTGACAATCAGGGAAGACTGCCTGGAATACACAGAAAGACCTGATCATTGGAGATGAAGCCCAATTTCACTCACTTCGTTCTGTCCAAGCCAGTGTAACCTATTAAGCTAGCACAGTGGCTCTCAAGCTTCATCATTCACTAGAATCACCAGGAAAGCACATTTAAACATGGGTTGTTGGACTTCACCATCAGTGTTTCTGATTCAGTAGGTCGGGACTCGGGGGAGGCGAAAATGTACATTGCTGATGAATTCCTAAGTGATACTGACCCTGCTGGTCCGGGAACCATGCTTGGAGAACTGAAGCCTAGAGTGACTTCACTGTATTAGCCTGGATTGGTTTAGGAGATTAAAATTACTGCTACTCATTATTTAGTTTCTGGTTGTTCAAGGCAGGTCCTGGTGGGAATGTCTTAGTTCAGGCTTCCATAACAAGTACCGTTGACTGGGTGGCTCACAAACAATAGAAACTTCTTCCTCACAGTTCTGGAGGCTGGAAGTCTGAGATCAGGGTGCCAGCATGCCCTTTTATTTTGAAATAAATCAGTATACTTTTCCTAAGAACAAGGACATTCTCTTACATAACCAGTACAATGATCAAAGTCAAGAAACTTAACACTGATAAAATACTATTATCTAAACCACAATCCCTATATACAGAGTTCATCCATTGTCTCAACGATGCCCTTTGTAAGTAATTATTATTCTGGTTCAGGATCTATCATCACTCAGTGCATTTAGTTGTCCTTTTTAGATTTATTTAATCTCAAGTATTTCTTTAGAGTTTTCTTTCCTTGACTGTCAACAGTTATTTTATACAATTTCCTCAGTTTGGTTTGCTCCGATGTTTCCTTATGATTTGAGTCAAGTAATTCATTTTGGGCAGGAATTCCAGAGAATTGCTGTTTTTTTTTGTTTATTGTTTTTTGTTTTTTTTTTTAACAGAGTCTTGCTCTGTTGCCAGGCTGCAGTGCAGTGGCACGATCTCGGCCCACTGCAACCTCCGACTCCCTGGTACAAGCAATTCTCCTGCCTCAGCCTCCAGAGTAGCTGAGATTACAGGCACGTTCCACCACGCCCAGCTAATTTTTGTATTTTTAGTAGAGATGCGGTTTCACCATGTTGGCCAGGATGGTCTCGATCTCCTGACCTTATGATCTGCCCACCTTGGCCTCCCAAAGTGCTGGGATTACAGGCATGAGCCACTGCACCCGGCTTTGCTGTGTTCTCTTCAGTGCATCGTAATACCAGGTAATATATGTCAGTTTGTCCCACTATTGGTGATGTCCTCCCTGACTCAAGTGATCCTTTCACCTCAGCCTCCTGAGTAGCTGGGACAATAGGGGCATGTACCACACCCAGCTAATTAATTTTTTTGTAGAGACCGGATCTTGCCTTGTTGCCTAGGCTGGTCTTGAACTCCTGGGTTCAAGCAATCCTCCTAACTTGGCCTCCCAAAGTGTTGGGATTATAGGTAAGAGCCACCGTGCCCCACCCAAAGATCACGTTTTAAATGGGTGCCCCACCCAAAGATCACATTTTAAATGGCATGAGCACAAGCAATAACATAGGTGACCAAAATCTACCAAAGACTTTCTCATTTCTATAGAGCAAACTCTTTGCCCCTCCCTCCATAAGTCCTTCCAGAGTGTCTTAGTGGCTAGGAGAAAGTTTGAGCTGGGAGAGAGCTTGGATTTCATACGGTTCCCTGTTTTCCAAGTATGGGATGCTTACTACTGGTGAGAAAAAGATGATTTTTTTTTTGCACATTTATATTGGGTTAAATTGTGTCACTTAGTAGCAAAGGCTTTGCCATCTCAACAATCTTTTCAATCTTCTGAACACATCAAGTAGGAAGGCTCAGTTGAGTGCTATTCCGTCTTGTAGCCTGTCTTAACAATCTCAAACAGTTGCTAATTTCCTTCCTTCCCTTCCTCCCTCCCTCCCTCCCTCTTTCTTTCCTTTCTTCCTTCCTTTGTTTACAAAGAAAGGGATGGTTTTGGGTTCAGAGTCTTTGGCAGTATATAGTAATTAGTATATAGTAATATAGTAATATATAGTAGTATATAGTAATTCAATGCCTTTAGGTCAATATATTTTCCATTTTTACTGTGCATACGCATATATACAATGTATTTTAAAAGTTGGCTTTACAATATGTAGTTTTATCATTTGGTTTACAACTAAATATATTGTGAACATTTTCTCTTCTACAACAGTTAAAAGAATTGCATAGCTTGGAGGAAACATAATTTATTAAGCAGTCTTGTTGGGGACATTGAGGTATAATTTTTTTTTTATAAGGAGACTTCATTCTTTTTACAACACCTTTGGGAAAAAAATTGGAGTCCTTGTCTCATATAGCTTTCTATAGATGACGGAAACTTACCCTTCCATTTAGCCTTTTAACTTTCTTCTCTACACCCACCTAATCACCATCAAGTAACCCATTTTATGTTTTCCAACCTCTCTCTCCCATTTGCTTCCTCTTTCCTACCCAGTCTCCCTGCATACATGCAGATGAACTTCCATTCCTTCAGCCCTCTGTTTCCTCCCCTTAAAGAGGCTTTCTTTCCATTTAAAGAGACTATTTTAATTGATTTTTATCAACTCTACTCAAAACTGTATCCTAAGGTCCACATTAGGATTGGTCTTTAATAATCTGAAGATAATATTCAATTGTTTAAAAGAACTTTTAAGAAGACCTTGGTAGAATTACATGTATCAAGAAACATGACTTAGGCACAATGGAGATATGGCTGACTTTCTTTTGAAAAAAGAAGTAGTTTTTGTGGGGAGGGCAGGGCAAAGAGGTAAGAAGTATTTGGTACTACAAGGAAATGTTAGAGACCATTTTGGAAATGTATTCATTATTTTAAGGCAACTAACAAATGATCATCTTTCAGTTAGGACATTATAGCAGCAGCCTTTACTGGTCATGAAATTTGAATGATATCTAAAATCATATTTCTGGAAATAGGTCAATGTCAATTAATAGTAACTTTGTATAGAAAGGCAGATGCCAGCTAGCATATAAAAGTGGTGCATGCAGACGGTGGTAGTTCTGGAGTCCTGGGAGCCATGAGGTGCTCATCCATCACAAGGCCATCACAGCCAGGTAGAAATGCCTGAGGAAAGCAGCGGAGCTGCCCGTGCCAGCATTTACACATGGAACACTTCTTGGGCAGCCGGGTGTCATGGGGCACAGACCCACAATTCTCTTTGCGTACACCGTGCTCACAGTTCCATCCATAGAAGGAGGGGAGGCAGGCACAAAAGGACCCCAGCATGCAGGTTCCCCCATTCAGGCAGCAGGTTCTGTTTGGCTCCTTACTGTCCTGTATCCCCATGGGGGGCACAAGCTGGGAAGACCGAGGACGAATTGCAGGCTCCTCCTGGGGCTGAATGCTGTCATCTCTGAAGGCCAGGTCTCCCTGAGATGGACGCACAAGTTCCCGATGGCTCAGCCTTTAACAAGCAATTCAACGCCTTTAAAAAATTGCCTTTACTTTTACAGTTACTGGCTGTTTACTGAAAATTTCATATAATTTTAAATTTAGAAATAAAAACTTCACAGATGGAATTAAATTTCATATAATTTTCAGTAAACAGCCAGTAACTGTAAAAGTAAAGGTAATTTTTAAGATTACATTTTACTAAGTGAAGTAAAATAAGTGAGTCAATCTAGAGACATTTTAAGAACTTAAAACTTAGGTATGGATCTCTGGAAGAGGTAAGGAGAGATATGGCTCATAGTTGCGCAGATAACACAGGAATGACTCAAGTTTGAGAAATTCCAGTTGAGGCCAAATTCCTTAAAGGAAATTGACAAGCTGGTTGGCTGACTCTGTCTCTCCGCAGGCTTTCTCATGGAAACGTGGCAGGCAAACAACGATGCTGGCAAGAAATTGGACAAGCCGCATGAAGGCCTGGAGAGTTTTAAGCCCAGGTTGAGAGCACAGGTGTAGGCTTTCTGGTGTAGGTTCCGACGCACCTGCCTTCCATTCCCGCCTATCCATTTAGGCTGCGACCTCTGGTAGTTCTCCACTTTCTCTAATTCTGAGTTACTTCATCCTTAAGAAGTGGTGCATAACTCACACCTTGTTAGGATTGTATGAGTATGTGTGCATACACCGTTTAAAGCAATGTAGGGCACAGAGTCAGGAAATGCAAAATATTAAGTTGAGGTCATTTTTCTTTTGGGAGGACAAGGACAGGGCACGGGCTGGGGCCCTAGAGTAGTAATTAGCGATGGGCTTTTCCTCCCAGCCTTCCTTTTGGGAAACGCAGTGTGCTAAAAAAGTGCATGCAGCCCAGGCTGTGGCCTAGGCCGTCGGTTCCCGGCCATGCCTAGCTCCTCTGAGGTCGCCCTTAGTGAGGACACGAGGTGCCCTCACCTCTTTCACTCTAGACACCTCCAGAACACTCGCCCCCCGCGCGCCGGAGCCCCGGGTCGCCACCAACCGCCCGCGGAGCCAGACCTCCCAGCTCTGCGCCCCAGGACCGCGCGGTGCAACCTGCGCATGCGCACCCGCGTCCCGCTGCTGTTTAGCCGTTTCCAAGGCTACGAAGCCCATCGGCCGGGGATAAGAGAGCAAGAAAATGAAGCTCAAGAGCCTCCTGCTCCGGTATTACCCGCCAGGTACGCACCAGCCCGGCCCCGTCATCCCCACGTGGGACCCTGGGCTCCCAGACTGGGAGGGTTTGGGGCGGAGGAGGGCGCAGCCACTGAAAGGCGGCGGGGTCCCCAGGTGGGGCAGGAAGTCGGGCACTTCCCAACCTGTGCCCCTCATTCCTTCAGATGCTGGACTCTTCCTCAAAACATTAACAATTACTCTTTTAGGAATTTAAAGAGTTTAGCTTGACTGTGCATGTCAGTCTGTCTGCATTTATTGAGTGCCTACTGCGTACACGCTTTGTGCTCTCTGCTATGGACCTTTAAAGAAGTTCATAGTGCTTGATTTCAATGAGTGAAGTAATTATGAAATAAATTACTTAACTATTACTTAGTAACATAAGCAATACATTAATTACCTAATCCTTGCCTAACTCTAATTTTAGGTGAGGACATGGTCACCTTTAAAGAATAAGTGACACCCATTGATCACCCAGCTTCTTAGGGACAGAAATAGGAGTGCAATTCTTGGGTTCTAATTCAGAACTCGTCTTCTGAATTAGAAACATCTGCAAAAAAAAAAAAAAAAAGAAAAAAAAGAAAAAAATCTGCAAAACATACCACAAGGCAGAAGATAACCAAATACACTTGCCCAATGAAGTTTGGATAGGAAGTGTCATAAAGATTTCAAAGGAGGGTAAGATACTTTGGACCGGTTTTGTTAAGAATAGCTTTATGAGGGGTGGGACTTGAATTTCAGGTTGAATATCTCACTTTTCCCTGCAACACATCCAACTGCTTGGTCAACATCGCCGATGAGGTATCGCATAGAGATCTCATGATTTCTTTTTTCCAGTCCCATCCCAATCCTGCTGCTTCCTCAAACTGTGCCCTGCCAGTAGAAGGCATCATCACCCAGCCTGTTTTTTGCCAGAAACCTAGGTGGTCACTTTTTGTTTCTCTCCTGTGATCATTCACTGCCTCCCCCACCCCCCCAACCCCCGGCATTCCGTTATCATTCTGCCAGCTCTAAGTCCAAAATATTCTGTGAATCCATCAGATTATCCCTCTTTCCATAGCACAGATTTCTTGGTCTAACATCCCTTCCAGCTGCCAACCTAGTCCAACCCTCCATTCCAGCCACCATTCCCTTTGGCTGAGCCACTCCAGTGGCTTTTCAACTGGATTCCTGGTTTTCACCCTCATCTCCTACAATCCATCTGCCACTAGGAGCCAGTGGGATCTGAATTCAAGATCTCCAATAGCTTCCTATCATGCTTAGAATACGATCCGCAACCTGTGGGATTTGGCTCATTCTGTGCTGCTGACTTCTAAAACTTCACTTGTCTACCCTCACTATACTTCTGACTTCTTTAGCTTGTTCTTCTAAGACTTAAGAGAGGGCCTTTCACTCATTCGTTTTTTGGACCCAGCTTTCCCTAGAGCTAGGAAAAGCTGCTTCCTTTTCTTCATTCAGTTTCAATCAATGTCAACCACCTGAAGAGACTTTCCTACCTATTCAAAGTAGCCTGCACTGATTTTACTCTATGCCATAAAGTGCTTAAAAATTATATTTGTCATCATCCAAAACTCTACTTGTTTTGTTTCAAATGTCTGCCCCTTTCCCATTTAATGTAAACTTCGTGAGAACTAAGATCTTAGTGTGGTTTGATCATTGTAGCACCCTCAGCTTCTAGAAGAGATTTGGTGACACAGAAGATCAGGAATGTTTGTTGAATGAATGTATGGATAAATGGATGTGTTTGATGAGAGGTCAGGTATGGAAATTACTGAAAATAAACACTGAAAATCTTAAGGGATGCTGCTTCTGCCTCCCTGGAAGACCGATCCTGGACAGCTACTTTCTCCAATGGGAAGTTGACATTTGTAGAAAAGACATGCATTTTCTCCTTCATAGAATTCCAGTTAAAATAATATGAGAAAGCTATATATATGACAGTATCTAGATAAATTTATTTTATGTAATTAATTAATTAATTTAATTTTTGAGACAGAGTCTTGCTCTGTCACCCAGGTTGGAGTGCAGTGGTGCAATCCAACTCCACCTCTTGGATTCAAATGATTCTCATCCCTTAGCCTCCCAGGTAGCTGGAATCACAGGTGTGCACTACCAAGCCCAGCTAATTTTTGTATTTTTAGCAGAGACGGGGTTTCACCATGTTGGCCAGGCTGGTCTTGAATTCCTCACCTCAAGTGATCCACCTGTCTTGGACTCCCAAAGTGCTGGGATTACAGATGTGAGCCACTGCATCAGGCTGAGAGTATCTACGAAATTTAAATTAGGCATAGGTAGATAGTATATAGAAAATTTAAAATTAAGACTAATAGTCTGTTTCCTTTAAGTATTCCATAATTTTCTTTTGGCTCTTTTTGCCCATAGGCCTGTGCTGGTTCCCATAGATGTACCAATAAATGAAGCTCTTGCTTTCATCTCTTTGTTGTGGAGTGTAGGTTAAGAATATGAGCTCTGGGTTCAGAATAACGGCTTCTCACCATATACAATAATAAAAAAACTTGGGCAATTTGTTTTATTCTATCAAAGCATGGGTACATGGTGACAACAGCACCACTTCACAGGTCTACTAGACCCTTCCAGCTTCTTATCTTATTTGATTCTTTCTCTTCAGAGTAGAGAAAATTTTTGGAAGAATACTCTCCCCAAGTGCTGTCCTCCCTTCCTATCATGTTTTCACGCGGATTGCCCCACTGAAACTGCCCACTTTAAGATCTCCAATGACATTCACATTGCTAATCTACTGGCCAAGCCACAGTCCTTGCCTGCCTTGACCTGACAGCAGCATTCAACCACTCTGCTTTTCTTTGGCTTCCAGGACACATATTCTATTTTCCTTCCTGTCTCACGTCACTTCTTCTGTGTCTATCTTGTTGGTTCCTCTTCTTCTTTTTGATTATTTAATGTTGGAGTGCCCCAGAGCCCCAACCTTGGATTTCTCCTTTCTATCTACACTCATACACTATGCAATCTCATCCATTCTCAAGGCTTAAAAACTATCCTGAACTGAGGTCAGGAGTTCGAGACCAGCCTGCCCAACATGGTGAAACCCCGTCTCTACTAAAAATACAAAACAATTAGCCAGGTGTGGTGGTGCGGGTCTGTAATCCCAGCTACTCAGGAGGCTGAGGCAGGAGAATCGCTTGAATCTGGGAGGTGGAGGTTGCAGTGAGCCAAGATCACACCAATGCACTCCAGCCTGGGTGCCAGAGCAAGACTCTGTCTCAAAACAAACAAACAAACAAACAAACAGAAAAACAAAAAACAAACCATCCCGCATAGTCCTGAGTACCTGAGTGCCCACCCGACACATTCATTTGAATGTCCACCGTACATCTCATGTGGGGGTCTCCCATGGTCTTCCCCATCTCAGCAAATTGCAGCTCCATTTCTCCACTTACTCATGCCAAACATTTTGGACTCTTCCTTGTCTCTCTCTCATCTCCACATCCACTAACAAATCCTGCTAGTCCTGCCTCCAAAATATATGCAGAATCCAACAATTTCTACTACCTGACCACTACCATTCTTTTTAGCTTGAAAGCTTCCTTCCACCCTTGCCCCTCTTCAGTCTATATGGCAATGGGATGGCTCTGTTAGAACATAAATATGACCATGTCACTCTTCTGCTCCAGCCCTCCAATGACTTCTCAGCTCGTTTAAAGTAAAAGGACCATGATCCCCAAGGCCCTGCAAAATCTCACCCCCTGTTGCTTCCCTGACCTCACCACTTTCGACTTTTCCCTCCAGCAACACTCCTCTCCTTGGTGTTCCTTGAATGGGGCAGAGGTGTCCCCACCCAGGGTCTGCAGTTGGTGTTCTTTCTGCCTCGAATAATCTACCCATGGACATTTGTATCACTAGTGCCCCATATTTTTAAAGTCTTTCCTCAAAATTGTGTAAAGTGAAGACTTAGATATCTCCTTTCTGAGCATTTCTATCTTCTTCCCATGATATTTCACAGCCCCTTTCCCTGGTTTGTCTTTTCTCCTTGGGGCTATCTTAATCCAACTCATCATTGTTTCACTCATTTATTTTGCTTATTCTTTCCCACGAGAATAAAAGATTGACGAAGGCAGGAACTTTGTCTATTTTGTTTGCTCCTTATCTCTAGCACCCAGAGGAGAGCCTGGTGCATAAAATGACATTAATGTTTTTGTTGAATAAGTGAGTTTAATGAGATGATGTGTGTTAAGCAGAATGCCTCAAACTCTTCCTGAAGTGTGAAAGGGCCAGATAAGTGATCTTTGATCTACTTCAGCTCTAAATGCCTAGGATTCTCTCTTTTTTTTTTTTTGAGATGGAGTCTAGCTCTGTCACCCAGGCTGTAGTGCAGTGGCATGATCTTGGCTCACTGCAAGCTCCGCCTCCTGGGTTCATGCCATTCTCCTGCCTCAGCCTCCTGAGTAGCTGGGACTACAGGCGCCCGCCAGTACGCCAGGCTAATTAATTTTTTTGTATTTTTAGTAGAGACGGGGTTTCACCGTGTTAGCCAGGATGGTCTTGATCTCCTGACCTCGTGATCCACCCGCCTTGGCCTCCCAAAGTGCTGGGATGACAGGCGTGAGCCACTGTGCCCGGCCAAGCCTAGGATTCTTAGGCTCACGTAATTCTCTTGACTCATGTTTGCGACTATTGCCTTAATGCTTATCTTATAATGAGGTCATATTACTTAGCATGCTTGACATTTAATTTCTGAATTCCAGTCTTTGGTGAGCCAAATCATATGCAAGTTTCCAAGATACTACTGAATAGCAGGTGGGTGTTTCAATAATAGCATTATCAGATAGGAAAAATTATTCCACTGAATCATTCCCGTGCTACCTTTATCCCTTCTGCATATAGAGCAGTTTTGTTTTGCCTCCTAATCCTCTAATTTTCGCCCTCCCACTTTCTTTTGAATAACGTATAGGTCAGGGGCATTGTCTTGCTGCTATCTACTGAATTATCCCTCTCCCTACCTACATTCCCAAAGGCTAAATGTACATGCCAGTGACATGGCTAACCAAACATGGGACATTCCTTTTCATCTTGGTCACATTTATTAATTCATAAGCTCTTTGCTTTGGGGAGAGTGGGTGTTGACTATGTGCTTTTCAGCTAACTCAGTTATGACAATTTTTGTATTTCATTTATTGTGTGAAGTCCATAGTTCTCAGACCAGGAGAAGGAATTAAGTCAACATTAACTAAACTAGTTAACATTCTGAGCATTTTAAAGGTTTCTGTTGATTGAATATATAATCTAAGTAAAGAATACTAATATCATTTGAAGCATGCCCTTTTAATATACTGAAAAATTTGAGGAATAGAGGCTTCTTACCTAAGTGTTTTGGGAATTATATTTATTGAATAATGCACAATCAAGGGAAAATCAAGATTATTAAGATACTGTGGGAAACAGTCACTGAAGAAAAGCATGTATTTCTGGCAGCATCTTTGTTTATTTATTTTTATTTTTGAGACATAGTTTTGCTCTGTCAGCCAGGCTGGAGTACAGTGGCACAATCTTGGCTTACTGCAACCTCTGCCTCTGTCTCCCGAGTAGCTGAGATTACAGGCATGTGCCATCACACCCAACTAATTTTAGTATTTTTAGTAGATATGTGGTTTTACCATGTTGGCCAGGCTGGTCTCAAACTTCTGAA
The DNA here is from genome assembly GCF_000001405.40 of Homo sapiens. NCBI lineage: Eukaryota > Metazoa > Chordata > Mammalia > Primates > Hominidae > Homo > Homo sapiens. The sequence goes on from NC_000002.12 coordinate 227,877,384, forward strand.
CTCAAGTGAGGCACTTGCCTTGGCCTCCAAAAGTGCTGGGATTATAGGCGTGAGCCACTGCTCCCGGACTCTTTGTTTTCTGCTTTTATTCTTCATGGCACATATCACAGCCTTTTGCTCATATTGGAGCTCAGTAATCATGAGAGGGATGAACATATTGCCTAGATCAATGTTACACAACCTTTTTGGCACCAGGGACTGGTTTCATGGAAGACAATTTTTCCACAGACCAGGGGGATGGTTTTGGGATGAAACTGTTCCACCTGTGATCATCAGGCATTAGTTAGATTTGCGTAAAGAGTGTGCAGCCTAGATCCCTTGTATGCACAGTTCACCATAGGGTTCCTGCTGCTATGGAAATCTAATGCTGCTGCTGCTGATCTGACAGGAGGCTGAATGAGCTCAGGCAGTAATGCTCACTTGCCCGCCACTCACCTCCTGCTGTGTGGCCTGGGCCCTAACGGCCACAGACTGGTACTGGTCCAGGGCCCAGTGGGGTCGGGGGACCCCTGGCCTAGAGGTTTTGTCACAGCGAAGCAGTCAAACGTACATGTTTCAATTTTGTAGTGTATTCTCCAGATCCATTTGTACAGCATCCCCACCAATTTTTAGTAGTCAGCTTGAAGACTTCGAACCTTTTTACTTTATTACAAACAAGTAGTGAATAAAGAAAGCAGACTTTTGTTAACTTATTTGCTAAAATGTTAAAAATGCATTTCCTTAGGGTATTAGATCATACTCTGTGGACTGCCAAGTGCTAATTCTTTCCAACCTTTCTCTGAGTTACAGATTATTATTTTATTGCTTATTCATTGTGTACATCATTTATTTACTCAAGCATTTATTTCCTCAATAATAAATAGCACATAGTAAATACCCTCATATATAATGCAAAAAATCTAAAATTATAGTACAGAAAGAAACACTCCCTTGATGATAGTGACACCTTGCATTGATACAGAACTTGTATGTTTAAAGTATGTATCTTTCTTGAATTTTCAAATAGCTTTTTAGGGATCTTGATCTTCAAGGGTTTATATTCTGATAATGTTGATCAACTGGGCATGGTGGTGCCTGCCTTTAATCCCAGCACTTTGAGAGGCTGAGGCAGGAGGATGGCTTGAGCCCAGGAGTTGAAGACCAGCCTGAGAAACATAGTGAAATCTTGTTTCTACAAAAAATTAAAAAATTAGCTGGGCATAGCGGCATGGGCCTATAGTCCTAGCTACTCAAGAAAATGAGGCAGAAGAATGGCATGGGTTCCTAGGAGTTCGAGACTACAGTGAGTGATGATTGTACAACTGCACTGCAGCCTGGGTAACAGAGCAAGACTCTGTCTCTAACAAAATGAAGAAGAAAATATGTCGATCCCTATCATTTTTTTCTATTTTCTTGTTTTTCTCTTACTTTTTAAATTTAAATTTAATTTTTTTTTTTTTTTTTGCCCAGGGTGGAGTGCAATGGCACAATCTCAACTCATTGCAATGTCTGCCTCCTGGGTTCAAATGATTCTCGTGCCTCAGCTTCCCAAGTAGCTGGGATTACAGGCATGCCACCACACTTGGCTAATTTTTTCTATTTTTAGTAGAGACAGGGTTTCACCATGTTGCCAGGCTGGTCTTGAACTCCTGGCCTCAAGTGACCTGCCCGCCTCGGCCTCCCAAAGTACTGGAATTACAGGCATGAGCCACCATGCCTGGCTTCTCTTACTTTTATAAAATATTTATGTATAGTCGAATAATGAAAAATACATCAAGGAATAGCTAAGATGAGCCTCATCCCCCTGAAGATGCGGTCATGCCTTGAAAGGAGCCACCTAACACGTGACAGTGCCTGTGTCTTCAAGCTGCTGATGTGGAATATTATCAGTCTTTGTAATCTTTGCTAATTTGATGGGTAAAACTTACATCTATTTTGTTTTTTATTTTTTCTTAATAATGAAGTTAGGGACTTTTTGTTTTGGTTTGTTTATTGATCATTGTCTGTCTTTGTAAGTTGACCGCTCCTGACTTTTGTCCAATTTTCTTTTTAAAAATCATTTTTGTAGTTCTTTATATTAAGTTCTTAAAATTTTGTGGTTATGGTTGAAACTTCTTTGCTGATTATTATTTGCCTTTAACTGTGTGGTATCTTTTATTGTACAGAAGCTTATAATTTATTTTAGACGAATTTGTCAATTTTTTCTTTTATAGCTATTGTATTTCATGTACTTACAAAGGTGATTACAGGCACTAAGAGACAAATCCATTATATTATCTAGAATATTTTATATTTTATTTTTAATATTAAAATTTGTAATCAAGCTGGAATATTTTTGTACATTGTATGTGGCAGAAATCTATTTTATTAACTTTTCAAAAAATCCAACTGATTATTACATCATTTATTGAACAATACATTCTTTCTCTGTTAATTTGAAATAGTATTACATCATTTATTGAACAATACATTCTTTCTCTATTAACTTGAAATATTACCTTCACTTTATTTTTAAATGTTGATGCATAGATGATTTTATTATATTGATCTAATTTTGTATCAAAACCACACTTTATTGTTTTATAGTTCATTGTAATGTCTGGTAGAGTAAATTTTCACATTTCAAAAAGTAAAATCATTATAATTACATTAACTTCGTAAATATGACATCTTTACAGCATTGGGTTTTCTCATCCAGAAATGTGTCTCCTCGTTTATCACAATTTTCTTTTATATTCAATAGTACATTTAGGATTTGCACATTTCTTGTTAATTCTATATTTAGATATTCAGTAATTTTCTTTGCAATTAAATGTGGTCTTGCCATTAACTGTATCTTCAATGGATACAGTATCTCTTTCTTATCTTCTTCCAGTCTTAGCTTTTTGTATTCTATTTATCTTTTGTAAGCACCTTAAATCTTTTTTATAGCATGTGGCATACAGCTAGGTTTAAAAATATTTTAACAATGCTGTAATGTCCATATTTTGCTGAAAAGTTTAATATGACACAAACAGTCTTTTTTTTTTTTTTTTACTCTAGGGAAATAAGTACTGGTTGGCTCTCCACAGAATCTTTCTTTTTTTCTTTTTAGTTTGCTTTTGATCCTAGAGTTTGGTTTCAGGTCTTTAGTACAAAAGAACTACTTCTTGGGGGGAAAACAACAAAACAAAATTATGCCAAACTATCCTCTAACTAGCATTTGCTTGCTGTGCTGTAGTGTTCTGGGCAGTTTCTTGAGTCACTAAAAGCATTTTTAATTACTTTTCTGTTCTAAAATCTTGCAGTTCATTACGCAACAGCTGCTTAGATTACCTGTTTAGGTTTCAGCACATCCGCGCAGCAAGACAGGGTTGAGAAAAATTCCCTCTGAGAGATCATAGCTGTGCAGCTGAGTGGGTAGTGATGTCCAACACTGAGCAGGAAACTCCAGAGGAGAAGCAGTGTTGAAGGAGAAGATCCTGAACTCTTTGAGGTGATAGGGAGACATCTATGTATCTGGAACTCAGAGGAGATATAGACTGGAGATTTGCAATTAATACTTAGCATGTTGATGGTAATTAAAGACATGGTACCGATGAATTTAATGTAAGGTGAGACGAGAAGAATCTGTAGACCTGAAGTTTAAAGATGCTTAGTGTTTAAAGGTCAGGCAAAAGAGGACAAAGGAGAATAAAAAATAACAAAGTGATTGGAAAAAGAGAAAGAAGAGATTTTATAAAAAGCCCAAAGAGGGTATATTTGAGGAAGGAGGACATATTGTTTATAGTATTGATTATTTCTGAAAGGCCACGTGCTGTAAGGACAGAGAATGTCCAATGCATTAAGCAATTTGAGGACAGTCTTCCCATCATCTACCAATTAGTTCATGTATTCAGCAAGCACTGCTAGAGCATTTTGAAAGATCATGAAGATACTAGGTAACGGCAGGCACTGCTGATAGAGAAATGGAATTCAGAGAGGGATCTGAATGTGTTGCTCGTACTTGAACCTGAACACAAATCACAGGCCTGCTGTGCTTAAATCATGACTTGCCCTGAGAAGGGTCTTTTTGGGAATATAGGGAAGCATATAGCATGGATATGTTTCCTTCTTCAAAGATGTTACAATCTCACTGGAAAGAGAAGGCATAAATGCAATTTAAGTAATACAAGGTGACCATGTAGCATATGCCACAAGGTATCATTTGATTAATAGCTAGAAAATAAGCACTGTTCATTGAGACTTTATGCCAGGTTCTTCATATACATCTTATTTAATCTCAACCAGCAAACTTATAGGTTCATAGATGAGAAAATTGACATTTGCCAGATCGTGACATAAATAAGGGGTTGAGGATCTATCTGATGCCAAGTATACACTTTTTAACTCTGCCACATTCTTTTTTTTTTTTTTTTTTTTTTTTTTTGAGATAGAGTTTCACTCTGTCGCCCAGGCTGGAGTGCAGTGGTGCAATCTTGTCTCACTGGAACCTCCACCTCCTGGGTTCAAGCGATTCTCCTTCCTCAGCCTCCCAAGTAGCTTGGATTACAGGTGCCTGCCGTCATGCCAGCTAATTTCTGTATTTTTATTAGAGACGGTGTTTCAGCATGTTGGCCAGGCTGATCTCAAACTCCTGACCTCAAGTGATCCACCTGCCTTGGCCTCCCAAAGTGGTGGGATTACAGGCGTGAGCCACTGCACTTGGCCTCTGCCACATTCTTTCTCAATGGCTCAGTGCTTTTGAAAAGTAAATAGAGTGTTTTGGCAACATTTCCTATTTTCCCTTGATCTGAAATACTGCTAGAATTATATCTGTTATATCAAACTATGGTCTATAGCAGTGATTCTCAAACTGTAGAGGACTCCTGGGAACCCTTGAACACTTTCAGCAGGGTCTCAAGGTCAAACTTATTTTTCATAATAACAATAAGATGTTACTTCCTTTTCTACACTGTGCTGACATTGTCACTAATGGTGCAGAAGCAGTGGAAGGTGAAACTGCTGGTGCCTTACTACAAATCGAGGCAGTGACACCAAACTCTAATAGTGGTCACTGTATTTATTCTTCACTGACACACACTCACAATAGGAAAACATCAAAAAAATCCCAACAGAACAACCTAGTTTTGCTTGAGGATTTCCTTGATGAAGCAGTAAAAATTATTAATGTAGCAAAATATTAACATAGGAGTGCATGTATTTTGAGTATTCCAGGTGATGAAATAGGAAGTACTAAGAAAGCACTTCTGCTCTACAGTGAAGTCTGATAGTTGTTGATATGGTTAGGCTTTGTGTCCTCACCCAAATCTCATGTTGAATTATAATTCCCATAATCCCCACAATCCCCACATGTCTAGGGAGAGACCAGGTGGAGGTAATTGGATCAGGGGGAGGTTCCCCCATGCTGTTCTCATGATAGTGAGTGAGTTCTCACAAGATCTGATGGTTTTATAATTGTTTGGTAGTTCCTCCTGCATTCATTCTCTTCCTGCCACCTTGTGAAGAAGGTGCCTTGCTTCCTCCTTTCCTTCCACCATGATTGTAAGTTTCCTGAGGCCTCCCCAGCCATGAGGAACTGTGAGTCAATTAAACCTCTTTCTTTTATAAATTACCCAGTCTTGGGCAGTTCTTTATAGCAATATAAAAACAAACTAATACAGTTGTCTTAAGGAAAATATAGGTGGTTGCTTGAATTACGAGATGAACCAACTTTTTTTCATGGAAAAGCATTTTTACTTGAAAGAGTGACTGAGAAACAACATGGTTTTCAGACTCAGACATTTTGGCAGACATTTTCTTGAAAATGAAGAATGTGAGCCCACAACTTTCAAGCAAAAATACCAGCATTTCTTGCTAGTGATGTATTTTAGCTTTCAAGCAAAAAGTATAAGTTCAGAAAACTTTTGTTTACCACCATAATCTTGACAGCTTACCAACAGTAAGAGTTTTCTTATGATAAAAATTGGTAGTGAAAATGGTAAATGTTACTTTCTGATATTGTGTGATGAAATATGTCAACAGTTACAATATATGCATAACTTAGTAGATCAGTATTTTTCAAATGTCCAGTGCATGATTATGCATGGACCATGCATGAATAAAAGATCCATCAAAAGTGTGAAATAGACCAATGAGGTTTAATGCAAGTATATGGAAAATTCACTAATATGGTTTCAGATTCTATATTGCAACTAATTTTAAGAAGTTACCATTTGTTGAGTTTTAATATCAAAAAATGTTCACAATGATATAAAAAGGCAATTATAATACTCCTTCATTTTTCAACTATGTATCAGTGTCTGACTACATTCTTTTCTTATACTTTGTCTAAAACATTTAGCAGAAGCTTGAATGCAGAAGCAGAGATGAGAATCCATTGTCTTAAGCCAGATATTAGAGATTTGTTAAAGTATAAAACAGTGCTACTCTTCTTACTCTTTTTAGGGGCAAGAAAATATAGTTATTTTTACAAAAACTTTATAAAAATAACATGCTATGAATTACTGTTGTTTTAAAACAACTTAATAAATATTTAAAAAATTTCTCAATTTTAGTTTTTAATATGGAAAAAAACCAAAAACTCTTTGGTGTCCTAAATAATTTTTAAGAGTGTAAGGTGATCCTGAAGCCAAATTTTTGAGATGTACTAGTTTATATCCACAGGCAGAGGCAGTAGAGTAAGGTGGTTAGGAGGCTCTGTCCAGTTTTTATTAGCGCTGGGCTGTTCGGATGGAATATATTCTATGGATCCATCTTCAAGTTCACAGATTCTATTCTCTGTCATCTCTACTTTTGAACTCGCTTAGCAAGTTTTTTATTTTCATTATCATATTTTTCAATTCTATAATCCTCATTTGGTTTAATAAATATTTTCTGGGATTTTCCATTTTTTCATTTGTTTCAAGTGAAATTGTAAATGATTATTGAAGGATTTTTATAATATCTTCTTTAAAGTCCTTGTCAGATGATTCCAACCTCTGATTCATCTTGGTATTGGTGTTTGTTGATTGTCCTTGGTATAATAGGTGATTTTTAAAAAATTGTATCCTAGACGTTTTGATTATTACGGGGATCCTTGATCCTATCTAAACCTTCTAATTTGGCGAAATCTGCTTAGATTTGTCATATGTGCTCTTGGGCTACTTTTGCGGGCGTTGGTTACAATGGTGTCTGTAGTTTCCTAGGCTCTTGCAATGTTACTGTCCTTTGTTTTTTCGGGTACTGCTAAGGCTCCTGCTCAGTCACTGCTGGCGCCACCTGCAGGGCGCAGAAGGTACTTCCCTAGTAGGCCTGCTGTCACTGAGTGGCCTTCCTGGTCACTTCCCGGCCTGATTATGCTGCTGGCTGGAAGGCAGGGAAACGCAGGGCTTTGCTGAGGCTGCCTCAGTGCCTGGTTGTGGAATGAGGTCTGAGACATCCCTGGATGTCACCGTTGCCCCTTTTGCAAGTGGATAGGACTGTCCACCAATGGCCTGGCTGTGGAGTGGGGTCTGGGAGGTCCCAGGACTTTGTTGATGGGGCTGCAGCCAGATCCAACTGCCTGCTGGGGCCCAGAATGTGCACTGGGAACTGGAACAGCCCCAAGCTTCCACTGGGGGATCAGACTGCTTGCAGGGGCCCCATTTGTGGGTCAGGGAATAGGGCCCTCTTGTCCTAGTTTTGGGGTGTGGAATGCGGTGATAAAAAGAAAATCCGGGAATCTCACCATGTAGTCGTTCCTCAAGCCCTGAAACCTATAGCCAGTCTACCTTCTTCCATCCAACTTTCTATTATTTTTTCATTGTCTATTGGACAATTTCAAGGGTATTTAGTTATATTTAGAGGGAAGGACCAGGGAAAAGTTTGTCTACATGATCTTGTTTTGGAACTAGATATCACTGCTTATTTTTTGTTAAAAAATTAAAAATTTTAAAAATAAAAATGGAAAAAACTGTGGCAAGGTAGGTTAACTTTTGACATAGGTGGTTATCGTAAGTGTTTTATAACATGTTTGTTTATTTCTATAGGAATTATGTTGGAATATGAAAAACATGGAGAATTAAAGACTAAGTCCATAGATTTGCTTGATCTTGGTCCCAGGTAAGTAAGCTGTAGGATTCAACAAATAAATGTTCACTGGGAAGCCTTGACACAGAGTGATGTGTGGATGAGCTGCATAAACTGCAGATAATACATTATGTTTTAAAAATTGTTCTTCTGTGGTGTGTTAGTTTCTGTTTGTTTCAGGGAGTTGTATCTGAGGGTCTTGCTGAATGAAGAGGAAGTGGGAAAAGGGTTATCACTCTTTTCTTTTTTTTCTAAGGTCTTAAAAAAATAAACCTTTTAGTTTATGATTTTAGAAAGGCCGTGAAGGTAGAGTTTCCACACCCCGATTCCCCTGATGTTAACATCTCAGATTAGCGGTGTACATTTATTAGGATTAATGAACCAGTATGATACATAATTATTAGCTAAGGCCCACTTTATTCAGTTTTTCTTAGTTTTTCCCTAATTCCTTTCTTCTGTTCCAGGATTCCATCCAGAATCCTACATGACATTTAGCCATCATGTGTCCTTAAGCTTCCTTAAGCTGCGACCGTTTCTCAGACTTCCCTTATTTTTGCTGACCTTAATTTCTTTCTTTTTCTTTCCTTTTTTTTTTTTTTTTGAGACAGAGTTTCACTCTTGTTGCCCAGTCTGGAGTGCAGTGGCTCGATCTCGGCTCATTGCATCCTCCGCCTCCTGAGTTCAAGCGATTCTCTGTGCCCAACCAGTGACCTTTACATTTTTGAGAAGTACTTGTTACTGAGTTTTAAGAATATTACTGAGCCTGTTATTTTCTTATTAAATACTTCATAGGGCTGACTGCATATGTTCCTCCTCATTAATTGTCATGGGGCAGAAAAGGGAGACCTAATCTCTATTACTGAAGCTTGGTATTAGCCCAGAGGAAACCTCTTGTGATGTAATAACACCCAGAGTTCATTCTCTTTAGTAAATCTAATGCAAATAGCTGGGCGTGGTTGCTCACACTTGTAATTTCAGCACTTTAGGAGGCCGAGGCAGCAGGGTCACTTGAGGTCAGGAGTTCGAGAGCAGCCTGGCCAATATGAGGAAACTCCGTCTCTACTAAAAATACAAAAATTAGCCAGGCATGGTGGTGCATGCCTGTAGTCCCAGCTATTCAGGAGGCTAAGGGAGGAGAATTGCTTGAACCCAGGAGGCAGAGGTTGCAGTGAGCTGAGATCGCGGTGCTGTACTCCAACATGGGTGACAAAGTGAGACTCTGTCTTTAAAAAAAAAGAAAAGAAATCTCATACAAAACTCCACTTCAAGGCCAAGGCCAAGTGTGGTGGCTCACACCTGTAATCCCAGCATCTTGGGAGATCGAGGCAGGAGGATCACTTCAGGCTAGGAGTTTGAGACCAGCCCGGGCAACACAAAATAGCAAGACTCTGTCTTTGTAAACAAACAAACAAACAAACAAACATCCTACTTCAAGAGAGAGTCAGACTAGTGATTATCCTGTGAGAGCCTAAGTTCAGATAAGGTGAAAATAATCTCAATGGGTGAAAATCACAAAAGAAACAAAACAAAAATGTTGTGTTTTAGGTTTGTGGCCTGAGACCGTAAGCAAAAGGAGCTTTCTTATATGGGCTGCTCTCTAGTTTTATAATGAGTCCACTTGACACCGTAACTGATGAGAGAGGGGCTCTCTTAATCCTGGAGTTGCTGCCACTTGAGAGGTTTGATGTTTCTGGGAGCACGTGTCTAGGGTGGGGCTGGGGCATGGCTCAGAGGATGATGGTCTATGTAGGGTCCAAGTCTTATTTCGGGTGCTTGGCACAAAGAAGGTAGTCAATTGATATTTTTTTAAAATCAAAGAATGAACAGTGGCACAGATAGTTTCATTGAATACAACAATCTTTGTTATTTTCAGAAAAGATGAGGCCTAATATCAAACCCAACCTGTGATTTTTGTAAATGGAACATGTTATTGATTTGTTTGATGATGCTAGCATGCAGGAAGTTTCTTTGTGAGACATTTGTTTATTTAGTCAGCAATTATGTATATGTACCTTCAACACATATGTAAGAATCTAATCTGGGTTAGATTCTATAAGAGGCTATAAAGATATTACTCATAATCCCTACACTTGATAGGCTTTTTGTCTAGTTTGAGAAACAACTTGTACAACATAGAACATCACACAAGTGGTACAGATAAGCTTCTATATGAGAGAATAACCTCCAGCTAGACATTCTGCAAAACCACAGATTTTTATATCTAAGAAGTATGAATTATTAGGTGATTTCAAAAAGGACTTGTGGGCTGTGAATCCAGGCACTCAACACTTTGAAAGTCTTCATATTAACTATAGTCACTCAATCGTGCTGTGCTTTCCTGAGGAGATATAAGGCATAGCCACTCATAAACATGACCTTTTGGTGATATGAGAAAGTAAATAAATGTCTCAAAAAAGTGTGAATTTTATTTCTAGTTTTGTGCAAGAATCTGGAAGTATTGTGCCTGTAAAAACACTGGCACCATAGATGACATGCTGGAATTATTGCATGAAAATCCTACAGGGTTGGAGCGTGTAGATTATCTGGTTAATTTGGATCTTGCGAGGAAATCTGTTTTTATATAAGTTGTTGAAAACGTTTCAAAGGGGCATTTTTACCCTTTTAATTGTTATGAAATTAATTATCTTTTTGACAATGAAATATCTCAGGGTTTATCCAAGTTATTATTATGGATGGTTCCTGGTTCATTTTTGTTCAAAATATTCACTCCTAATCTAATAGATTATGTTTCTTGAGAGCTGGGACCATATCTTTTACACACCCAGTGCTAAAGCAATAGTACCAACTCAATAAATGTCAATTGAATGAGCAGGTTCCTAGCTCGGTGCCTTGCACAAAACTGGAGCTTAATGTTTGTTGATGAGGTGAAGAGGGGGATACTTATCAGGGGCCACATTCATGGGAATTGGATACTGAGACAGAAGTGGGTGAGTCAAAGGTTTATTGGGCAGTGACACTTGTGACAGTCCAGGGCATGAAGCAGAAGCAGGATCAGGCGGGAGGAGCCATCTGACCTCGATGAAGAAGGCGGGACAACAGAATCTCTGCCAATCTGGAAGAGCTCAGGAGCAAAACTTGCCAGCTAGAGGAGTGCCTCACAGGGAGAAACGGCCAGGCTCTTGCTCTGCCCCTGCTCAGCTGTGGACGGAGAGCCACCAGAGAAGAGGCAGCCCTGGCCTGGAATGCCAAGGTACAGCCTGAAAGAGCTGCAGCTAGAAGCTGTCAGGCAACAAAGCTCCAACCCTGACTCTGGGCTTGATTCTTTCTTAAAGGTGGGGGAATCTGCATAGTGCATCTTCTGGACACGTGTGTGACATGATTTGTGAAATGGCTCTTTTTTGGATGCTTCATGGTGTATATACATTGATACCTTTTTTTGAACGAATATTATTCTGTGCCAGCAACATTTTTCAGAATTTCTATGAATTATTTGAATGCTAGAGAAAATTTGAATCTATCTGTATATTTTTCAGACCAGTTATCTTTCAGGGAAACAATATTTTAGTCTATAATAAATATTAATATTAGTCTTATGATGCTTTAAATTTATGGTTAGGCATTTTTCTCTTTTCCTAAAAATATTTTAAATCTAATCTTTCTGAACCTCAGTTTCTTCATCTCTAAAATAATTATGATAAAAGCATTACATTAGCAGATTGTTACAGGATTAAATAAGAGAACATATGTAAAGTGAAAAGTATGCTGCTGGGAACATTCAATACATGTTCATTCAAAAGAAACAGGAAAGAAAGAAAAAGAGCTCATGTTCAGAACTAGTATGGACTAGGCCTTCCTAGGTGTCTTCATTCATTTTGTGCTGCCATAAAAAGAAAGACCTGAAACAGGGTTATTTGTTTCTCGTAGTTCTGACTGAGAAATCCAAGATCAAGGCCCCTACAAGTTTGGCATCTGATGAGGGCTGCACTCTGCTTCCAGGATGGCACCTTGATGCTGCGTCTTCACATGGCAGAGGGCAGAAGGGCAAAAGGGATGAACTCTCTTTGTCAAGCCTTGTTATCAGGGCTTCTAATCCCATTCAGAAGGGCTCCACCATTGTGACTTAATTACCTATTCAGGCCGCACCTCTTAATGCTGTGACATTGGTGAACATGTTTCAGCATGAATTTTAGAGCGGACGCAAACATTCAAACCACAACACTAGGTGAGAACATTAGACTCTTGGCACACCCTCCATGAAACAAGCCTTAGCTTTGGAAAAATATGTTGTAGAAAATCCAAGCTTCTTGCTTTCCTGCCATCATCTATTTACTGATTTGTATGATCCTCCCCGCCCCACCCCCAGATATCTCTTGGGAAAGATAATGGTGTTTTTGACATTTTATAAATGTGCTTCATGAAGCAATACAATCAATTCTTCATGTAATATAGGTATATGCAAATTTTGACATAAAATAAAAGAAACTCTTTTTTGGGTGTATTTCAGCACTGATGTCAGTGCGTTAGTAGAAGAAATCCAGAAGGCAGAACCTCTACTCACAGCTTCACGAACAGAGCAAGTCAAACTTTTGATACAGAGGTTGCAAGAGAAACTCGGCCAGAACAGCAATCACACGTTCTATCTTTTTAAGGTAATGGATTTAAAAACAATCAGATAGAAGAATTTCAGTGAAATGATTGATATTTTATTAATTTTTCTTTCCCTAAAAATATTTTTTCATGAAAAAGGCATGTCAGTGATTGATTGTAGTGCCTCACATATGTTTGCTAAGATTGTCCCAATAATTATTTGTTAAATGAATGAGTGAAATCCAAAACACTTATTCCTTGAGAGGTTAAATAAAGATTTCAGCTCTTCATATAATGATAAATTTAAAGGGTTATTATTATTAAGATAGTTTTAAGTTATGGAATAACTAAAGCTTTTTTTCTAGTTAAAGTAACGTTAAGAAGTTGTGTTTTATGACAAATCAACATTTCGTATTTTCTGCTTTCATGTGAACTAAACCATATTTCAGTAAATTATTTATTTGTATGACATATAATTTTAATGTGATGTAAATATGCTTTTTAAATAGTTTTTTTGATGATTAAATATAGCAAATATAGTCGTTTAGTACTTCAAGGAAAGCTTTTAATTTTCCTTTGTCATTACCTTAGAATTACTTCATATTACACTGCTTTTATCTTTTATGATTTAAATATAATTATGATAGTAACATATAATTATTAGTTATAGACTCACCTGATACAAAATATCCAGGCATTCGTTTCTGGAAGAGGATGTTATAGTCTTGTAACATTTCTTTGTCCAGTAGGTGGCACTGTTTAATTTCAAATATGAGCTGTATAACTAGCGTGTCTCAATTTATTCTCCAAAGGGAACATTTTTGATGGTGAAAGTAGATGCTATTCATAGTTACATTTTGGTAACAGACATAACTTGGACTGTCCCAGCCCAGCCAATCACTCTTAATAGATTGTCCAATTTATGTATATGCATTCAATAAATATTCATTAAACATTCACTGTATGTTAGATGTTGTAGGGATTGAAAGATAAGGAAGACATATTCTGACACTAAAGGAGCTTCAGGATTCATAAAGTCATAATACATTGTCAAATCTTTATTGAAACATATTTAGTGTATTTCCTACATACCCAGTTTATACATGTATACAAAACCACATGCCATATGTAAAAGAAAATGTTACAAATTAGTGCTATCAATAAGATGCCACATAGCACTGTCTAAAGGTAAATCAGATATTGCCTGTTTCTGATGTATAATTAAGAAAAAATTGAATGTCTTCATTGGTTTGAAGTTATAACTAACAAATTTAATTTGGTTTGAGTCTAAAAAATGGTGTTTTCTTTCACTGAAGGTTCTCAAAGCACATATATTGCCACTGACTAATGTTGCACTTAACAAATCGGGCTCATGGTAAGATTCTCTTTTTATGTCTAATTTTTAGCAGTGAAACAAATTTCTGTGTTTATTTATCAAAGATTCCAGTTAGATAAGTACATAATATATTCATTTTTCTGATTTCAGTACTCCCTTGGATACTGAGGAGAAATATAAACCCTTTCTCCCACTCTTCTAATCTGAGTTTTCTGTCGTATTTGTGCTGCAGTGAATGGGAGGCATATTGGGTTCTCAGCAAATGTAGCTACTGAAGAACTCAACTCAGGAATGAGTCGGGCAGGGTGGCCTCATATCTAACTTGGTTGGTTGTGATCAGTCTATTCAGAGCAGGCACTTTCCATCTAGGTCAGTGATTTGGGGTATGGCAAACAGCAGCTTCAAGTCTCTGTTGAGAGCATGGCTGTGATCAGCTTGGGAGCTGACGTGCTAGGTAGGAGAGATGAGGGAGAAGTCTCGTCTTGACCTACAGACATAAAATAAACACAAACTAGACATAAAATAAGCAGTTTGCTAAGGCTTCCATAATAAGGTAGCACAAACTGAGTGGCTTACACAACCAAAATGTATTGTGTCACAGTTGGGGAGGTTAGAGGTCAGAGGTCAAGGTGTCATCAGGGTCAGTTCCTTCTGAGGCCTTGGGAAAGAAGCTGTTCCACAGCTCCTGTAGCTTCTGGTGGTTTGCTGGCAATCTTTGGTGTGGAGAAGCATCACCCTGAGCTCTGCCCTCATCTTCACATGGTTTTCCCTGTGCATGTCTGTGCCTATATGGCCTGTTCTTATAAGGATGTATTGAACTAGGGCCCACCCTACTGCGGCATGATCTCATCCTAACTTAATAATTTTTTTTTTTTGAGATGGAGTTTCACTCTTGTTGCTCAGGCTGGAGTGCAATGGCACGATCTTGGCTCACTGCAACCTCCAGCTCTAGGGTTCAAGCAATTCTCCTGCCTCAGCCTCCTGAGTAGCTGGGATTACAGGTGCCTGCCACCACGCCCAGCTAATTTTTTGTATTTTTAGCAGAGACGGGGTTTCTCCATGTTGGTCAGGCTGGTCTCGAACACCTGACCTCAGGTGATCTGCCCAACTTGGCCTCCCAAAGTGCTGAGATTACAGGCGTGAGCCACCACGCCCAGCCGTAACTTAACTATTAATAATTATATCTGCAAGATCTTATTTCCAAATACATTCACATTCTAAGGTTCTGGGGGATTATGACTTCAACATATAAATTTTGAGGGCATATATTTCAACCCATAAAGTATCTATAGTATATATGTGTATAGTTGCAAATGCGAGTTTGCATCTGTCCAAAGGTAGAAGAAGTCTGTGGGAGAAGATGGTAGAAGGAAAATACCTAGGAGAGAATCAAAGATACCTTGTCTTGTCAACCTGCCTGTTTAGTTGAGTTTCGCTATTAGACTTTTCTTCACCTTTTCTTGTTACCACTTGACATTCAGACTGGCTTTTCAATTTTGTGGGTTGTTTTCTGTGCTGGGGAAATATATTTTTGTTATACTTTTGAAGCAATATTTTGATTTCAGAGATATTTTAGAAAGAAAGTCTCTTTCTTAATTGAATATTGAAGGAATGATTAAGATGCTGCTATTTTACATTACACTCTATTCACTATTCCTGTAGGAGAATAGCTATGTTAAAGGAACCATTCATTTGTTTATTAAACAGAATATAGGCCAGGTGTGGTGGCGCACGCCTGTAATCCCAGCACTTTGGGAGGCCGAGGTGGGCAGATCACGAGGTCAGGAGTTGGAGACCAGCCTGGCCAACACAGTGAAACCCCATCTCTACTAAAAATAAAAAAAAAAATTAGACAGGCATGGTGGCGCACCTCTAATCCCAGCTACCTGGGAGGCTGAGGCAGGATAATCGCTTGAACCCCGGAGGCAGAGGTGGCAGTGAGCTGAGATCGCACCACTGCACTCCAGCCTGGGTGACAGAGCAAGACTCTGTCTCGGGGGTGGGGTGGGGGTTGGGGGAGGGAACAATGGAATATATCCCAATTTAGACATTGTTCTCAATTTAACTTTTTGTTCTGCACACATGATTTCCATTGTAAAAAGCATAATAGGCCAGGCGTGGTGTGTCACACCTGTAACCCCAGCACTTTGGGAGGCTGAGGCAGGCGGGTCACTTAAGGTCAGTAGTTCAAGACCAGTCTGGCCAACATGGTGAAACCCCATCTCTGCTAAAAACACACACAAAAAATATAGCCAGGCGTGGTGGTGGGTGCCTGTAATCCCAGCTACTCAGGAGGCTGAGGCGGGAGAATTGCTTGAACCTGTGAGGTAGAGGTTGCAGTGCGCCGAGATCACGCCATTGCACTCCAGCCTGAGTGACAGAGCGAGACTCCCTCTTAAACAAACAAACAAACAAACAAACAGCATAATAAATAGAGTTATTATCCTACAGGTAAAACATGAAGTCTTTATTAACACACTGCCATTCTTCCCTGCAACGTGTTTATATTCCTTGTGTTAGCTTTATCACAGGAAGCTATGATCGGACGTGCAAGCTCTGGGACACTGCGTCTGGAGAGGAGCTGAACACGCTGGAGGGCCACAGGAATGTGGTTTATGCCATAGCATTCAACAATCCTTACGGGTGTGTTCATCCCTTCACTTATTTGTTTATTAATTCATTTATTCATCCCTCCATCTGCTTGGGGAGAAAGGGAAGAAGACAAGAGGTCTAAATTTATTGAGTGCTTGGTATGTGCTTTGGAAGCCTTTTAAATACCTCCTTCAAAGCTTAAAAGGGTCTTTGGGTTAGCTATCACTATCCGCATATAGAATACAAGGTTTAAGGCTGGGCGTGGTGGCTCACGCCTGTAATCCTAGCACTCTGGGAGGCCGAGGCGGTGGATCACTTGAGCTCAGGAGTTTGAGACCAGCCTGGCCAACGTGGTGAAACCCCATCTCTACTAAAAATACAAAAATTAGCTGGGCTAATGTATGTAATGTATGGTGGCGCATGCCTGTAGTCCCAGCTACTCGGGAGGCTGAGGCAGGGGAATCGCTTGAACCCAGGAGGCAGAGGTTGCAGTGAGCCCAGATCGCACCATTGCACTCCAGTCTGGGCAACAGAGTGAGACTCTGTCTTAAAAAAAAAAGAATACAAGGTTCAAATATGCTTCCAAGGATCGCACGGTAGTAAAGAGGAGAGCTGGAGTTCGTGCTCAGGCAAGACTTGACTCTCAATCCTTGGGAGTTCCGACAGGCACTGCCTATTGATGTTCACAGCTCTGGGCTGGTGCCTCTGGGGGAATGTGACAGACACACACAGCATGGTTTACTTCATTTAGAAGTTAATTTACAGTCTTGCCAGGCAGGAAAAAAATGTGTGTGGTAACATGCTAAATAACAATACCAAGTACAACAGAAGTATTTTTAAACCAACCTCTAGATAATGAACAGGAGATTGCACAGTGTCTTCTATTCTTCCTCATGACACACTGCTGATTCCCATGGCACCCTGAACATCTATAGCAGTGAACATACCCGCCGGAATGGGCATCCTCCTCCTGCTGGTTAGGTTCTAAGCTGATCAAGAGTTAGTTGTATTTGTCAACCAATGCGCTTATGTTGGTTGTACTTTCAATTGTAATTGTGTAACATAACGTGTAATTTAACTAAATATTACATAAACCAATAAAATATGAGTGTGAAAAGAAAGCTGGTCTTTTCTAGGGAAGCATAAATAAGGCAAATCTTTGAAAAATTGTTTCACAACTAAATGAAGTTGTGGAGGAGATCAATGTTCAATTGGAAATCACACTGTCAAAATCTAGAAAAATTCTGTACTCAGATTGTTCTGCACGTATGTTTAAGTTCTTTAAGTTCTCATTCCACTTGCAAGAAAAGAAAACTAGATATTGTAGAGGTTTGATACGATTTCTGAAAGACAGATGGTGAACTCCACTTAGCTGACACACAGTCAAAGAAAGACAGTGGCCTCTTGTGAAAAGATTGGCAAATAAATATATATTTATATCTAATGGAATATACCTTTTTTAGACAAGCAAGTATTTTTTCATGATTGCACATGCTAAATGAATTTTTCCATAAAGGAAGCTGGTTCTATAAATATGGTTCATTTACTATAGTGTTATGATGACTAGAACAAAACAGTAAATGATTTAACAATTAAGACAAGAAAGTGATCACTGTGATTTCTCCTGGTAAGAGTCTTTGGAGATGGTGTGAGCCGAAAGAAGATGCCAGAAGGATGGAGGGTGGTGAGCAGTGGAGAGGACACACGGGGCAAAGAGACCTCAGCAGCTCAGTGTCTCCAGGAGGGGATTCATCGGGCACACTCAGTGGCCAGTCTCTGTAGTGACTCAGTGGCCAGTCTCTGCAGTGAGCATTTCATGTTGAAAAACAGAAGTGCGTGAGGTCAGAGCATTCAGTGGAGTTTAAACTCTGTCCTGTGGGACCAAGTTGCCATCAAGGATTTGGGAACAAAAAGGGGAAAAATGAAAGTGATGTTTTAAATAGAAGGATAGCTCTGGCAGACAGAAGAGGTCAGAGGGTTTGGATGTGAGAAGAAACAAGACACAAGGAGGTCATTTAGGATGCAGATATGACAATACACTCATGATACCATAATACACTCATTGCTTGGGAAGGGGCAGGAAGAATAGAGGAATTTCATAAAAATTTGATACACTTAGAATAGACATTTTATACTACAGTTAAAAAACTTGATATCTAGGTTGCCAATATAATATCTTTTAGAAATGTAGTACCCTTTCAAAACATGTTAATTGTGATGGCACCAACTTAAATTGGTACATTAAAGTGATTAAGCGTTCCAATTAAGTTTTAGAAAATTTAACTTTGATCTATGCATTTTTATATTCCAGAGAATGACAGTTTTTATAATACCTTATTATGCCAGCTTATGAAAAGATAAAGATTTTATTGAAATTATAAATGACACTATTTTACATCTGGTATAATTCCTACTTTCACTGCAATGCTATTTAAAGGATATTCTCTATAACATAATGCCATATCCTTTAATAGTCTACTTAACAAACATGATGTGTTTGGGTGTCTATCTGAGAATGAAGTTTTCTCTTGTTGGGGAGGTGAGGGATACTTTTTGACTCTTCAACTGAATTCTACCAAGAGCCCCTGATGAAAAACCCACGTGTCCAATCAGTTATCTTCGCCTGATGATTTATGTATGCGTGAATGCAGTGTTTCTCATTGCACTTTGGGGTCATTGGGGTTTCAGTAGCATAAATTCAACACAATCACCAAAGAATAAGAGGGAGTGTGTGTGTGTGTGTGTGTGTGTGTGTGTGTGTGTGTATGAGAGAGAGAGAGAGAAAGGAAAAACTTCAACCAATTTACTGTTTATCTGCTTTATACCTTAGGGCAGGAGTAAGCTTTGACTCAATAAAGTAATTCTCAACACATTGACATGAGAGATATCTTCTATAATGTGGTGTCATGTGGATATAGAGAACAGTTTGTGATAGAATAGATATCAGTCAAGAAACAACAGCAACTCCACACTCATGTTTGAGGGCCAGGAAGAATGGAAAAATGAATTGAGGGAACTGATAAAGAATGTACATAGTGAGACCTCATCTCTACAAAAAATAAAAAAAAATTTAGCCAAGCATGGTGACATGTGCCTGTAGTCCCAGCTACTTGGGAGGCTGTGGTAGGAGGACTGCTTGAGCTCCGGAGGTTGAGGTTGCAGTGAGCTGAGATCGCACCACTGAATTCCAGCCTGGGTGACAGAATAAAATTCTGTCTCAAAAAAAGAAAAAAAAAAAAAAAAAAGCACAGGGCTTTGAGCTTATCTTGAGCACGTATTGGAAGACATCAGCAGCTGAAGTAAAATGCCCTGGGCTGGAAACCAGAGGAGAAAGCTAGGTCAGACACTCTGTTAGGAAGCTTTGGGTGGGTGAGTGTTTGCCAGTACAAGCTGCCCTTGGAGCATTGACAAAGAGGATGGCACTTTGCTTTAGTCTGAGAGACCACCTAGACACTATAGAAATATGGGTGTCCTGGGACAAGGGGGAGAATCAAGGCATCAATGTTAGTTTGGATAAATATACATTTCTAGTCTGCTTTAGGATATATGTGTTGGGTTGTGAGATCTCTTACACTTTGGGAAATTGAGCTTGTACTGTAAATGATAATCCAATTGGGTGAACATCTTGAAGAGCTGGTGTAAAAGACAGTTGTAAGCCAGGGTTAAAAGAAAGGTTTTAGTTCCAAGATCAAAGGCCAAACAGGGTAATCTACTCTTGCTTGTTGGTTGTTGATGTTAGCTCTGCCCCGCAGTCAATATGAGAAGCCTCTTAGTTGAAAGTGACTGAAGTCTTTGTATTTCCTTTCTAAACCCTCTTACAACTGGAATAATATAGGCATTATTTCCTTAAGAGGACAAGCACCGTCTAAATTCTCAAAACCTTATTAACCATATTTTTAATGGGATTTATCTTTTTTCATTTCTCTTTTATATTCAATGTTATTCTTTTCCATATACTTATTAACATAATTTTTCTATGTTTACACAGTTCATACTATACATTATTTATTTTAATTTGTAAGTAATTTTCTAAACTAAACCTTTTGCTACATTCATTAAACTCATTTTAAAAATTATTATAATCCCAAACAAATATACCTATAACTTTAATATAAAACCTTTAAAATTAAATGTGTAAATCGATACCACTCAAAAATTAGACTTTTATTTTATTATCCACTGAAACAAATTTAAGATTGCTTATAGCTTTAGAAGTGAAGTAAATTTTTTACTCATGTATTAATATCTCATCTTAGTTCAGTTTATTATATAATGTGTCTTTTTTTAAATAATCTACATTTCTTTTAAATCTTAGTGACAAAATCGCCACTGGGTCCTTTGATAAAACTTGTAAACTCTGGAGTGTGGAAACAGGAAAATGTTACCATACCTTCAGGGGTCATACAGCAGAAATAGTGAGTATATTTAACAATTTATTATTATTTTATGTATATATATATATTATTTTCTTTGAGATGGAGTCTCACTCTGTCACCCAGGCTGGAGTGCAGTGGCACAATCTTGGCTCACTGCAAGCTCCGCCTCCTGGGTTCATGCCATTCTCCTGCCTCAGCCTCCCGAGTAGCTGGGACTACGGGCGCCCGCCACCACGCCCCGCTAATTTTTTGTATTTTTAGTAGAGATGGGGTTTCACTGTATTAGCCAGGATGGTCTCAATCTCTTGACCTCGTGATCCACCCGCCTCGGCCTCCCAAAGTGCTGGGATTACAGGCGGGACCCACTGCACCTGGCCTTATTATTATATTTTATGTTGCTGTTTCTTTTTAGGATTCTATTATAAAAGTAGTGGGGCTACTTTTATAATTAATTTTCAAATTCTACCCCATGTTTTTAGTCTGCCTATATTTATATGGTGGTACCAATACAATTTAAAAATTACTCTAGTTAATATCTTGCAGATTCTGTAAAGAACTGTATCCTACATTGACTAAGTAGACACGTAATATGATAAATTTATAAATATAATAACCAATCTTACTTTTTAATTGGCTTTTCTTTAAAGTACTGACTCAATGAGGGTCAATTAAGTTATGAAAACAGTTTTTAAAATAATTTTTAAACTACTATGTGAAATATTTAAATATTTAGGCTGATTGTTTTCTGTATATCATTAGAGCTCAAATTTGCCTAAATAGTCTGATACTCGAAACAGCTTTCACTATTGGGAAGCCCTTGTCCTTGACCAATTCTGAGACATATCTGATAACAATTAGTGCAATAATTGGCATTCCATAAGAACAGATGATAGCTCTTAAAAATAAACAGGCTGCTGCTCCTAATGATTAGTAATACCTTAAATCTTTTTAATCAAAGATTTAAATAAGGAAAAATTGATCTGATTTTAACAAATCCCCAAGTTATGTTTTGGTCTGTTAATGGGGATCACACCTTTCCCTCCATTTCTGGCCTTCATTAGGTAGAATGATTCTTTAGATATTTAACTCACTAACTTTGTTGTACTTTGAAGTTACTCTTAAGTGGATAATACCAAAAGAGAATCCACAAATAGAAGGTACTCACTTTACCAATGCAGTAGTAGTATAAAAATAATAGAGACTTTTGAGGGTCAAAGAGAGAAAAGGCTAAAGCAGGAAACAAAATATAACCACCTCTCCTGTAACTGTCAGTAGGGAAATATAGCTCAGTACTTTTTGAATTGAACAGAGACATAAAAAGAATGTGCTAATAACTATTAGTAGATGAAGAGAGGAAATTGATAACAAAGAGTGACAGGTCTTTTAACCTCAATATTCACTGGAAAAAAAGATACCTGCTGTGAACCAGAAAGAGCAAACAAGAACATACAGGGGTGGAGGGAGGAAAAGCAAGCCACAGTGGCGACAGCTTTTGTGAATAGTCGGTGACAGCCGATCTGCCAGCAGTGTTCAAGTGCTAGCACCCACACCCACCCCTGGAACTTAGGAACAAGATACCTAGAACAGACTGTGAAATGCTTGGAAATATGTCTTGAGGATAAGGAAAGTACCTGGAGATGGGAAAGGGTCCTGTATTCTGCTTATTTATGTACACCTTAAAACAGGAACAAAAACAAGCTGCTTATTTTAGAAGTAAAATTTATTTACACTCATCCTAAAAATTCATGGTATATTCATCCATAAAGAACTCATGCTATGTTGAAGTTACTTTGCTAGTGACTGGAAATACTGCAGTGAAACATAACTGACCCTTTGACAGCACTTGCTGTTTGAGAGGCACTGTCCTAAGCCCCTTTACATAGACAGGTATTAGCTTAGTTGTGCCTCATAGCAACCCTAAGAGGAAGGTATTTTCCCATTTTACAGAGTAGGGTACTGAGGCATTGAAAGCTTAAGTAACTTGCCCAAAGTCAAAGAAAAACATAATGTGTGTCCTTAGAGTGTGACCATTTTTGCACACTCCTTTAGATTTTGGGGAATATTTTCTTTAGATATAATTCCTAGGGAGACATTCATCTTTTTCACAGTCAACAACATCCATCTAATAAATATTTATTAAATATTGACTATGTGTGGAGCCCTGGCCTACATGCTTAGGGTATCTGAGAGAATCAGACACAATTCTTACAATTCAATAGAAGGAGTAAAAGTGTCAATGGATAAGTTCAAAGATGTGTTGTAAGTGTCAGAAGTGGATGGGGATTTCAGTGTGGACACAGAGGGAGCAGTGTGGCCTCCTGAGCCAAGGAAAGGTGTTCAGGAAAGACTTCCCAGAGGGGTGGCATGTGCATTCCAGGCAGACCGAGCAGCCCTGGAAAATGCTGAGAAGAGGCATGCAACAGTGATGTGTGCCTGAAACTCAGGTGGCTCTGTGTGATCAGAGCAGAGCTTCCTGACCCTCCATGTGGTGGCATGTGCAGAATATGTGAATGTGGATTTGCAGCACACTGAAGGGAGCTGCCTGCTGTGCATGGCCAGAGGTGATGGGCAAGGATTCCTGCTGCTGCCCAGCTGCCTGAGTTAAAAGTGTCCATGCCTTGGCACACCTATAGCCCATTCAAATTCAGGTCACAGGGTGTGAGCAATTAAAGTAGGAGAGGCAAGCAAGGGCCATAGTATGCAGGAGGTTATATACTATGCTAAGGAATTGGATTTTATTTTGTAGGTAATGGCACACTGTTGAGACTTTTTGACTAGGAGATGGTATGATCAGCTGTGCTCTTTGGAAAGATTATTTCTGTGGCACTGTGAAAAAGAAATGGGAGGGTGGTAAAATCCGAGTTATCAGCCAGTTGGGGATCTTGCTGAAATCCACGTGAAAAATGATGAAGACCTGTTGTAAAGATAGATGAAGAGAATGTGAGTAGAACTTGGTTACTAAGTAGTTATGAGGCATAAAAGAAAAGGGGAACCCAGGATGGATTCCCTGATTTTGTGTTTGCATGATGGGCAGTGCCATTCACCAATTCTGTGCATAAAAGAGGAGCAGGTTTGCATCTATATGACTTTTGTGTCTTAGATTGATATAAGCTGCCTGTGTGATAGCCAAACAGAGGCATCCATTTAACAGTTGGCTCTTTGGGACTGGAACTGAGCAGTGAGGTCTGGGAAAGAGACTTGGATGCATGAGTCACTGGCATCTGGGTGGCAGTAGAAACCAATGAGCAATTGAAATTGCCCAGAGGAAAATATAGAGTATGGAGAGGGACTGACAGAATCTTGGGAGGATGGAGAAGAGAGAACTTCAAATGATACAAAAAGAAAAAAGAAAAACAAGAAGAAAGGGAGGGAAACTAGAGAACAAAGGATTCAGTGCTGCAGATATCAGGGAGGTTAAGCGGGATGACCGACCAAACCTGGATTGGGCATTTAGCTGGAGTGGTTTCAGAAGAGTTGACGAGTGAGCAGAAGATGGACAAAAATGATGGTAGACTGTTTCCCAAGAAATTTGGTTGTAAAGGAGGAAGAAGAGTTGCTAAGAGGGGTACATAAGATCAAGGGAGGATTTACTCAAACATATTTACAGGCCACTGAAAAGGATCTAGTCTACAGGGAAGGAAAAGTTAGTGGGTGCATCTCCCCTAGGTGTACAGGGAAGGGGTTCTTAGAATGGGCGGAAGGATGCCTCTACATCCGAGACTGAGGGGAAGGAAAGTAAGATCAGGAAGTTCCTACCTGACAGGAGAGTTTTCTCAGGGAAGTGGAAGGAGGCCAGGTTGTCTGTTGAGGAGGGGTGAGGATGGAAGTAGAGGCAGGAGTGGGGAACAGGAGAATGTATAGAGCCAGAAGCATCTTAAGCAAAGTAGGGAACAGTGCTGAGGACTCTACTGAGGACAGAGGCATGAAAGAGCAATACTAGTAACTTTCTGTGCTGTTCTCTTAAGCTACCTTGGCTGGGTGATGAGGCAGGGAAGCAGGTGGTTGGATAAAATCCTTGCCTGATAAAAGTTAATGTTAGCAGTTGGTACGGAAGGTGCATCAGATAGATAGGGGCTAACAGTGTCGAGGATACTGGGAGGAGTGATGCTTCCGGGGTGTCAGTTGAATGGGGAGGATGGACCAGGAGAAAAGGCAGATGTCTCAATGAGATGAAAGATCTTCTGGGGGAGGGGAGTGGGAAGGGAAATTTTGACCCTGGATTGGTGAATTGGTGGTGAATCTTCTAGAGAAGATAATACTAAGGTCCATGGTGTGGCCATGGGAGAGACTACTGAACAGTTGTCCGGGGCATGGGTCTGGGGGAACTGGATGGATTGCCCACGTGAAGGCCACCTAAGACTTGGCATTGAGACTACAAGCCAGTAGTCTCTTGATGAGTGAGGGGCTGTGATTGGAAGGACTGTGGTGACAGCAGCAAGGAGAAGGAGAGCCATATAGCACGGATCTTAAAGGAGGTGGGCTTCACTTTTGTTCTTGTTCTTCTGTGGTCTGGAAGTGGCAAAGGGAGCTAGTGCCCCTCCAAGCCTTAGCTGGGTGCTGTGGGAGAACAAGCAGCCTCTTTTCAAGAGGAGGACTCTGAAGGACTCAACCTGGGGGTAGCAGGTCACACATACGTGGGGTTTTGTACAAAGAATTAGATGGAATCTGGTAAGGTAATTGCATCTGGAAGATTTTCTGTGTATAATTAACACTTTGAAACTCTGTCTTCCTAAAATTTCTCCCATTTTATGTAATTTAGGTGTGTTTATCATTTAACCCTCAAAGCACATTGGTGGCGACTGGAAGTATGGACACAACAGCCAAATTGTGGGACATTCAGAATGGCGAGGAAGTTTACACCTTAAGAGTATGTCAATAATGTTAATAAGCCTGTTATTTGTGTTCATTCTTATTTGTGTTTTTGTTACAAAATGAGCTCTAAGTTGGAGGTTGTTGAGTTGCTGGTTTTCAAATTTTAGTGGTGAAAGAGTGTCCCTACTGGTTTCCTGGCTATTCCAAAAGACTTGGGTGGAGGTGCTGGGGAAGTCCAAGGAGCTTTTTATTTTGACTAACTTTAGTCTGCAAAACACATAAACTATATCTTAGAACCCATCACCATCTCTCTGGCTAAAAGGAAAGCAGGTGGAGGCTGGCACTTTTGGAAGAGGCAGAACTGGAGAACCATGACAAGAGAATCCTTAGAGCAATGACTGTGAGCACACTCTCCTCTGCCCGCTGGTCTTTCAGCCATCCTGTATCACAAAAGTCTGAAATGACAGAGGGGCAAGTGACCAGAGGGGAAAAGGCCAAAGGGCTCTGCCCACAGAGTGAGTGCTGTGGGGCATGCTCTTGTGTGTCACCACCATGTGCCCAGCACCTCCCCGCCATCTGTCACTCTCCCCTTCCTCCCACCCTCCCCTTCCTCCCACCCTCCCCTTCCTCCCACCCTCCCCTTCCTCCCACCCCAGCCCAAGTCACTGCAACAAAACTAGAGTGACCCTATGTTGTAATCAGCAGGAACAGCCAGATGGGAAATTCAGTTTCCTTGTCCTTTCAAAATTATAAGTACATTTTTAAAAACATGATTTGTTTCCTCAGAAAGCTTTTTCTAAGCAAGTTAAAACATGGACTGCAAAAGAAAAAAAATCACCATTTTAAAATAACAGTAATGGCTTTTCTTTCTTAAATCTGAGTATCTAGCATTATTAGTGTAAGTATACTCTTTCTGTTCTCAGTTCTTTTTTCGTTTTTTTTTTAAATCATTACTATCTCTTCCTTCAGGCAAATGTGCAGGGAAAGGTCCCCATTAATGCCACACTTTCAACTAAAATGACTCCTTTTACAGACGTGCCTAAGAGCACTCAATGGGAGGGGTCCTGCTTGGCACACCTGTCTGCGCCAGAGAGTGAATTTGTTTTGCGTACTTAGAATTCGAATATTCAACTACATTTCATTTTGTCCTTTGAAATCAATCAGAAAAATCAAGTTATAATTCAACTTTTCTAATTCTTTGTATTATTTAAAAGTATACTTATGTTAATTTACTAAAATAATGAAGGAATCAAGGGATATATGTACTCCAACCAGGATCCCCTTATCAGAGTTCCAGAATCTGCTGTGGAGAGTGGTTTCTTCCCATTATCTTACAGTTTGATTCACTAACACTAGACAGTAACCAGCTGAAAGTCAGGCCAAAGGCAGGAATTTATCAATCGATTTCATGTCAAGTTATCTTAATAATTTCCTTTTTAAAAGTAATTAGTTTTATTTCATACACTGTTTACTTTTGCATACCATGTGTTATTAGCCCATGGCATCCCCTGCTCTGTAGTGTTTCCAAGGCAGTGTAAAGGACGTCCTCTAGTTTCCCCAAATACAACCTCTTTCTTTTGTTTTTAATCAATATTATTAAGTTAAATGAACTAGCTGTGTGTAAGTCACTAATTTTTAGTAAACTCACAGTATTGTGCAGCCATTACCAAAACCTAGTTTTCAAACCTTTCCATCACCCCAAAAAGAACCCTGTGCCCACGTGCAGACACTCCCCATCCTCACCCCAGCCAACCGCTGACCTCCGTTCCTAGAGCTCGGCCTTCTCCAGCATTTCCTTTTAGACTATGATATTGTACGCTTGCAGAAATTGTTTTATCTGCAGGTATACTTGACAGTATCTGCTCTTTTTCTAGGGACATTCTGCCGAAATCATCTCCTTGTCATTTAACACCTCAGGAGACAGAATCATCACGGGGTCTTTTGATCATACCGTTGTAGTGTGGGACGCTGATACTGGAAGGTAATTCTTAGTTCTTAAGAATTGTTTTAACCTGGATCAGGGGGTTCAGAAAACCCTCTGTTATTTTTTAGTTTAAGCTACTATCTATTAACTCTGCTTTGGATTCCATAAAAATAGGACATATTGAAAATGTAAATTAATTCATTCTTTAATGATATTTCTGATTCACAAAATATGTGCATTCTTTGAATTCTGAGCAAATAATGACAAACAGCAACATAAAAGGAGAATGTTAGCAATAGTCTGGTTATATAGCTATTATTTATTTCATGGATAATCAGATTTCAATGGCTTGTCATTATGTTAGGCAGGAATATCATGTATAAATAAAAACTCTTAGTTAATTTCCCAAATTAATTTAGTCCAAGAACTTCAATTTCCTTCCTAATGATTTTTGGTCCTAGTTGCTAGGAAGTTAACTAAATTAGCATATTTGTGTTGGAAAACTCTACTCTTGGATTTGTCTGTGATTTAATAGAGGGGCTAATTATCAGGGGTGCCAACCAAGATGTATGCAACAAGAAATGATAGAGGAAGAAGGACCTTTCAGTTACTTGATGTGTAGTTTCTGAACAACCAGGGGTGCACTCACCCGGTGTAAGACTACTTCTTACGGCCTTTACTATTTGTTACCCATGTCTTTTTGAAATGTTGCCTTAAGTAGCATTATTTTGATAGTTTAAAATCTAAGTACATTTTTGTTGAAATGAAATTATTTATTTAGTTAGTTAGTTTTTGAGACGGAGTCTCGCTCTGTTGCCCAGGCTGGAGTGCAGTGGCGTGATCTCGGCTCACTGCAAGCTCCGCTTCCTGGGTTCACGCCATTCTCCTGCTTCAGCCTCCCGATTAGCAGGGACTACAGGCGCCCACCACCACGCCTGGCTAATTTTTTGTATTTTTAGTAGAGACGGGGCTTCACTGTGTTAGCCAGGATGGTCTCTATCTCCTGATCTCGTGGATCCACCTGCCTCGGCCTCACAGAGTGCTGGGGTTACAAGCGTGAGCCACCGTGCCCGGCTGAAATGAAATTATTGGTAGCTTCTTTTTGAGCAATAGTAGAGCCATATTTGTCATCAAATATATTATTTTGTAAAAACCAGATTTTAGATTAGCTTACACAGATGGGCTTGGCCTCATTATTCATGTGCATATACTGAAGTAAGATATCTTTCACTAGTTTTAATTATTTTTGTGTTGTAGGAAGGTAAATATCTTAATTGGTCATTGTGCTGAGATTAGCAGTGCCTCATTCAATTGGGATTGCTCTCTAATATTAACTGGCTCTATGGACAAAACCTGCAAGGTGAGCAAAATAAATAAATATCTTTGCTTTATATTGTGTCTATACTCTTTACTGTGTCAGATATCCATTGTAACATTAACAGATTTCAAAGATGATATAAAATTAAGATATTAATTTACAAAAAATAGTTGGTAATTTTTAAAATTTCTAGTTTTGGATTTTCCAAATTTGAAGGAATTGTGATGTAGTAAAGCAATTTGAATTGCTTCAAGTATATTAAATATCTTATTTGAGAAGGCATTTTATTTTTATTTAATATCCCACTGTTCATTTATAGAACTTCAATTAGTAGAGTGACCCTCAAGGAGCCTCAAACACAGTGTTTCCTTGTCCCTAAGTTTCTATACTTAAAAAATGGTTACTAAGAGATTATACTATGGAATTATCATTTGTTTATGTAACAAATATAATCTTATAATGTACTTTCCATTTTCTGACATTGTAGTTTTATATCAAGCTCCTAATCATTTGATGTCCTTCCTATAAAAAGAGCACAACTCTTCACCAACCAGTAAAGCATACACGTTGAGATATTTTTTCTTTCTTTAATGTAGTGGCAGATTCTAAATGTCTGACTTTGGTTTTCTCTGTGACTAGAGTGTGCCTTGCTTGATGGTTGGCTGTGGTCTCTGGTCATGAATCAAAGTAAATCTAACTGAACATGCATGAATTACACAAGTGATTTTTGCACAGTTATTTAACCAGCCATAAGCATGTCATGAAGACCACTGGCCATCTTCACACTTCAGACAGAAAGTCATAGTCTTTTTTTTTTTGTTTTTTGTTCTTTTAATTGTAGCTGTGGGATGCTACAAATGGAAAATGTGTGGCAACCTTAACAGGCCATGATGATGAAATACTAGACAGCTGCTTTGATTACACTGGAAAGCTTATTGCAACTGCTTCAGCTGATGGTAGGTGATCTGTTCATTCTTTTAATTTTTGGAGAGATTTATGCTTTGCTTGATAACCATGCATAATTCTACACTATGGGTCATTTCTTTGATGACCAGCTATGATAAAAAACCATGTCTCATCTCTATCGTGACCATGTATGGCACAATAGTGTGTCTATATCATATACCTGATAACCACATGTAATGTTATGCAATGTCTGTGTCACCTCCTACATAACGAGGTATATGAGGTCTTTGTCATCTTCTTAATATCTGTATATGATGCTATATTCTGGGTCATCTCCCTGATTTTTATTATTATTATTATTTTGAGATGGAGTCTCACTCTGTTGCCCAGGCTGCAGTGCAGTGGTGCGATCTCGGCTCAACGCAACCTCCGCCTCCCAGGCTCAAGTAATTTTCCTGCCTCAGCCTCCCGAGTAGCTGGGAATACAGGCATGCACCACCATGCCTGGCTAATTTTTGTATTTTTAGTAGAGACGGGGTTTCTCCATGTTGGCCAGGCTGGTCTCGAACTCCTGACCTCAGATGATCCACCTGCCTTGGCCTCCCAAAATGCTGGGATTACAGGCGTGAGCCACCGTGCCCAGCTTCCCTGATGATTACATATGATGTTACCCTATGTTGGCCTTGTCAACTTAATTACCATCAATGGTGCTATAATCTCCTTTACTATAACCACATGTGCTGTTCCGCTATGTCTACTGCATCTTTGTGATAAGCATACATGATGCTATGCTATACATTGTCTCTTTGATTACCACTGTGATTCTACACTATGTGTCATCTTATTGATAACCATATATAGTGCTATCCTAGGTGTGCTTCAATCCTGTGACAGTCACATGTGACACTACACTATATCTGTCATCTCCCTGTTGCTCACATGTGACATGATATTGTGTCTGTCTTATCGCCTAAGGATCATGTTTATTTCTACACTGTATCTGCATCATCTTGTTGAAAGTTGCATATTATGCTATACTGTGTTTTCATCTACTCCTTTAAAACCACATTTGATGCTGGGCCATATCTGCATCATATCCTTGATAATCATATATGATGCAAAACCATGATCATCTTGCTGACAAATATGTATGATACTAACACTCTGTCCACGTCATCTCGTTGAAGCCACATGCAATGCTATATGATGTTTTTATTATCTCAGTGACGACCATCTGTGTTGGTGTACTATGCATGCATCATGTCCTGGATAACATTTTATGATACTGAACAACAAGTCATTCCCATGACAACCATATATGATGTTATATTATGTGTCATCTCTTTGACAAACATATGTGATGATTCATTGTGTCTGCACTATTTCCCTGGCAAGTATTTATGATGCTACTCTATGTCTGCAGCATATTCCTGAAAAACATGTGTTAACACTATACAATTTCTACATTATCTCCCTGACAATTTCCTATTTTACACTAAACTATGTCTACACCATATCCTTGATAACCACATGGTACTATACTATGTCTCCATCATCCTATGTCTCCTTGGCAAGCATATGTGATGCTATACTAAGTCTATGTCATATCGACATCACATACCATGCGTGATGCTATTCTGTGAGGCATAGAATTTGAAGTATGAACTATGTGTCATCTTCCTGAAGATACAGATGATGCTAAACTACATCGATACCATCTACCTGATGACCACGTGTGAAGCTACACCAAGTCTGTTATCTATCTGATGACCACATATGATGCTATATTGTATCTATGTCATGTATCTGACTATGTTTAATTTACACTGTTTTTATCCTCTTTATAATAATGTATGATACTATACTGTATCTTTATCCAATTATTTATAACCATATATGATACTATTCCATATCTTAGTATTTCTTAGAAATCCATGTATGATGCTATAGTATTTATACCTCATTGCCCTGGCCAACATGTCTGCAGGGTCCACTATATCACATCACCACCTTTAGAAAGGTGGTGATATTATCTATCTATCTATCTATCTATCTATCTATCTATCTATCTGTCTGTCTGTCTGTCTCCTATTGGTTCTGTTTTATACTATATATAATTTTATGTATTTTTTATATTATATATTTGTACATTTTTATATATTATATATTTATATGTATTACACTATATATACTATGTATATAATTCTGTTTATAGTATATATAGTATATAACCAATAGTATATAAATACACACACACATATATATAGTATATAACCAATATTATATAAGTATACACACACACATATTTATATATGAAGGCTGAGAAGTCTTGCCATATGCCATCTGCAAGCTGGAGAATCAGGAAAGTCAGTGGTATAATTCAGTGTAAGTCTGAAAACCTAAAAACTTGGGGGGACCAATGGTGTAACTCTTAGTCTGAGGCCAAAAACTTGAGAGAACTGAGGAGGGCACTGGTGTCAGTCTTGGAGTCTGGGGATCTGAGAACCAGAAGCTCGATGACCGAGGGCCAGAGAAGATGGATGTCCCAGCTCCAGAAGAGAGAATTTCATCCTTCCTCCACCTTTTGTTGTATCTGGGTCCTCAATGGATTGGATGATGCCTGCCCACATTGGTGAGGGTGGCTCTTATTTACTCAGTCTAACATCCTCACAGACACACCCAGAAACAATGTTTTACCAGCCACGTGGGTATCCCTTAACACAGTCAAGTTGACACATAAAATTAACCATCACAATGCCGCACTGTGTGTGTATATCCTGTTACCCACATATGACATTATACTACATCTGCATCATCTCCCTGACAACCAAATACAACATCGTGATGTTTCTGAGGTATCCTAAAACATGTGTTATGCGTACCTTATTCTTTGATAGTCATATATGATATTGTACTATGACAATTTCCTTGATGATCATGTATGATGCTATATAATATATGCATCATGGCCAGGTGTGGTGGCTCATGCCTGTTATTTCAACACTTCGGGAGGCCAAGATTGGAGGATCGCTTGAGGCCAGGAGTTTGAGATGAGCCTGGGCAACATAGTGAGACCCCATCTCTACAAAATTAAACAAAAATTAGCTAATTAAAACAAAAATTAGTCAGGTGTGGTGGCATGCACCTGTAGACCTAACTACTCAGTAAGCTGAGGAAAATAACCTGAGCCCAGGAGGAGTTCAAGGTTACAGCGAACTATGATTATGCCACTATAATCCAGTCTGAGTGACAGAGTGAGACCCCATCTTCTTGATGAATATATTTGTGGATGAACACACACACACACACACACACACACACACCCCTCATATTCTAGACAGCCATATGTGGTGTTACATTATTTGAAATGTATTGGACAATGATGTGTGATGTTATATTATTACTATATCACCCCTTTAACAACCCCATAAGATGCTATATGTTACTTTATACTATTTCGGCATCATATTCATAATAACCATTTATTACACTAGGCTACAATTAATCTCCAGGACCTACAAATATGATACTACACTATGTCCATGCCATTTGGAAAACAGGGTATGATGATACAATATTTTTGCATCATTTCCCTGACTACTATTTATGATGCTGCAGTATGTCTGCTTCATTTTCATGATAAGCACCTGTGACATTACAACATATCTGTGTCGAATCCATGGTATCTTCATATGACACAAAATTATGTGTCATCACCCAGATACTTTTTTTCTGCATCCAATCATCCATGAGACCCTGATGTCTTGTATGAAACTATGCTATGTGTCATCTCCCTGATAACATATAACACCGCCCTATATCTGCATTATCTCTCTGACAACCTAAGTAAGCTTATACTATTTTTTGAGCCATATCCTTGACAATTGTATATGAAGCTATACTATGTCTCATCATGTTTTTGGCAATGGATGAAACTATACTATGCTTGCATATATTTAAGAATCATGTATAGTTATATATATATGTATACACATACATATATATGTGTATATATACATACATATGTGTATATATACATATATACATATATACACGTGTATATACACATATACACGTGTATATATACATATATACACGTGTATGTATAAGCATATATACATATATACATGTGTATATATACACATGTGTATATATAAAATTATACATGATTATATATATTATATATATATTACATTCTGAGATATTGTGAATTAGGACTTCAACATATGAATTTTAAAAGGACACAATTCAGCATATAATAGCACATATGACATACTGTGTGTTTGCTGCTTCTGCCTGACAACTGCATATTATTTTATGTTTTTATCATCTTCTTGAAACCACTTATATTACACTGTAACTTCATCATGCCCTATACAAAGGGCTGTGCTATACCTTATGGGTGACATGGCCTAGTTATTTAAGGATGATGCTATAATATATTTACTTTGTCTCCCTGATGATCATTTTATTTGTAAGAACATGTTTTCATCCTCTCCTTGGCAACAACTTATAATTTCTCCACTATGTCTGTGTCATTGCCTTGATAACCACATGTACTTTCTGTATCATCTTTCTGACTACCACATATGATGCTGTATAACGTATGTGTTATATCCCTGATATCCACATGTGATGCTATCTTATCTCTTACCTCTCTTTAGGACCTTTATGAGATTACACTATGTCTACATCATCTCCCTGATGACCACAAATGGCAGCTACATTACATATGTGCCATCTCTCTGACACTTATGCCCCTATACTATCTGATTCATCTTTCTCATGACCATATATCCTGCTTCACTATGTATAGATCCTTTCATGACAACAATATTTGGCTCTGTGCTGTGTCTGTGTGTCTATACTGTGCTACGCTATGCTCTACTCTTCTATGCCATACCATACCATACTATACTGACTTATGTGTGTACATTGTCTTTTCTGGAACCAAGTATAATGTTACATTCTGCCTCATCTCCATGGTCAACATGTATGATGTTATGCTATATCTATGTCACCTTCTTTCTCTTTTTCTTTTTTTCTTTGAGATGGAGTCTCGCTCTGTCGCCCAGGCTGGAGTGCAGTGGCACGATCTTGGCTCACTGCAACCTGCGCCTCCCAGGTTCAAGCGATTCTCCTGCCTCAGCCGCCCGAGTTATGTCACGTTCTTGGTAATCATGTTTGATGTTATCCGGTGTGTTCATCTCTTTGATCACTGGACGTGATGCTAAACTATGCCTGTGTCATCTGCTGTCAACAATATGGTATGCTACATGCTGTGTTCCTTATCTTCTTGATGATCATATATAATGCTGCACTGTCTAGTATGTCTGTTTCATATCACTGGAGGTCTGGACATTGCTACACTTTGTGTTTGTCATCTCAGTGATGACCGCCTATTCTGCTTCATTTGTATTCTTCATTTCCTTGAAAACAAAAATGTTTCCCTATGTCTGTGTCACCTTGTTGAAAACCATACATAAGCTATACTGCTGTCATCCCCTACCTGTTAATCATGTAGGATGGCATATTCTGGGTTATCTCCTTGATGATCATATAAAAAGCTGCCATGTGTCTGCAATGATAAACATGATAATTGTGGATTGTGCTCTCATACGTTTGCATCTGTATGTCTTAGACAACTATGTATGCTACACTATCACTCCAAATTTCCTTGGCAACCATATATGATGCCACATTTTGGGTCCTATCACTGATGGTCATGTTTGATGCCCCATCCTTGACAGCTATATGTTGTACAATATTATCACTGCTTATAGCATCATAAATGTTACAAAGGAGCTTGAACATTTGGCAAGCATGTATATTGCTAAACTATTTCTCTGTCATCTCCTTTACAATCGCAATCATGTATGAGTCTGTACTATATCTGAATCATCTCCTAGATAACAAAGTGACATGCAATTTTAGGAT
Source organism: Homo sapiens (assembly GCF_000001405.40). NCBI lineage: Eukaryota > Metazoa > Chordata > Mammalia > Primates > Hominidae > Homo > Homo sapiens. The sequence goes on from NC_000002.12 coordinate 227,913,140, forward strand.
TCATCTTTCAGAACCTCGCATGAGAAGATCATCTTCTTGATGATGATTTGTGACACTATCCTTTGTTTGGGTCTTGATATCACCACATATTGTGTTAAAACATGACTACATAATATCCTTCATATCGACATGTGATGTTATATTATGTGTACTTCATTTCCTTAATAACTATAGATGATATACTAAGTTACCGCCTTTATAACCATGTGTTATATCTCCCTATTTCTGAGTCATCACCTTGATAACCACATGTGACATTATACTGTGTGTTTCATCATGTTGAAAATCACAGATAATGCTTTTCTCCTTGATAACCACATATGATGCCTGATATTTATATGGACCAGCTCCTTTGTGACATTTATGATGCCATAATATAGGTTATTTCCATGAGGAAAACCCACAGTGCTGCATTCATGCATGTCGTCTCCTTGATATTCATGTATAATGCTATCCTATGTGCCATTTTAAAATTCCCATATGTGATGGTACTCTACATGCACATCATCCCACTGATAACCATGTGATACTATACATGTGTCATCTCCTTGGCACTGTGTATGGTTCTAAAATCAATCTTTGTAGAATCCTTGTACACCACATATATCCCTGTACTATGCATATGTCATGCTCTTTATGGCCACTGAGATGCTACAGTGTCTCTGTCATCTCCCTGATCATCATGTATGACATTACAACATGTCTACACCTTCTGCCAGAAGACAGTCATCATATCTATCTATCTGTCTGTCTGTCTGTCTGTCTGTCTGTCTGTCTGTCTATCTATCTTCATCATCATCATCATCATCATCTATCTAATCTATTGAGAGAGAGAGTCATATATCTGTATCTCTCTCTCTCTCTCTCTCTCTTTCTTTACATTAGGTCTATTCATGTTCCTAAAGGCCTTTATAATGCAACAATATTTCTGTGGCATTTCTTTGATAAACACATAGGACCTCACATCACATCTGTGTCTACCTCATTTGTTTGATAACCGTGAGTGATGCTGTACTATGTCTGCACCACCTCCTTGATAAACAAATATGGTGCTATACTGTGTCTTCATCATCTATGATCCTGTACTGAGGATTATCTTATATTTTGGGTCATTTCTCTGACCATAATGTATGATGCTACAATATGTCTGCATCTTAAACTTGATAACCGTGGCTGGTGCTATAATACTATATGCACCATCTCCTTGATAACCACCTATGATGCTATACTATGTATACCAAATCTCCTTTACAACCATTGATGATCTATGTTATTTGTCATAAGTAGTGATCTATGTTACTTGTCATAAATAGTGATTACTACTTATGATTCTACGCTGAGCCATCATATTGATATCCATATGTGATGCCACTCTGTGTCATCTCTTTGGAAACCATGTATGATGCTACACTCTGTGCACCTTATATCCAAGAAGATTACATATGACGTTACACTAGATTATGTCATCCCCCTTATGCCCACATTTGGCATTGTATTGTCTGCCTCATCTCACTGATGATCACTTATGAGGATACATGATGTCTACTTCACTGTCTGCATTAACATGTATTGTGCTACATCTTATCAGGGTCATCACCTTGAAAACCACCTATGATGCTACATGTTTTCATCACCATCTTGAAATTTATGTTGGAATCAATATGATATCTGTCTTAGATAATGTCGTACTAATATATGTCATCCTTTTAATCACATGATATGTTTACATCATTGATAATCATATATAATTCTAGGCTATAGGCCACCATGACAACTACATGTCATGCTATACTATGTCTGTATCATCTTTTAACATACTACATATATTGGTACATTATGACTTTTTCACCTCCTTGAGAGCCATGTATGATACTGCTGTACTATGGCTAAACTCCCTGATGACAGTGATGCTACATAATGTCTGCATCATACCCTTGACAAAAACATATGGTGCCACACTCTGTCTGCATCATAATTTTATTAAGTATGTGTTATGGTATAGTATTACTGCAGCACACTTTGATAAATATATGATGCTCTGCTTTTATTCATGTTGTGTAGTGATGTAAACTATATCTTCATCCTTTACTTGATGATGATATATGATGCTATACTATGATTTTATTATTTCCACAATATTCTCAAATGACAATCTATTATGGGTCATCTTTTTGATGGTAATGTATGGTGTTACTCTATGTATGTGTCATCACTTGTGTGTCATCAACTTAAGTACTATGTATATGCTATTCTATATTTGCCTCTTTTTCTTGATATCCATAAAGTATGCTATTTTATGGGTCAGTTTCCTAATGACCATGTTTGATGCTGGAAGATGTCTGCATTATCTCTTTGAACACCAAGTGGGATTAATACTATAACTATGTCTTTTCTGCAATGACCCTGTGTGATGCTAAACTATTTCTGTGACACCTCCTTGACAATAACCTCTGATAATCATCTCCTTGAGAATGATGTGTGATGCTGTAACATACCCTGTCTGTAGTAAATCCTATGGTACTAGACTCTGTTTTGGTCTTCTTAATAACACTGAATATATGTACTATGTTTCATCTCACTACTCCCATTTATTGTGCTAAAATATAATTGTCTCTGTCAGCCATATGTGATGCTATCTTATGTGTCATATCCTTAATAGCCATATATAATGCTACACTGTATCTACTTCCTCTTCTTGATAACCACATCAATGTTATACTATTGTCTATATCATGTCCTTGAAAATTCCTTATGATATTATGCCGTAGTTCATCTCATTTAGGACAATTTATAATGCTACAATGTTTGTGCCATCACCTTGAAAGTTACATATGATTATACATTATTTCTGCATATTTTCATGATAGCTATTTTATCAGTCACATATTTCTAATAAACATCTGTGGCATTTAAATCTTTGTGATTTCCCTGATAACCATGTATGATGCAACATTATGTCTTCATTGTCTTATTGAGACCCTGTATGACTATTACCCTGAAAATAATGTACTGCTACACTATATCTAATATGTAATCATCTCCTTGACAACCACTTATGGTTATATGCTATGTCTGCATTGTTTTTAACAGCAGTACATTAATTTATACTATGTTTACATCAATTTAAAAATACTTATGCATGATATTATGAGTAATCTCACTGATGACAGTATTTGATGCTGCAAGATATCTGTGTTATCACCTTGACAACTATATATGGTGCCACACTATATGTGCAAAATCTGCTTGAGAAGTACATATGATGCTGTTATGACTGCGTTGTCTCTTTGGTAACTATGTATGATGTTTAAACCAAGGTCATTCTCTTTGATAGTCACGTATTATGAATGTCAATGTGCATGTCATCTACTTGAAAACCAAGTATGATGCTATACTATTTCTCTGTCATCTTCTTGATAACCTTGTAGAGTGCTTTACTATTTTGCATCATCTTCTAGAAAATTACATATGATAACCATGGATATATGTCATATCCGTGATGGCCATGTATACTATATTATTTGGGTATCATCTTCTGTAGTCCACATATGACCTGTGAAGTCTCCATTATTTTCTTGATGATCATATGTGATGCTACACTATGTCTTTTTCATCTACCTGAACTTGACAGTGATCACACATCAGGCTATACTATGTCTGCGTTATCTCCTTTAAATCCTCATATGATGTACAGCATGTCTATGTTAACATTCTGACTCCTGTGTAGATACTACTATACATCTGGATCATCTTATTGATGATCATGTATGATGCTACACTGTGTATGTGTCAGCTCCATAATTCTGACCTATGTCTGTATAATCTCCTTGTCAGCAATGTATGACACTACACTGTATCTGCATCATCTCCTTGATAACCACATTTGACCCTACACTATGTTTATGTTATCTCTCTGACAACATGTGACACTAAGCTATGTCTGTGTCGTCTCCCTCATGACCATGCATGACAGTATCTATCTATCTATCTATCTATCTATCTATCTGTCTGTCTGTCTGTCTGTCTGTCTGTCTGTCTGTCTATCTATGTATCTATCCATCTATCGATCGATCTATCTACTTTTTCTTCTTTATTGGAATTATTCTGAAGGCTGATTTTTTTGTTTCTTTTTTTTTTTTTAGATGGAGTCTTGCTCTTTCGCCCAGGTGGGACTGCAGTGGCACTATCTCAGCTCACTGCAAGCTCCACCTCCTGGGTTCATGCCATTCTCCTGCCTCAGCCTCCCGAGTAGCTGGGGCTACAGGTGCTCACCACCGCACCCGGCTAATTTGTTGTATTTTTAGTAGAGACGGGGTTTCACCGTGTTAGCCAGGATGGTCTCGATCTCCTGACCTCGTGATCCTCCCGCCTCGGCCTCCCAAAGTGCTGGGATTACAGGCATGAGCCACTGCGCCCAGCCGATTTTTTTGTTTCTTTAGTTGTATCCCTATCTGTAAAAAAATTACAGTGTTGCAGGCCATATTATTTCTGAGTTTTCTGAAGTTTAGACATATAGTTTTATAAAACTTAGAGTGTAGATCTGTGCAGGACATTCTCTTTCATGTTATTGACTCTGAAACCAAATTGGTCACTTCCCTTTAAGGCTTTTGAAATGTCCAACCGAATTTCAAGTTATATATTTTTTAATCACATTAATTCTAAAATGGCAGGTTTTGTCATTTTTTGTACCTCCTCATGAAGTTGACATTGTCAGAAAGGCAAGTAAAAAATTTATTATGATATTTTACTTTTCTCTGGATGCAAATCAAGTACCTACAATTTTGTATCCTTGCTATATTTTACTACTATGTAATGCTATAATCAGAGATTTAAAAAAGCAGTCTTCATCTGGCAAGGCAAATTGTAAGTTTTCTTCTAACAAAAATTTTACTACTCATGTTTTTCACTTTCAATACTTATTTATTTAACTTATTCATCCTTTACTGATGAGGAAATGTCCATAGTACTTATTCCATCCATTTCTCCATCCATCCATCCATCCGTCCATCCATCCATCCATCCATCCATCCATCATCCATCCATCCATCCATCCATCCATCCATCCATCCATCCATCCATCCATACTACAGCTATTTATTGAATGGCTAATATATGCTTGGCGCTTTTGGCGCTGGAGGCAGAGCAGGAAAAAAGCATTCTATTAGCTTTTTCTGTAGAAAAGGGTTTTTGAAGCCTGTTTTTTGCCTGTTGAGTAGCGGCTGATGCTCCTTCTTGGGATGTTCCTTGTGTACCTTGCAGAAACTCAGACTCACACCTAGTGTATCATGCTGGTCTTGCTGCTTATTTCATCACCTGCCTCTTGAAACTTGCTCTAATTCCTCTTTTTCTCTTAAAGTTTTTTCTTTCTGGATTCCTGCTTCTTGGTCTCTTTTCTACCTTGGAATACATTATTTCTTCTAATAAGCTCAGGGCTAAAGAGGAGCTCCCTCTCACCCTCTCCTGCAATGGGACCAGCAGGCATTTAGAGTATTAAGTATCTGGCTCTCAACACAGGCAAGAAGATGAACTTAGCACAGAGCTCGTGTGTCAGGGGGATATATATTTATACAATGCAAAGTCTTTTATCCAAAGTTCTGTATTTAAGATGAATTTATATATATCCCCACCCCTCTCAAAAAGGAACAGCAAGAATTTTCAGTGCTGCCACAAGAAAATGCATTGCCAAACTGGAAGGTCATGAAGGTGAAATTTCAAAGGTGAGTCGCTTTCTCATTTGGAGGAGTTTATTTACTTTCAAAAAATAAAGAGCAGGGCCCAGGTGCAGTGCCTCACACCTATAATCCCAGCACTTTGAGAGGAAAAGGTGAGAAGATTGCTTGAGGCCAGGAGTTCAAGACCAGCCTGGGCAACATAGGGATACCTCATCTCTACAAAAAACAAAAAAAGTCAGCTGTGCATGGTGTTACCCACCTGTAGTCCCATCTACTGTGGAGGCTGAGGAAGGAGGATTGCTTGAGCCCAGGAGGTCAAGGCTGCAGTGAGATGTGATTGCACCACTGCATTCCAGCCTGGGTGACAGAGCAAGACCCTATCTAGAAAAAAAAAAAAGAAAAAAAAAAAAAAAGCATGCTCAGTATAAATAGGTCTATTGGAATTGAAGTACTAAGATTAAGATTTGTTCTATTGTCTCATGTTTTTTTCTAGAAATCACTTACCTAAAGACTTTATTTTTAACTGTGCCCTCAAACTTAGCATAATAAATTATTTCTAAAACCTCTTAAAAAGTATGGAACAGCATTCGCCTCCACTGTCAGCAAAAGATTTAGTTAGCTGAAGATATTTAATATGGCAATTTAAGGAGCGTGTAAACTGCTTTTCCTGGTTCCGGTAAACACATAAGTTTATGTTGTGCGAAAAATATGCTGGGCAGCAAGTATCAAGTGTTCTGTAAGTTAGATGCAATTGAGGAAGTAGTTCCTGGAAATATGTAAAATTATAATTAAAATTAAATTATAAAATTATCCATTTTGAAACTACAAAGCTGTGTTTTAGGATTTTGTATAAACTTCCCCCAAAGGATCATTCACGGAGCAGGCCCACCCAGTCAGTGATCTGAAGTTTAGATGTGTCATCAGAACTTCGTAGAGTAGGCTAGGATTGGTGGCTCTCACCTCCCAGCTCAGCACAATCCCTTGGTTCCCTGTCTGAGATCAGATTTGTTCCTGCTTTGCAAAATATCAGCTTGATGATTTTAGGTTTCTAAAGGCCCCTTCTAGACCCTGGAACTCCGCCCCAGGCTGTACTCTCGGCCTTTCTGCTTCTGCACCTACAGCTGGTGATCATTGCCCTCTGGCTGGTCAGTGGTGGTCTCCAGGGCATGCAGACTATGGCCTCTTCATAAGCTGGGAGGCTTATGGATGGCAGGAGGGGATGGAAAAGTGGGGTGTGGGAGGCAGGATGAGGAGGAAGCCTGGCCCATGTTTCTGAGTGTCTGGCTAGGTAGCTATTGAGACATCTGTGTGTCTCCTCCATAAGTAAACATCTATTTTCATGAATGAGTGAATACAAAGAATTCTCTAGTGCTATTTTATTACATTTTATGCTTTTTAAATGAACATATTACTTATTGAATTGGCATCTGGTAAGGGCATTTCTATGGGGTGCAAAGCTAAAGTATTCACTCATTCAACAAACACTTTTAGAGAGTGTCCACTGTGCTGGGCATTGCACAGCCACTGGTAACAGAGTGATAAAAACAGATACGGCCCTGCCCTCCTCAAACCTTCAGTCATTGAGGAGATGGCCCGAATCTCTGTCTTCTGGTGATTAGAGGGGGATGTAAGTGTGACACCCAAAGGGATGCAGGACTAACAGGTTCCTTTGATGGTCACTCAGATGCCAGTTGGCAACACCTGGCACACGGGAGGCACAGAAGCGTATTTATGGAAAATGCTATACTTGGGGTGGCAGTAGATGAGAACATCCTTTCTTGTAGGTTCTACATTCACTTATTCTATGGCACAGATTAGAGAAGGATCTGTGTGCTTTTTAAAAAATTTTTATTTATTTATTTTTATTTTTTATTATTTTTTTTGAGATGGAGTCTTGCTCTGTTACCCAGGCTGGAGAGCAGTGGCATGATCTCAGCTCACTGCAACCTCCACCTCCCAGGTTTAAGCGATTCTCCTGCCTCAGCCTCCCCAGTAGCTGGAATTACAGGTGTGTGCCACCATCCATGCCAAGCTAAATTTGTATTTTTAGTAGCGACGGGGTTTCGCCATGTTGGCCAGGCGGTCTTGAACTCCTGACCTCAGGTGATCCACCTGCCTTGGCCTCCCAAAGTGCTGGGATTACGGTCCTGAGCCACCGCCCCTGGCCCGGATCTGTGTGCTTTTGACCACAAAGATGACACCAGGGTTTGGCTACGAAGGATCCTGACTCGTGTGTTCATCCACACCAGGGCCCTGCATCTTTGCACAGAGAAGGGCATCGTGCATCTTTGGAAAGAAGCTGGGTGGGGAATACTCAAATTATAAGGATGCTTTGGTCTTTATTCTTAGAAATGTGAGGAGTAGGCAATTACATTTTCTCTCTGGATTTTAGTTTCCATGTACTAGTCCCTGCAATATTTTTTTCCATTATGAAGAAATTGTTCTATGCAAGAATAAATACCAGACTAGGAAGGTGACATGTGCTGTAATGTCCTTTTTTTTTTTTTTTTTTTTTTTTTTTTGCTGATAAGAAATGTTTTGGGAACCATTACACAAAGCTGTGATCATTTTTCTTTCTCTTTTGCAGATTTCTTTCAACCCTCAAGGGAACCATCTTCTAACTGGCAGCTCTGACAAAACGGCTAGAATCTGGGATGCTCAGACTGGCCAGTGCCTCCAGGTTCTTGAGGGGCACACTGATGAAATCTTTTCATGTGCTTTCAACTATAAAGGCAACATAGTCATTACAGGTATGGAAGACATCAACACCATAGACTCATTTTTTCTTGATTGGCTGTTAGAGTTCCCAAGCTGAATACTAACAGGAGTTCATCCCCATTCCCTACCTCTTTTCTGGAGTCACTAGCTCATCTTGGCCTGCCCTCATATTTTCATTATTTAATTTTAGTTTTATGAGGACCCACAGGAGTGAGCGCTGCCATTGACTGTAGTAAGCCTTTGTGAACTTTGAATTTTATTTGCTCTAGATAAGGTAACAATTTGATAGCCTGCCTTACAGGTTACTAAATTTCCCCAGGTGTTTTCTATCAATTGAATGGTTAATATTTAGTCAGCCAGGCGCATTGGCTCATGCCAACAATCTCAGTGCTTTGAGAGGCTGAGGCAGAAAAAATGCTTGAGGCCAGCCTGGGCAACATAGTGAGACCCCGTCTCTACAAAAAAAATAGAGCATTAGCTGGGCATGGTGGCGTACACCTGTAGTCCCAGCTACTCAGGAGGCTGAGGCTGGAGGAGCACTTGAGCCAAGGAGTTGGAGGCTTCAGTGAGCTATGATCAGGCCACTGCACTCCAGTCTGGGTGACAGAGTAAGACCCTGTCTCAAGAAAAAAGTTGAGTTTATGTCAGTAAGTGTTAGTAACCAAAACAAGTCAGGATCAAAATTCTCCCCAGTTGGCTTTACAGCCCATTAGAGATTTATTCTTTGAGCAGAGTTGTTTTCTCCCCTGCTAAAGCACTAATGTCTGGGGGGAAAGAACATGTATTAACCATTTTTCAACCGTTAACAGTTTATGGTGAATTAATAATATTAGCAACATTTCATAAGAAAAGGGTAGTTTAGATCGTGGAAAGGGGAGAAAAATGACAAGATGATGGTATCATGTTAGTGGAGTGCCTCGAGGGGAGGCCTTGGCAGGGAATGGGTGCCACAATAGTGTGGAGTAGGGCACCCTAAGTGAGCACAGAAGACCAGATCTGCCTAAGTACCAGTGATTCTCATCATGTTGAGCAAATTTAAAAATTACTAGTCTAATAAGTTAAATGCCACAGGCCCAAGGCTGGCTTTACATATTGGCCAATTAGGTGGTTTCCTTGTCAGATAACTTCAGGGGTGCTGAGAATTATCTCCCCTTACCACCTAAAATGCCTCCCCAGTCTACTTAATGATGGACAGTTTCCGAAATCACAGGGCTTACGATCTTCAAAATCTTTGGGCTTATGATTTTCAAGTGTTAACTAAGATGTAGGTACTTTGAAAGCACTGGGAAAACAAGCCATAGATTTTTGTTGTGAACACAATATCAAATCCTTCTCCTTGATGAGAAAAGAGGTGAGGGGCTATGATGGAGGGCACAGGGCGCTCCTGCAGGGAGTGAGAAAGAAGGAAGACCAGCCTTTCCTAGTCCACATGGCCTCATATGAGGCTGGCTCTGCAGTACTTCTTCCCTCAACCAGTTTTCACAGAAGACCCTGGAGAGTTTAGCAAAAGAATTTTTGTTATTGTGCCTTGCGTTGGTGCCAGCACATACATTCCTGAGCTCTTTGAAGATACCACTGATTAATTTAGTGTATCCCAAAGCACCAAAGTGCTTAACATTGGCTCACTAGACAACAGAGCTTATTAGATTGGGGTGACACTTTTCTCTTGCCATCGATGGAGCAGTCACTTTATTTGAAAGAATCTACTCTATTTTCCGAGTGGACCCTGGTGTGATAAACTGCAGGCATTTTGTAGTGGCCTACCTGAGGCTGGATTTAGAATCACAAAGTAAATGGCAGAAAAATAGCTGGCATGACCGTTACATTTGTTAAAACATGAAGTGTCATTTTGTGGGATATGGTTTTTATAGGCTTTCCTAATTCCTAAGGCACTCACACTTCTTATATTGATGTTATGTGCCTGGTCCCTGAAGGTGAGAAAACCAGTAGTGCCCACTGATGATGAGAAAAACCCCCTAAAATTTTGAAATGTTCCAAAGTGGTATGTCCTGCCTCTTCCTAAGCTTATCATCCAAACCTGGAGATATTCAAAGTTGCTGTATTTCCACTGGGTGGTGATGTTTGAGGGGACGGCAGAGGGGATGGCTGAGGTGGCTGCATTCTCAAGTTCTCTCCCATTCTGAGAAGCCATGAATCTTGCTAGTGTAAGTAAGCAGGATGCGTACCTGCTTAATTTACAACTAGCTGGTATCGTGAAAAAAAAAAAAATCACTACTTTAAAAATGCCTGAGCTGCTCAGAGACTCTGCAGCTAGGCGCGGAGAACCTAGCCCATTTAGCAAGTTGTTAATTACCAATGGCCCAGAAAATGTCAACTTGTAGAAAGAGAGAATGAGGTGAATGAAATGAAGAAAAAAATAACTGCATGAAATCTGTTTTATTAGGCAGCAAGGATAATACCTGTAGGATATGGCGTTGACTGAAGGAAGCTGGTCAGTGAGCAACCTTGCTAGCAATGGTAATCAAGAACTGGAACTTCACAGACAGCAGCTCTCTTAATATTTCTTATACTTTCTCTTTTTCTGCAAGTCAACTATTTCTACAACTGTCCTTCATTTCACAGATATGACCATTAAACATGACAAAGTTATGCCACTCCAATATTATTATTTGATGGCGATGGCAGGACACAGCATAATGTTTGGCTAATGCCACCAGTTATTTCAGTTGTGTTTGTTTTTTAAAAGCATTATGATACTGAAAAAGGAGACCAGAACAACTTAACAACGTGTCTCCTGGATTTTACTTTGAAGCCTATTGTTATAATTTCTGTTGAATAAAGTGTTTGGAGGAAATTCCTTGTACATGTGTATTTATGATGTATGTTTTTAGGGTGAAGTAAGGGAAATAATGCGGATCTCATTTAATGGCAAATATCTTCTGTATTGATACATTGAGAAAAATGTTGGCAGGTTTATTTCTAAGGAAAAGTTAAACAGAATATTCAGACTATTGCATTTAAAAATCTGGGTGGGGCCGGGCGCCGTGGCTCACACCTGTAATCCCAGTGCCTTGGGAGGCAGAGGCAGGTGGATCACTTGAGGTCAGGAGTTTGAGACCAGCCTGGCCAACAGGGTGAAGCCCCATCTCTACCAAAAATACAGAAAAAAAAAATCAGGCGGGCGTGGTGGTGGGGGCCTGTAGTCCCAGCTACTCGGGAGGCTGGGGCAGGAGAATCGCATGAACCCAGGAGGTGGAGGTTGCAGTGAGCCGAGATCACGCCACTACACTCCAGGCTGGGTGACAGAGGGAGACTCCATCTCACACATACACTAAATAAATAAATAAATAAATAAAATCTGGGTGGAAAACGATTGAAGTATGAGAGAAAATGATCAAATACCAACCTGAATACTGCTGAAATATTTTAAAATGTTTTTTAAAAGCTTGGTTTGTGTAAAAGTACCCAAATGCATATTAAAATTAATGTTAAAAGTACAAGCACTAATAAGGCCTGAATCTGAAGCAAGAGAATGCCTGAAAATCTTATGAAATCATTTTTTAAAAAGAGCTTCATTGATATGTAATCAATATATAAAATATTGCATATATTTAATGTATACATCTTCATGAGTTTGAACATAGATGATGCCATCATCAAAATCAAGGTACTAAATATACTCATCATCTTCAACCATTTCCTTGTGTTGTTTTGTGGTTTTTGTTGTTTCCTGGTACAAGCTCTTTAAATGAGCTCTATCCTTTGAGCATATTTCAAGGTGTATAATACTTCATTGTCAACTATAGGTACTGTGGTGTACAGCAGATCCCCAGAATGTGTTCTAGAACTCATTTTCTTAATAATGTGAATAATACCAATATGGCTAAGTGCTTACCATGTGCCAGTAATGCCCAACCACTTTACGTAGAACATCTCATTTAATCTTCCTAACAACTGTTACAAAGTAGATACAAGCCCTGATTTAAAAATGAGGAAAGTGAGTCCCTGAGAAGTTAAGTAATTTGCCAAGGGCATCTGGATATTAGGTGGTGATGTTGGTTTTAGAAACCAGGGATGCTGGCTCCATTACACTGTGTTCTTAAGTAGAAAAGATTTAATATGGGAGAGGAGAGTCAGATGTATAGGTAGGATGAATTGAAGTGAGAATTACTTCTTGGGTTATCTATAGATGTTAACCCTCAAGAAGAAAAAAATAAAACAAACACAGGCCGGGTGTGCTGGCTCACACCTGTAATCCCAGCACTTTGCAAGGCCGAAGTCAGAAGATTCCTTGAGCCCAGGAGTTCAAGACCAGCCTGGGAAGCATAGTGAGACCCCATCTCTACAAAAAATTTAAAAATTAGCCAGGTTTGATTGTGCAGGCCTGTAGTTCCAGCTACTTGGGAGGCTGAGGTAGGAGGATTGCTTGAGCCTGGGAGGTTGAGGCTACAGTGAGTTGTGATTACACCACTGCACTCTGGCTTGGGCAACAGAGTGACACCCTGCCTCAAAAAAAATTAATAAAGGAAAAAAAATTAAGTAAACAAACACACAAAAAAATAAACCAAACCTTTGTTGGGACTGTTGGGAAGAGGAGGTTCCAATATGATGAAGCCAAGAACTTAGATTGGAGAAAACTTTGCCAAAATTTGGCTGCTTCTTTTTTTTCTAAAAGCAAACCTCTTAAGCTTTATTAGTTTTTTCAGCTTTATTGAGGTATAACTGACACATAAAAATTGTATTATTCAAGGTATACAATGTGATATTTTGATATCACAAAATGAAATAATTACCACAGTCAAACTGCTAATTAACAAATCCATCACCTCACACAGTTACCTTTTCCCCCCTGTGGAGAGAATACTTAAGATCTATTCTAGCAAATTTCAAATATGCTTTATTTTTAACTGTAGTCATCAAGCTGTACATTAGATCTCTGAAACTAATTCATCTTGAAACTGCAAGTTTGTACCCTTTGACAAACCTCTCCCCATTTTCCCCACTCCTTGACCCCCGGTAACCACTCTTCTAGTCCGTTTCTACTGAGTTTTACTTTTAAAAATTCCATATGTGAGATAATATGGTATTTGTCTTTCTTTGTTGGGCTTATTTCACTTTGTCCTCTAGGTCATCCATGTTTTTGCAAATGAAAGAATTTTCTTCTTTGTCCAGGCTAAATGATATTACATATATCTTTATACAGGCATACCTCGTTTAATTGCAATTCACTTTATTGCACTTCTCAGATATTACATGTTTTAAACAAATTTAAGGTTTGTGATAACCCTGCCTGGGGCAAGTCTGTCAGTGCCATTTTTTCCGATAGCCTGTGCTCACTTTGTGTCCCTGTGTCACTTTTTGGTAACTCTCACAATGTTTCAAACTGTTGTATCTGTTATGGTGATCTATGATCAGTATTCTTTGATGTTACTATTATAATTGCTTTGGGGCACCATGAATCATGCCCATATAAAACAGCAAACTTAATAAATGTTATGTGTGTTCTGACTCCCCCACCAACCAGCCGTTTCCCATCTCTTTCCCTTTCCTTGGGCCTCTCTGTTTCCTGAGATGCAACAATATTGAAATTAGGCCAATTAATAACCTTACAATGGCATCTAAGTGTTCACGTGAAAAGAAGAGTCACATGTTTCTCACTTTAAATCAAAAGCTATAAATGATGAAACTTAATGAGGAAGTCATAGTGAAAGCCGAAATAGGCTGAAAGCTAGGCCTCTTATGCCAAATAGCCAACTTGTGAATGAAAGGGAAAAGTTCTTGAAGGAAATTAAAAGTACTGCTCCAATGAACACATGAATGATAACAAAGCAAAACAACAGCCTTATTGCTGATATGGAGAAAGTTTTAGTGGTCTGGACAAAAGAGCAAACAAACCACAATATTTCCTTTAGCCAAAGCCTAATCTAGAGCAAGGTACTAACGATCTTGAATTTTATGAGTGTTGAGAGAGGTGAGGAAGGTACAGAAGCAACGTTTCAAGCTAGCAGAGGTTGGTACATTAAGTTTAAGGAAAGAAACTGCTTCCATACTTAAAAGTGCAAGGTGAGCAGCAAATGCTGCAGAAAGTTATCCAGAAGGTCTAGCTAAAATCATTAAGGAAGGTGGCTACATTAAATAAAAGAGTTTCAATGTAAATGAATATCCTTTCATTAGAACAAAATGCATTTAGGACTTTCATAGCTAGAGAGGTCAGTGCCTCACTTCAAAGCTTCAAAGGATAGCTGACTCTATTGCTAGGGGATAAGATAGTTGGCGACTTTAGTTGAGGCCAATGCTCATTTACCATTCCTGAAATCCTAGGTCCCTTAAGAATTAGGTGAAATCAACTCTGTCTGTGCTCTGTAAATGGAATAACAAAGCCTGGATGACAGCACTTCTGTTTATAGCATAGTTCACTGAATATTTTAAGTCTACTGTTGAGACCTACTGCTCAGCAATAAAAAAGATTTTTTTTTCAAAAGTATTACTTCTCATTGGAAATTCACCTGGTCATCCAAGAGCCCTGATGGAGATGAGCAAGGGGATTAGTTTTGTTTTCATGCTTGCTAACACAACATTCATTCTGTAGCCTATAGATCAAGGAGTAATTTTGACCCTCAAGTCTAGTTATTTAAGAAGTACATTTTGTAAGGCTATACCTGCCATAAATTGTGATTCCTCTGATGGATCTTGGCAGGGTAGATTGAAAACTTTCTAAAAGGGTTTTACCATTCTAGTTGCCATTAAGAACATTCATCATTCATCTTGAATGATGAATCATTTTGGGGAGGTCAAAACATCAACATTAACAAGGGTTTGGAATAAGTTGATTTCAATATTCATGGATGACTGAGGGGTTCAAGATATGTGGTTCAAAATAGCAAAAGAACTAGAACTAGTATTAGAAGGTGTGACTGAAATGCTACAATGCCACAATAAAACTTGAATGGACGAGGAGTTGCTTCTTATGGATATACAGAGTGGTTTCTTGAGATGGAATCTACTCCTGGTGAAGATGCTGTGAACATTGTTGAAATGGCAACAAAGGATTTAGAATATTATATAAACTAGAAGGATTTGTTTATATAAAGCAGCAGAAGGGTTTGAGAGAATTGACTTCAATTTTAAAAGAAGTTTACTGTGGGTAAGATGCTATCAAACAGCATCACATGCAACAGAGAAATCTTTCATGAAGGGAAGAGTCAATTGATGCAGCAACCTTTATTGCAGTCTTATTTTAAGAAACTGCCACAGGCATCTGAACTGAACCTGCAATATCTCCAAGGTCTGCCTGCAACTATGTTATACATCTGCACACCTGTGTTCATTGCAGCATTATTCACAATTGTCAGGATATGGAAACAACCTCCTGAGTGTTCATTGATGAACATATGAATAAATAAAATGTGATATATATGATAAAGATATATACGTATATGTGTATTAGATTTTCTTACATTACATTGTCAGATAAAGAGACATATATACATATATATTACATTTCTTTATTGATATAGACATATATGTATCACTATATCCATATGGATATATAGATATCACATATTCTTTATCCATCATCCATCCATGCACGCTTAGGTGGTTTCCATGTCTTGGTTATTGTGAATAATGCTGCGGTGAACATGGGAGTTCACACACCTCTTTGAGATACTGATTTTATTCCCCTTGGATATATATATATCTAGAGGTGGGATTGCTGGATCATATGGTAGTTCTATTTTCAATTCTTTGAGGTTCTTTCATACTATTTTCCATAATGGCTGTACCATAACTCCTTATCTTACATGTAGTTTGCAAATATTTTCTCCCATTCTATGGTTGCCTTTTCTTTCTGTTGATTATTTTCTTATTTGTGGAGAATATTTTTAGTTTGATGTAATCTTATTTGCTTTTTTTTTTTGCTTTTACTGCCCGTGCTTTTGCTGTCATGACCAAAAAAAAAAAAAAAAAAAAAAAAAAAATCTTTGCCACAACCAACTCTGTGGAGCTCTCCCCCTGTGTTTCCTTCTGGGATTTGTTTTTACAGTTTCAGGTCTTATATTTAAATCTCTAATCCATTTTGAGTTGATTCTTGAGTATGATGTAAGATAAGGATCCAATTTCATTTGTTCTATGTGGATATCCAGTTTTTTCAGCATCATTTATTAAAGAGTCTATCCTTTTCCCATTGTGGTTACTTCTTTTAAAACTCCAAAAAAAAAAAAAAAAATAGAAGCAGATGCTGACTCTTGCCTGTCTAACTCTTTGATTGCTTTAGGGAAGGGTGATATGCTTTTGTAACATCATTCAAAAGAGTCAGCCAATGTATGGCAGTGGAGATCCAACATCCCATAGACCAATTTAGGTGGAGGAAGGCCTTGGCCAGAAAATGGCTTATTTCTCTAGTTTTTATATGTTGAAGAAGTCTTTCTTAATATTTATTATGGTTTTCAGATATTCCAACCTACTTAAAATAGGTGTTTGAATACTTAGAATCATAAGAAAAGTGATAATATGCCCACTTTATTTTTGTTTGCAGGAAAAGGCATTGAAGAGTTGTAGTGTGCTATGTGTGGGGTCTGGAAGTCAGATTGCCTGCATGTGGATTCTGATTCCAACTCTTAATCATTAGGCAAGTTACCTGACCACTCCTCTGTGTCTCAATTTCCTTACTTAAAAAGTGATCATAATAGTTCTCTTCTTTAGGATTAGGAATACCTGGCACGGGCTGGGTGTGGTGGCTCACACCTGTAATCCCAGCATTTTGGGAGGCTGAGGCAGGAGGATCACTTGAACCCAGGAGTTTAAGACCAACCTGGGCAACAAAGTGAGACCCTGTCTCAAAAAAAAAATGGAATATCTGGCACATAATAAACATAGTAATCAACATTTACTATTATTATTATTTGAGACAGGGCCTTACTCTCTTGCCCAGGCTGGAGTGCAGGGGTGTGATCTGTAACATCTGCCTCCAGGGCTTAAGCAATCCTCCCACCTCAGCCTCCCAAGTAGCTGGGACTATAGACACATGCCATCACGCCCAGCTAATTTTTTGTTATTTTTTGTAGAGATGAGGGCTGGCCATGTTGCCCAGGATGGTCTTGAACTCCTGGGCTCAAGCAATCTGCCCGCCTCAGCCTCCCAAATTGCTGGGATTACAGGTGTGAGCCCCTGTACTGGTCAACATTTACTATTATTTTTATGAATAAAAACTTAGTCATCTTATTTAAACACATTTCTCCAGAAAAAATTCGGTATTATTTCCTCAGAAATCATACTTGAGATATAACTGACTTTAATGTGTTATAGGTATTGTAAGGAGAATTATCTAGATCAATTTTTTATCAATTAAAAATAAAAGTTAAAGTTCTTAGAGTATTATCCTTTTAAAGGTTCTGTATTGAACAGAGGAACTGAGAAGTAAAGAAATCATCAATATAGACTATTATGATCTAATCCATCTTCTTCATATGTTTAGTTTTCTTATGTGAGTCTATGAAAGAGGATTATTCTTATAAAAAGAAATAGTTTCTAACAGCTCATATATAAAAATATATTAGCTCATGATTTAGCATAATTCCCATTTTAAAATTAAAATAAATGCACTTTTGAACTAAACAATGCTTTTTATACACGTATGTCTCACGTTGCCATGTAAAAACACATCAATCATCTTAAATTATAAGTAAATTTATCTTCTGTGTTTTCGCTGCTACTGTTACTCTAAAACAATTTATCTTTTTAAGTTTCCAAAGGAGCAAAATTTGAAGTTAAAAAAAAAACCTGTTATCTTACCAAGATTACTTTATATTTTGCTGAATTCAAATTCGCTGCTGTCTTGGTTAGAAATGCTTTTGTTGCAAGCAACAGAATACTTGCCATGATTAAATACCACGATTAATATCATGATTAAAACAATGTCAGTCCCAAAGGTGGCTATGCAATGGCATGAGGACTCAAGGACCCAGAGTTTGGTGACTTTCCACTTTTCCATCCTTAGCATGTTGGCTTCTGTCCTCCTGAGTAACCTTCCTGCTTGCAAGATTGAGGACAGAGCTTTATTAGCTTAAGCATCTTGCCATCTATTTTAATCTCATCAAGGCTAAAAGAGAACTGCTTACTCTCCTCCCTATTCCTTCCATTTTCTGTATCATCTCAGCAACGCTATTTCTGCTAACAATAGAATTATCATTCCCTTTTTCCTTTATTTTCTCTATCTATCCCCCAAATCATAAAGATTTCCCTCAATTAAAAAATCCTAGTTATCCAGTCTTATTCCATTTTAATCTAGAATCTAGAATCTCATTATCACCCTGGCACTAGAAACTGAAACAATCCTCTAGCTAATTGCCCGAGCTTCCTCCTGCCCTATCAGGTTACTTCTTTCTAATATAATCAGAAAAAATTCCAAATATCTGTATATTTTACAATTTACGAGACTTTTGGATAACTAGTTCATTTAATAATAGGAACAAAGTAGGAATTCTTAGAGCCTTAATTTAAGCTGACAACACATGTTTAGGAGGTGGTATAACTTTGAGTCTTTTATCCCTTTTTACTACCCGCCCCCACCTTCTTCTCCTTGCCTTTCCTCTGGAACACCCTGGTCTATATAAGAAATTCGTAGGATGAATATCGATTCAGCATATGAAGGGGAAGTGATACAGTTGTGAATGCTGCACATCAGAGCAAAACCACCAGTTTCTCTCTGGTCCGAAATTTTCTGTCGTGCTTTGCAGTTTCGGGTTGTGTTACTTAGAAGCTTAAAAATGAGTATATGGGTACTTGTGGCCATGCAAACAATGGGAATTCCAGAAAGGCTCTATGAGAGCTGTAAATACCATGAAGGTGAAGATTGCTCTTTGTCATACCTTTTGGGAAATGTTGGATGGACTGCTTTGAAAAAAGTTGCCTTTGCTATTATTTTCTTGGGACTATGGGATCTTAAGTAATCACCACAACAGGCCAGATGTTCATGTATTTCACTTAACAACGAAGTGAATACTTTTTACTGCTCTCACTAATGAAAACTAGAAAATGTCACAGTTTTAAAAGTGCATAACTTTGCACATTTTTGTTAGTTCTCTTACTCAGCAGGTGGCAGTGTTCATCTTTCAGCAGGTAAGTAAGCGCTTGCTTCTTTTCTTGCAGCTACACATTAAGAATAAAGAGTAACCTTTGTATTGTGTCCCTTACAGATCAGGTTTATGAGTGGATACATAACAATGCTCAGATTGTGGTACAGTTAAACTTAGGACCACACTGGCAGATTGGGGCAAATGACATGTCTTCTTAGTCCTGATGCACTGTAGAGACATCTTCTATTCTATTCGTGAGGACATAGACCAATAAGGTGAGTAAGTGATAGTTCCATTTTTTTCCATAGGCCCCTCTGTTGAAAGCCATATTATGATCATTTATTTTACAGGACTGCTGTTCAAATTAAAACATGAGAACACCCTGGGAAATACTTTTACCCTTAATATTTTTTTAAGGTATTTGATGAATTCGCTCTAATTTTTCTTATAAAAATACTTTATCATCTCAAGTACTGGGAGGAAGATTTCAAGATTTGTCAGTTGCTCTTAATTAATGATATTTACATCTTCCTTCTCATGAACAATGATTTCCATTGCTGTGCAGAATGGAGGAGGCTTCTTAACCTACTTAGAGGTTTAGAGATTTGCAAAGGGGAAAAGTTACTATAAAGCTGGATTGATTCAGAGTCATGGCTACCACGTGTGGTCAGGGAATTCAACACTCAATTATGTCTTTTAATGTTAATATCTGATCAGAGTATGACATGGATTATTTTTGTTTTAATAAAGTTTATTGTGTTTTCAGTAGATTCAGTGTGTAATAATTGTAAGTACTTTGAATTTGATTACTTTTACATGATTATAAACCTAAAGGGTCAAACTGATTTCTGTTTGGTTGTCACAGACAAAAGTAAGTCTGAGACCAGACAGGGAAACCATCTGCTGTCACTTGCATTTCAACAGGCGATCAGAGGTTCAGAGGAGAATCTGTTTTATTGAGTAAAAAGAGGAAATGTGAGGCAGCCTCTCATTAACAAGCATTCTATGAAGACAGGAGCTTTGGAAGTGGGGTGATTTTCTAATTGGTCTTCAGGTACATTTGGCAGTTTCTTTAAGGATTGCTCAATGCTATGGGTGGAAGGTTTTCTCTGGTGGCCATTTTCTGGAATAAGTGGAGGTCAATGGTGCTTTGTTGACATCAAACTGTCATAATGGTTTTTATTTGAGAGGAGGGGTGGCTGCCATGACAGCCCATTTCTCACGAGTGACAGCATTTTGGTGATTGAAAATACCGACTCTGGAATCAGAATGCCTGTTTTAATATCCTGCTCCACGAGGTTTTGGTTCTGAGACCTTGAGAATTCAGTTTGTGACTCAGTTTTCTCACCTACAAAATGACCTTCCCTTTCTCCATTGAGAATGTGCCATTTCTAGGCTGGAATCAGTTCTGTCTGTGTGACAGGAGGGAAGATCTTGCATGCACTGCCCTTCCTGCAAAGTGCAAGGGCAGCTCCTCTGCCTTTCTAAAGACCATTCATTGCTGCTGCAGCAGATCCTTTGTCTCTCCAATGTGCTTCTGAGTCACTCAGGTTTTACTGACTCCCTTGGGGAAAGCAGGTGGTCTATATTTAGAATAGCGTTAGCTGCTTTCCCAAGAATTTGAGCTAATACTTAATGAGTATTAATCCAAACCTTTTTGTAGCATTGGCTATATGTACATTTCAGATAATCTCTTGCTATCTATAAGATCTTCCTCTTAGGGTTGGTTTGAAAGAAGAGGATAAAAATAGGAGAATGTGGATATCTATATATATCTATATATATCTGAAAGCGAGTTTCTTTAGAGGGAAATGTTGATTGCTGCAAAATACACATTATAACATTCAAAGATAATTTATTTGTAAATGAATCATGTTAGCATATTTAACCTTCAATTTTGAAGGTTAAATGAGTGAAGTATGTCATCTCAGGTGTTCATATAGCTCACTATCTAAAGAAGTTCAAGTTTCCCATTCTTATATTCCCAGGTATCTGTGAGCTGATCCTAATCTGCATTTCTGGCCCCATCTTTCCTGCTCCTGTATATCCCAGATGTTATAGGTTGAGTTGTGTCCCTCCTAAAATTCATCTGTTGAAGTCCTAACCCCCAGTACCTCACAATGTAATTATTAGAAGATAGCATCTTTAAAGAGGTAATTAAGTTAAAATGAGACCACGGGGGATTGGGGGGGGGGGGTTCCTAATGCAATATGACTGGTACTCTTTTTTTTTTAATCCATCCCCTCAAGTATTTATTTATTTATTTATTTATTTATTTATTTATTTATTTATTTTACTTTAAGTTCTGGGATACATGTGCTGAACATGCAGGTTTGTTACATAGGTGTACATGTGCCATGGTAGTTTGCTGCAACTATCAATCCATCATCTACGTTTTAAGCCCTGCATGCATCAGGTATTTGTTCTAATGCTCTCCCTCCCCTTTTACCCCACCCCCCCGCAACAGGCCCCAGTGTGTGATGCTCTCCTACATGTGTCCATGTGTTCTCATTGTTCAACTCCCACTTTTGAGCAAGAACATGCGGTGTTTGGTTTTCTGTTCCTGTGTTTGTTTGCTGAGGATGATGGCTTCAAGCTTCATCCATGTCCCTGCAAAGGACCTGAACTCATTCTTTTTTATGGCTGCATAGTATTCCATGGTGTATATGTGCCATCTTTTCTTTATCTAATGACTGGTGTTCTTATAAGAAGGAAACACGAGGCAGGCAAATGCATAGAGGAAAGAGCATGTGAGGACACAGTGGGAAGGTGCCATCTGCCAGCCAGGGAGCAAGACCTCAGAAGGAATGGGAGCACCTTGATCTTGGACTTCTAGCCTCCAAAACTGTGAGTAAACAAGTTGTTTAAGCCACACAGTCTGGTATTTTGTTATGGCGGCCCTAGTAAACTAATACAGCAGATAGACTACTCACTAGGTCTAAAAATGTGCCATGCTTTCCTTTCTCTGTGATTTTACTTTTACCTAACTACTCTAAAATTCCTTTTCTATCCCTACAACTGGACAATTTTACCCCCTCATACTTTAGAATTTACTGCAGATATCATTATTTTCTTGTACTCTTTTTTGAGTTTCTCCCACCGACTCTTGCCCTCCACACTGGAAAAGATAGGCTTCCAAAATTCCATTGATGCATGCCTATTAATTATCCTCCTCTTGCAAATGTAGACTAGGGTTTTCAGAACTTGGGCTGGAGATGGAAAAGGTGAAGGAACCATGGATCATTGGAGGTAATTGTGGTTTGTTTTTAGAATGAAAGAGGCTGACATCTGACTGAGAAGATGGTCCTAGGGGAAAGAGAAATGAAGAATCAGAAGAAAATTGGTATTTGCTGAAGCCAGTTGCTTAAGGAGGAAGAGGAGGGATGAAAGAGCAGACAGAGAGGGAGGTTGACATTATAATGAGAAACAGCTCCTGTTCTGAGACTGGAGGAGAGGATGTGAGGAAGACAATGGTCTTGCTAAATTTTCTTTGTTTTTATTTCTAAAATCATTAAGAGCATGAGCTCCGGAGTGTGAGACAAACTCACCCGTCCAAACCCAAAGGATGAACTCGGAGACCTGGAGAACAGCGTGAGACTTTTAATGAGGACCTTGCAAGATCGGGTGTCTGATAGGCAGGCACACCCAGCACAGTTTCCACAAGCAATTTAACCCCTAGAGCACAGGTCCCTCCCCTGGTTCCTCCCTCGTAGGCTGAGTACTATGGGGGTCACAGTCTTCCCAGATGTCACCTATTGTTGCACAGGGGCTCCAGGTGTTTTTTTTTTTTAGGGTTGTCTTGCTGCATTTTGTTGCAGCCCACAATGCATTGCAATCCTAGTTAGCTCAAGGGCTCTTCAAGTATTTGACTTATGACTTAAGTAGCTGGGCAGGCTGATAACAGACAAAACGAGCTATTTTGCAGGCTAGTAAACTTTCATCTTAGACTAAACTTCTTCGGTTTGGGTAAAGGCAACTAAGTTGCCGCGGGGGAAGGGGGAGGCTGACAAGCAGGCATCGGCTATCCAAGCAGGGGCCTAGTATACTCTGTTTCTTCTGTAGTTTGCTGACCTAAGCCGGTTCAAGGCACTTTGTCTTGGAAATGGACCACTGTATACATTATTTCATTCAGGTGCCAGACTCCTGTATCCCTCTACCCTTTATGCTGGATCTGTGACTTGGATGGCTTTTTTTTTTTTTTTTTTTTTTTTTTTTTGAGACGGAGGCTCGCTCTTTTGCCCAGGCGGGACTGCAGTGGCACTATCTCGGCTCACTGCAAGCTCCACCTCCCGGGTTCACGCCATTCTCCTGCCTCAGCCTCCCGAGTAGCTGGGACTACAGGCGCCCGCCACCGCGCCCGGCTAATTTTTTGTATTTTTAGTGGAGACGGGGTTTCACCGTGTTAGCCAAGATGGTCTCAATCTCCTGACCTCGTGATCCGCCCGCCTCGGCCTCCCAAAGTGCTGGGATTACAGGCGTGAGCCACCGCGCCCGGCCTGGATGGCTTTTTATTTGATTCAGTGTTAGTGTTTCCATGTCTACAATGGGTACAAATCCTCACTATCATCAAAGGATTAAATGGATAACACATGTAAATTACATGTGTAGTACAGAACCCAACAAAAGCAATTTTTTTTTTTAAATAATTCTTGTCAATATCCCCCAGCTGAAGACCACCAGGACCATGATTATAGTTGAACAAATTTGGTTGATGCCGCCTTGGAAAGAAAACGCACTCCCTGGGAAAGCATGGAGTGTCTCAGAGAATTTTAGAGAGAATTTATTATAGGATATGAGCTTGTGTTAGGTTAGGTTTAGGGACTTTGCTCTATATTGGACGCTATCAGGAAGTGAGGATAATTCTGCATCATGGGGTACTTCATAAATTATCCATAGGGACAGCAGACTAGAGCAAGCCTAACATGACTGGCAAAGGAGCAGCTGTCACTCATATCAGCCAAGAGATGGGGTTGTTTCGTCATTTTTATGGATTGGACAATGCTCACGTTCTGTCTGTTCAGACATGATTCTAGCGTGCTCTTGTTTTTGGTCTTGATCTCCATCATGATCACAGAGTAGCCTTGTTTATGTTGATGTTCTGTGAAGTTGTGTTCAACTGGAAAACACCAAGGCCTGGCTCTGAGTATCAGGCCAGTAGAAACACCAAGACCCGAGTAATTAATGCCTGATGACTTTGCTTTCTGGTGATGTCTGCTGAGAATGAGGTGTTTTTTGCGGAGAGAATAGTCACTGAAGAGAATCATATAGGGCTGATGGGCAGCATCAGCGGTGCAGCCAAAGTTGGAGTTGATGGAGTTACTGGAGCGATCGGCATTCTGATTGTGTGATTCTCTCCCATAGGGCTAGGCTGTGCAGCACTGGTGTGGAGAAGGCACATCCTAACACTGGCCCTGGGCTGGGGGTTTACAAAGAGATCAGGACAAAGGACAGGAGTTCAGAGTTGAAAGTGCCAGGGAGCACAGATCTGTTGGTTCCCTGTGAGGAATGGGCTATTCCATGAATAAAGACAGAATATGAAAAGACTAACCACCAAGAAAAGAGGAGGCTAGATATCTTTTAGAGAATGTTCTGAGCTGAAGCCCTGCTGGGTGATGGGAAGATCGTTGGCTGGAAAGAGCCTAGGCCATTTGGAAATAAGGAGGTTGGGGAAAAATGGAAAATCTTGCAAGAAGGTCCACGAAAGTAGACTTTGAATTCTCCTTGGGACTCTGTGGATTTGTCAAACATCCTGCTTTTTCCAAGACAGGATGCAGGTGAAGTGACAAGTGCTTCTATCTCTGTCCACTGGGATCATCACCTTTTCCTGTTTGGATAGATAACATTTTCTCATATTCCATTTTAAAAATCTTTTCCACCTCAAGTGCCTTTTGGCACTGCTTTAGCAGTTTGCTGTGTGGGCTGTACAGCAGCTTTGCTGCTGCCCCAATGTTTCATAGAGATGTTTGTGATGGAGCACTATGTTTTTAACTTATCTTCCCAGGGCTGTGGCCCAAGTTCACGGAGGAGAGATGAGGTCGGGAAAAATGTGGCTAGTACACATCTACAGTGTTCACAACAGTCTGCCTCCTCTGTCAGGGACTCATTGTCTTTGGAATAAGCCCCATAGGACCTGGAGGCTGCTGCTGGACCTCAGTAATGTCCACAAAGACCTGCAACCTCAGGAGTGTTATTGTCCCTTTTCAATCAGGTCCTACCACCAGGAGACGAAGCTTCTCTTCTTACTCGGAGCTTCTCCAAAATGTGGCATGTTAGAGTGCTCTAAATAGTGAATTAATTGATTGATTGATGGAGTAAATACATGAATGAATGAATACTAACATGGCTCATGACTTTAACATTGATTTTCAAACTCAGCTTTATGGAGTCTCAGCTATTTTTCAAAGCTCAGTGAGTGAGGAGCTGAGTACACGGAATCCTGTCTTCCACACTGCACTTTAGCCAGAGGAGTGCCATTAAAAACACTTTTTTTGTCTTTGATTTTAGCCTCCAAGTAAAAAGCATTTGAAGAAAAATTTTTTGAATCTTGAGATAGAGAGATAGAGAGTTAGATAGATAGATAGCAAGAAACCACTGGCTGCAAGAATGAAGTTCTGCATTTAATTGTGCAAAATCTGGTCATGATCTATTCGTCCACACTTGTTTTCCCTCACTCTATCACATGAATTCTTTGTTTAGTTTATCTTGTATGATGTGTCCAGATATGCCCTTTCTAATCTCTACACTTTTGTTCCCCCACGCTCTATCCTTTAACCCCAGGTCATATTATAAATCTTCTCTGATCTCCATGGCCAGATGTGCTCACTCCTTACGCTGAATTCCAATAGCATTTATTGTGTCTCAAGGCCCATCCTTTATGTTGCATGTTTTACCTCTTCAACCAGATTGTTCCTCCTTCCCTTCCCCTTCCTTCCTTCCTTCTTTCCTTCCTTCGTTCCTTCCTTCCTTCCTTCCTTCCTTCCTTCCTTCCTTCCTTCCTTCCTTCCGGCTTTGCTCTTTGCTTTAGATGGAATACTCTCAGGAAGTGAGAATAATTTTATATGATTGGGTGTCTTCATAAATTATCCATTGAGAAAGCAAACTAGAGCAAGGTTAAAGTTGTAATTGGTAAAGGAGCAGCTGTCACTCATACCAGCCAGGAGAGGGGGCTGTTTAGTCACTTTCGTGGCTTGGACAACGCTCATGTTGTGTCTGTTCAGATGGCCGTATGGTGATTTTTTTGTTTTGTTTTGTCTTTTGTCTTGGCCCACATCATGATCACAGAGTAGCCTTGTTTGTGTTGATGTTCACTGGGTGCCTGTTATGGGCCAGGCGTGTTGCTAGGTACTGGGATTCATAAAAGGGAAGACAGACATCTCTCCCTCACGGTTTACAATTTAGTGAGGGTTGGGGAGTATATCAATCGAGGTTCAAACAATGAACGGAGTAAGTAGAAAACATAAAGACATTTACTGTAAGGAATTGTCTTCCAGGATTCTGAGGCTGACTAGGCAAGTCTGAAATTCTTAGGGAAGGCCATCAGGATAAGTGTCAGCTGAAACTTTTGCCACAGGCAGAATATCTCATTCTCCTGAGAGGCTTTTATTCTTCTCTTTAGATCTTTCAGCTGAGTGAATCAGGGCCATTCAGACTGTGTACGATAATTGCCCTTACCTAAAGTCAGCTGATTATGGATTTTAATCACCTCTACAAAATACCTTCATAAGACCCAGTACAGTGGCTCATGCCTATAATCACAACATTTTGGGAGGCCAAGGTGGGAGAAATCTGCTGTTAATCAGATAGGTTTTCCTTTATAGGTTACTTGATGCTTTGCCTCGTAGCTCTTAAGATTCTTTCCTTTGTCTTGACTTTAGATAACCTGATGACAATGTGCCTAGGCGATGATCTTTTTGTGATGAATTTCCCAGGTGTTCTTTGAGCAAGGCCGGGGAAAGTTTTTTCGATTATTCCCCCAAATATGTTTTCCAAACTTTTAAATTTCCTCAGGAATGCTGATCTTTCTCAGGAATGCCAATTATTCTCATATTTGGTCATTTAACATAATCCCAAACTTCTTGGGGGTTTGCTCATTTTCAAAATTCTTTTTTCTTGTCTTTGTTGGATTGGGTTATTCCAAAAACCTTGTCTTTGAGCTCTGAAGTTCTTTCTTCTGCTTGTTCAATTCTATTCCTGAGACTCTCAAGTATGTTTTGCATTTCTCTAAGTGTGTCCTTTATTTCCTGAAGTTGTGATTGTTATTTATGCTACCTGTTTCACTGAAGATTTCTCCCCTCATATCTTGTATCATTTATTTGATTTCCTTAAGTTGGACTTCACCTTTCTCTGGTGCCTGCTTGAATAGCTTAATAATTGACCTTCTGAATTCTTTTTCTGGCAATTCAGATTTTTCTTCTTGGTTTGGATCCATTGCTGGTGAGCTAATGCGACTTTTTGGGGTGTTAAAGAACCTTCTCTTGTCATATTACCAGAATTGTTTTCCTGGTTCCTTCTCATGCGGGTAGGCTATGTCAGAGGGGAGATCTGGAGCTCAAGGCTGCTGTTCAGACTCTTGTGCCACGGGGTACTCCCTTGATGTAATATTCCCCCTCTTTCCCTAGGGATGTGGCTTTCTGAGAGCCAAACTGTAGTGATTGTTATTTCTCTTCTGAATCTAGCCAGCAAGCAGGGCTGCCAGGCTCTGGGCTGGTACTGGGGGTGTCTGCACAGAGTCCTGTGAGGTGAACTGTGTTCAGTTCTCTCAGCTGTGGATACCAGCACGGTATTTGAGATGTCTCCTGGATCCTGCAGGAGGAATCCACTTCCTTCAAAGGGTCTGTGGATTCTCTTGGCTTTTCTGGTATACTCCTGCAGTAGTTTTTGGAGCAATAGTCCACAATGCTAGTCTCCACATTCTGCTCTGTCTATCCAGAGTGGGAGCTGCACTTTAGTACTGCCTCCTATCTGCCATTTTTTTTTCAGTCACCTGTCAGTTGAGAAATGTGTTTCTATTTTCCTTTGGATAACTGGAAGCTAACTAATGTTAAGTTTAATTTTTAATTTAATGTTTAATATTAAGACTACTTAAAAGACTTATCCCAGGAGCTTAATGCAATTATTAAAGTCATTGAATCTGAAACTAGGGAACTTTAAAAATACCAGTGCCTGGGCTCCACTGTGGACCAATTAAATCAGAATCTCTGACAGTTAGGGCCCTGACCTTGGTAGTTTGAAAATGTTCCCAGGTGATTCTGATATAGCCAAGGTTGAGAATAAATGCTCTAAATATATTTGAATTTTTTGGTTTTCCTGTTTTATACATGTTTTGATATTGAAATGATCATTCTATCATCTTTGGAAATAAATGCCTTCATAAATTGGAAATAACTAATTATTTCGGTAAAAATAAATACATGTTATTAAAGCCACTGAGACACTTGAAATCACCTTCCTAGACTGTAAGCACATGGAGGGCAGGTACCACGTGTTACTTAGACATTCATTAGGATAGGCAAGGTTGTGCTATAGAAACAAACAAACACGAAATACACAAATTGCTCCCCTCTCAATTCTTAGATGATTCACAAAACAGAAGTTTATTTCTCACTTCTGTAAAGTAAGCCTGCTGTGCTCTAGGTGACTCTTCAGGCCACCAGTTCTCTGTGGATGACTCATGTGCTGCTCCACATCAACACATGGTCTCAGGATCACTGAGACAAGGGCAGAGAGGTTGTAGAGTTCAGAACTGACAACTGACACATGACACTTCTGTTCAGTTTTTTTGGTCACCTAGCCATACATAACTTCAAAAAAAGGGGGAAAGGGCTGTGCACAGTGGCTCAAGCCTGTAATCCCAAAACTTTGGGATATCAAGGTGGGAGGATCACTTGAGTCCAGGAGTTCAAGACCAGTCTGGGCAACATAGTGAGACCTTGTCTCTACAAAAAAAAAAAAAAAAAAAAAAAGAAAGAAAGAAAGAAAAAAAAGAAAAAAAATTAGCGAGGCAGGTGGCATGTGCCTGTAGTCTCAGCTATTCAGGAGACTGAGAGGTGAGGATTACATGGGCCCAGGAGTTTGAGCCTGCAGTGAGCTATGATTGTGCCACTGCACTTCAATCTGGGCAACAGAGTGAGACCTTGTCTCTATAAAAAAGGTGGGGAGGAATGTAATCCTTTGAGTACATGGAAGTTGAAGAAAAATAGATACTGATTAACATTAGTAATATCTAGCCTGTTTGGTTTTATATTTCTGCACTTAACCTAATAACTCTCATAGTGTGAGAGCTTACTAGATATTCAGGAATCCACATTAAGTTACCCTCTCTTATCCTTACAGGATATGTTCCAGTCGCCAGTGGATGCCTGAAACCTATATATATAATATTGAGCCCTGTATATACTATGTTTTTCCTGTACATGCATACTATGATGAAGTTTAATTTATAAATTAGGCACAGTAAGAGACTAACAATGATAATTAATAATAAAATAGAACAGTTAGAAAAGCTATCACAATATACTGTAATAAAAATTATGTGAATGTGATCTGTCTTTTCCCTCAGCTACTAAGTGACGGAGGGCAGGTAGTGTCTACAGTCACATGCTGGTCAAAGGGATGATTCGCTTCCCAAATGGGACAGAGTGGGATGGCATAAGATTTCATCATGCTACTCAGAATGGAAAGCAATTAAAAATATATAAATTGTTTATTTCTGGAACTTTTTACTGATTATTTTTGGGTCCTTGGTTACTCAAGGACCACAGTTGACCTTGAGTAACAAAACTACAGAAAGTGAAATTGTGGATAAGGGGAAACTACTGTGCCACATTTTCTTCACTGTTAGAGATTATGCATCATTGTGGGTGTTCATGCATGTGTGTGCATGTGTATTTTTCTCTCCAGGCAGGTGCATCTCGGCATATTGGCTCTGCGAGTCTATAGCTCTGCAGATTTGCTATCTCTGGGAGTGGAAGAGCAGAGCTGGGATTCCCATACCTATAGCTGTGAGATCCAAGGTGACCTCAACCACAATGATAGTGCCACCACAGACACTCCAACTACTCATTGATCCTCACTCACGTTTTCAGATTTTTCTCATTTATACTCAATAAAAAAGCAAATAGAACTTCCAGAGTGTTTAAATGACTGGGGACAATAGCCTTGCCAAGTAGACACATAAAACTGACCCACCTTGGGAAGAACAGTGAACACATTATTCAAAAATATCACAATAAGTTTCAGGGAGGAGACAAATAACTCTATTTTCTATAGACAAAAAAAAAATCATTTTGCAACAAACCCAGATAAGTTCTGTTGTGAGTCAGTAACGTAGTTCCTGGATTGCTCCCCTGGTCAGATACATACCACTGGCTAGTGCTGTCCCTGCATCCCCAGATCGGCATAGCTCTGGAGAATGGGGACTTGACTAGAAAGGGAAAGACAGGCTGTCCTGAGGTCAAGGCTTTTCAAGAACCTTACCAGTGACCTGCCAAGCTTCTGCACTTTCCAACCCCAGCTGTTCAGGTATCACCACCTCAAAAGGAAGGTTCACTTGACAGAGACTTCCACAGGACAAACTCACCAGAAACCCTCTTTCCTGAGACCAAGTAGAGTGAGAGCATTTTCATAGTAGAGAGAAAATGAAGACAGACTCATATTTATTCAGACACTAAATTTTCATTGGAAATACCCTGTTTGTATTTAGGTTTTATAAAATTCCCAGTTGAAAAACTAGATTGTGATCCAAGTTGTTCCAACCATGTTGTAAAAATTGTCCAATAACTAAACTGAGTAGCAAATAATCATTTTTCTTTAATAGTCACACCTACATTGACAGGCCTGGTATATCTTTTTTAGAAGAATTGTTTTTTTTTTGTTTTGTTTTTCTTTTTGTTTTTTTGAGACAGAGTCTTGCTCTGTCACCCAGGTTGGAGTACAGTGGTGCGATCTTGGCTCACTGCAATCTCTGCCTCCCAGGTTCAAGCTAATCTCCTGCCTCAACCTCTAAGTAGCTGCGATTACAGGCACCCACCACCATGCTCAGCTAATTTTCATATTTTTAGTAGAGATGGGGTTTCTCCATGTTGGCCAGGCTGATCTTGAACTCCTGACCTCAAGTGATTTGCCCACCTTGGCCTCCCAAAGTGCTGGGATTACAGGCGTGAGCCACTGCGCCCAGCCAGAATTGATTTGAACTTAAAGCAAAAGTATCTGTTTCAAAACTACATTTATTCGAGTTAAATAAATTCAGTAATTCTTATGTCAACTCAATATGATTAACATCAAATTAATAAAGTGAAAATGTTAGTTCTTTAGTCACACCAGCCACATTTTGAGTACTCAATAACCATATGTCACCAGTGGCCACCATTTTGGACAGCATGGATATAGAAGATATAATACCACTTCTGCATAATGCAGTCAGATATATTTATAGCTGTAACTCTAGCCACATCAAGGCAATGGCCAAGGTCAGGGCAGTGAACAGCATTTGCTTTTCCTCTACCTAGCTTGTAAGTCTTATACTTTATGGGCATATTTGTAATCACCTGATGTGTTCTTGCCTGCTGCACAGATAAGCCCAATTCACTGAGACAGTGTGATCGCAGTAAAGAAAGAGTTTAGGCCAAGTGCTGTGGCTCATGCCTGTAATCCCAGCACTTTGGGAGGCCAAGGCAGGTGGATCATGAGGTCAGATCGAGAGCAGCCTGGCCAATATGGTGAAACCTCGTATCTACTAAAAATACAAAAATTAGCCAGGTGTGGTGGCACGTGCCTGTAGTCCCAGCTACTCGGGAGGCTGAGTCAGAAGAATCACTTGAACCTGGGAGTCAGAGGTTGCAGTGAGCTGAGATCATGCCACTGAACTCCATCCTGGGCAAGAAAGTGAGACTCTGTCTCAAAAAAAAGTTTAATTAACTTAAGCCTGGTCAAGCAGAAAGGCTGGATTCATTACTCAAATCAGTCTCCCTGAGAACTCAGAGGCTAGGTTTTTATGTTTTGGTGGGTAAGGGGCTAGGGAATGGGTGCTGCTGATTGGTTGGTGATTAAATTTTAGGGGTATGGGAAATGGTCCTTGTGTACTGAATCTGCCTCTGAGTAGAGGTGGGCACAGCACCAGTTGAGTCACGAGTCACAGGTCTGGGTGGGGTCAATCAGTTGTCAGCATGCACAAGTCTGAACAACATCTCAAAAGACCAACTTTAAGTTCTGCAATAGTGATGTTATCTATAGGAGCAATTGAGGAAGTCACAAATCTTGTGACCTATGGCCATGACTCCTGAGCGATAAGGGATTATAGAAACTATGCTTGGCTGGGCATGGTGGCTCATGCCTGTAATCCCAGCACTTTGGGTGGCTGAGGCAGCAGGATCAATCGAGCCCAAGAGTTCAAGACCAGCTGGGTAACATAATGAGACCCTATCTGTTAAAAAAAAAAAAAAAGAAAGAAAAAAAAAGAAAAAGGAAGAAAAGAAAAGAAAAAGAAATGAAAAGAAAAAAAAGAGAGGAAAGGAAACTACACTGACATTTTAGCAAAATTCAGACCCCTCCAATAATACTAATGCTATAGCTTTTCATTAGTAAAGAGGGGTTAGGTTTAGGGAGGGACTATTATCATCCTTGCTTCAAAATTAAATTATAAACTAAATTCTTCCCATGGTTAGCTTGGCCTACACCCTACACACAGGAATGAGTGAGGACAGCCAGCTTGCAAGGGTAGAAGTAAGAGTCAGCCATGCTAACTTTCTCTCATTATAGTCTGCAAAGGTGGGTCATACTGACTCTAATTGATTGACTGCCAGACTAGACTCCTTGCTAGTCCAGGGCCTTGGACGTATCACCCAAGGCCTTTCTGTGAAAGACACTCAAATATTTGTTCAATGATTTCTAATTGTATCCATTACTTATTTGTAGCTTCAAAAACAACGTTTGAATCTTAACTTGTTTCACCTTGAGTTAATTTTGTTTCTATACCTCTTCAAAGAAAAGGAAGATTGAAGGGGTCTTTAACGCCTCCATTAACTCCTGCAACGTGAATTTGATATACTCTCTTTTGCATGAATTCAGCTTTGTGATTTCTGAAATGGTATCACCTGAAAGCCACTTAAGGCCAGACCAATGAAATGTTACAGGCAATATTTGAACCTAGGACTGACTGTTTTTTTTTGGCTCTGCTCATGTCTCTTCCAATTCTAAAATTTTATGATTTAATGATTTTGGAAATGTGTCAAAGAGAGACTTAGTGTAATTCAAAATAAATTTCAAATCTGAGGTGTCTTGTTTTCCTTTTAGATATTTAGCCTGACAAATATAAAGTTTTGAATCTTAAATATAATTTTCATGTTTTGCTCTATCAAAAACACAATGGCAAAATAACAGATGGAAATGCATTTCTCAAACGAAACTGCCCTAAATTACTTCAGCAATCACTTTTGATAAATCTTTAGCCACCTGTGTATATTATTAAAACATCAACCAGCAGGAAGCGTATAATTTTATTTGGGTGGAAGTCTTTAGTTTTAAGGTAACAAAGACAGGTGAATAACAGCGTTTTCAGATACAGCCTATTCTGAACAATGAGCTTTGACAGAACCCTGCTAGAAATTTATTCTTTGCGCTTGAGTCTTCTGATGAAAGTTTCCAGCTTGAAGCAATGGATTCAGGTACTATATTATTTATGCTTCTGCCGTAATTCTAAATGGACCCTTTTAAATCAAGAGCTAGCACATCTTCATAGGAAACCTCAAACTTGTACACACCAACCCCCCATACCATCTAATTATAAAATTGAACATTATCAAAGAGAAGAAAAGAAGATAAAAAGAGTTTCTTTAGTACTTAACAGATGAACCATTTGACTAGTCTCTGTGTATTACAGTTTTTTGTTTACAAGAATGCTTTTCAGTGGAGCAGGGACCTTGTTTATATTTGGTGTTCCCAGGATGCTTGGGTACAGTGATACTTAATAAGTGCTTTTCTAACAAAGTGGCATTCAAGTTAAAGCTCAGTCGGGCAGCCAAATTCCCCTTCCAAGCATTAAGCTATACTTACAGTGTACTTAAAGGATATTTTATGTGGAATTATAAAAGTTAACACTTCTGGCCAGGTGCAGTGGCTCATGCCTGTAATCCCAGCACTTTGGGAGGCTGAGGCAGGCGAATCATTTGAGGTCAGGAGTTTGAGACCAGCCTGGCCAACGTGGTGAAACCCCGTCTCTACTAAAAATTCAAAAAATAAGTTAGCTGGGCGTGGTGACAGGTGCCTGTAATCCCAGCTACTGGGAGGCTGAGGCAGGAGAATCGCTTGAACTCAGGAGGCGGAGGTTGCAGTGAGCCGAGATCGCGCCACTGCACTCCAGCCTGGGCAACTGAGACTCTGTCTCAAAAAAAGAAAAAAAAAATTTTAGCACTTCTATTCTTCTTTTGTCTGGGTCTAACTATCTTTAGACTTTGTCTCTTTATTCATACTGAGATCTGGATAAGAGGCACATACAAATCACACTTTCTCTTCTATTGCCAGAAAAGGATCTTCAAATGTTAGGCTTCAACTCTAACACGTTTTTCTCCTTCACTGAAACAATCGATGAGAGTTGAAACGACTACTGAATAAGTATTCTTATAAGGGCCTGTTGTTTTCCATGAAAGAAAATATATTTGCAGACCTGTTACCACCAAGGGATTGCGGTCAAGGGAAGGCTAAAGCTTTCTTCCTCCACCAACGGATTGCTTAAAGCCCCTTTAGACAAACATAAAAGACTCAAAGTCAGTATGCTTCACTTCAAGCACAGCTTTTTCCTGCTAAGCTGCTCCTACTATATGGAAATTCTGGGGGTGTCAATGTTTGTATGCCCAACTGAGTATCTGTTATAAAACACACTTTTCCCAAGCCCCCACATTAATAATTTCTGACACATAAAAAATTAAGAGTTCAGATTTAATTAATTGTGGACATTTAGGAAGGCTAATTTGAAAGTGTATAATATGGTTAAGCTTTGTGTCTCCACCCAAATCTCATCTTGACTTGTAATCCTGATAACTCCCACAGTCCCCATGTGTCAAGGGAGAGACCAGGTGGAGGTAATTGAATCATGGGGGTAGTTTCCCCCAAGCTGTTCTCATGCTAGTGAGTGAGTTCTCACGAGATCTGATGTTTTTATAAGAGGCTCTGCCCCCCCCCCCCCCGCTTTGCTTGGCATCTCTCCTTCCTGACACCTTGTGAAGAAGGTGCCTTGCTTCTTCTTTGCCTTCTGTCATGATTGTAAGTTTCCTGAGGCCTCCCAAGCCATGCTTAACTGTAAGTCCATTAAGCCTTTTTCCTTTATAAATTATCCAGTCTCAGGCAGTTCTTTATATCAGCGTAAAAACAGACTAACACAGTAAATTGGTACTGAGGTAGTGGGGTGCTGCTGTAAGGATACCCAAAAATGTGGAAGCAACTTTGGAACTGGGTAACAGGCAGAGGTTGGAACAGTTTGGAGGGCTAGAAGAAGACAGGAAGATGTGGGAAAGTTTGAAACTTCCTGGAGACATGCT
The DNA here is from genome assembly GCF_000001405.40 of Homo sapiens. Lineage (NCBI taxonomy): Eukaryota > Metazoa > Chordata > Mammalia > Primates > Hominidae > Homo > Homo sapiens. The sequence goes on from NC_000002.12 coordinate 227,949,095, forward strand.
GAATGGCTTTGACCAAAATGCTGATAATGATATGGACAATGAAATCTAGGCTGAGGTGGTCTCAGATGGAGATGAGGGACTTGTTGGGAACTGAAGTAAAGGTCACTCTTGCAATGCTTCAGCAAAGAGACTGGTGGCATATTGCCCCTGCCCTAGAGATCTGTGGAACTTTGAACTTGAGAGAGATGATTTAAGGTATCTGGTGGAAGAAATTTCTAAGCAGCAAAGCATTCAAGATGGGACTTGAATGCTGTTAAAAGCATTCAGCTTTATTCACAAAGACATGGTTTGGAATTGAAACTCCTGTTTAAAAGGGAAGCAGAGCATAAAAGTTCAGAAAATTTGCAGCCTGACAATGAAGTATAAAAGAAAAACCCATTTTCTGAGGAGAAATTCAAGCCTGCTGTAGAAATTTGCATAATTAAGGAGGAGCCAAATGTTAATTGCCAAGGCAAAGGGAAAATGTCTCTAGGGCACGTCAGAGATCTTTGCAGTAGCCCCTCCCATCACAGGACTGGAGGGCTAGAAGGAAAAAATTGTTTTATGGGTGGGGCCCAGGGCCCCCCTACTCTGTGAAGCCTAGTGATTTGTCACCCTGTATCCCAGCTACTTTAGTCATGGCTAAAAGGGTCCAAGGCACAGCTCAGGCCATGGCTTCAGAGGTGTGCTGCAGGGGTGGAGCCCTCATGAAGAACCTCTGCTAGGGCAGTGTGGAAGGGAAATGTGGGGTGTGGGCCCACACACAGAATCCCTACTGGGACACTGCCTAGTGGAGCTGTGAGAAGAGGGCCACCATCCTTCAGACCCCAGATGGTAGATCCACTGACAGCTTGCACTGTGCACCTGGAAAAGCCAGAAACACTCAATGCTAGCCTGTGAAAGCAGTGAAAAAGGGGGCTATACACTGCAAAGCCACAGGGGTGGAGCTGCCCAAGGCCATAGGAGCCCACCTCTTGCATCAGTGTGACCTCGAAGTGAGATGTGGAGTCAAAGGAGATCATTTCAGAGCTTTAACATTTGACTACCCCACTGGATTTCGGACTTGCCTGTAGCCCCTTTGTTTTGGTCAATTTGTCCTATTTGGAACAGCTGTATTTAACCAATGCCTGTAGCCCCATTGTATCTAGGAGGTAACTAACTTGCTTTTGATTTTACAGGCTCATAGGTGGAAGAGACTTGCCTCATCTCAGATGAGACTTTGCACTTGGACTTTTGGGTTAATGCTGGAATGAATTAAGACTTTAAGGCCAGGTGCAGTGGGTCATGCCTGTAATCCCAGCACTTTGGGAGGCCAAGACAGGCAGATTACTTGAGTCAGGAATCAAGACAAGCCTGACCAACATGGTGAAACCCCATCCATACAAAAATACAGAAAATTAGCTGGGTGTGGTGGTGCATGCTTGTAATCCCAGCTGCTTGGGAGGCTGAGGCAGGAGAATCACCTGCAGCTAGGAGGCAGATGTTGCAGTGAGCCAAGATCATGCCACTGCACTCTAGCCTGGGCAACAGAGCAAAACTCCATCTCAAAAAAAAAAAAAAAAACCAAAAAAAACCCAAAAAACAAAAAAAAACTTAGGAGGACTGTTGGGAAGGCATGATTGGTTTTGAAATGTGAAAGGGACATGAGATTTGGGAGGGTCCAGGGGCAGGTGGAATGATATGGTTAGGCTTTCTTTCCCCACCCAAATCTCAGGGGGGTTGTTTCCCCTATGCTGTTCTCTGATAGTGAGTGAGTTCTTATGAGATCTGATGGTTTTATAATAGGCTCTTCCCTCCTTTGCTCAGCACCCCTTCCTGCTGCCTTGTGAAGAAGGTGCCTTGCTTTCTTTTTGCCTTCTGCCATAATCGTAAGTTTCCTGAGACCTATCCAGCCATGCTGAACTGTGAGTCCATTAAACCTCTTGCCTTTATAAATTACCCAGTCTTGGGTGGTTCTTTATTGCAGTATGAAAATGGACTTTTCATTACCTAAAGTGGATTCCAATTTGAAACTTGCCATGTTGATGCTGAATACTCATTTCCAGTGATGCTAGGTAAGCACCAGAATGTAGTTACTGCTGGGATAAATAAGTGCACTGTAGTTCTAGGAAGATATGCTTTGTGGAGCATATTTCCACAAGTAATTATTAGTAAATATGTCCAAACTGGTCAGGATGAAAATATAGGAGAGCATTACATTTGCATTTTAGCATGTATGTCTTTTCTAAATAATAAAAATTTGTCATTTATGCTTACCACATTTATATTAAAAAAGGTTTAGCAGGAGGGAGGTGAGGGTTGAAAAATTACCTGTTGGGTACAATGTTCACTATTGGGGTGACAGGTACACTAAAAGTCCAGGCTCCATCACTACACAATATATGCGTGTAAGAAACCTGCACTTGTACCCCCTACATCTGCTTTTAAAAAAATAATCTGAGAATAATCTACTTTGGGAATAGGAGAGAATTATCCTTTTCCTTTTTAATTAAATTAGAACAAAATTTATTAGTTAATTATCTCAGGTTTGTTTGCTTCAATTTTGGAATGGTGTGACCAAATAAATCAATGCTCCTGGACTGTTGCATTGGTTTTCTAAAAATGGAGTGAAGAGAAGTAAGAGGACTTACATTTCTATTGCTTTAATTTTTTATGCAATAGTGATGTTGATTTTTCAGAGCATGTCTCCTCAAAATAGTCCAGATTTTCTGTCATTACAATCCTAATTGGAGAAAACTTAGAGTTTAAACATCTTTTTAAGTTTTTGATTCTGAGTGATATGGTTTGGCTGTGTCCCCACCAAAATCTCATCTTGAATTCCCAAGTGTTGTGGAAGGGACCTGGTGGGAGGTAACTGAATCATGGGGGCAAGTCTTTCCTGTGCTGTTCTCATGATCCTGAATAAGTCTCATGAGATCTGATGGTTTCAAAAAGAGAAGTTCTCCTGCACAAGTTTTCTCTCTTTGCCTGCTGCCATCCGTGTAAGATATGACTTGCTCCTCCTTGCCTTCTGCCATGATTGAGGCTTACCCAGCCACGTGAAACTATAAGTCCAATTAAACCTCTTTTTTTTTTTGTTGTAAATTGCCCAGTCTTGGGTATGTCTTTATCAGCAGCATGAAAACAGGCTAATACACTGAGGAAAGGGAGAAGTAAAGATATTTACATTTGCCTTTAAATGTCTAATATGTGGCAAGTGGTTTGTAAAGGTTATCACTTTTAAACTTCGCAGACTGTCTGGAATTTAAGAACCTAGCTAACCAACCCTAAATGACCCAACTAGTGATGACAGAGCACAGATTTGAACCCTGAAATGTCTGCCTTAAAATCTTATACACTTTCCAATATGCTGTACTACCTCCACTAGTTAAGAATCACCCCTCATGTTGAAATTTAATATAGATGGCCTTGAGATGCCAAAAATGAGATATCTATAACTATGTCTATATCTATAGTTTTTTAGTGTTTAATACATTTTTTCTTAATCTTACAACTTCTTGAGGATAGAGTCAATATTTCATGCTCTTTATGTCTGCTGCAAACATTGATTAGACTTGTCAGGAGCACAGTGCCTTGATGGTATCTGATAGACTAATTGCTTACAGTTCATTGTTAATCCCCAGGCTTCTTCATTTCCTTAGTTCAAATAAGGTCAATGTTAATAATAATTGCTCAAATTCCACTGCCTTCTTATCTTCACTTGTATTCTGAAGGATCTCAATTTAAAATCTCTCCTAATGATTTCTAGGGGCCCCTGGAGATGTTTCATGTCAATGCAGAGTTTAGTTAAGATGTTTAGTTCTAGACTGCCTTGATTATGTCCTTGGACTGAATCTGAGAAATACCACTCACCCTGTGATATGGTTTGGCTCTGTGTCCCCACCCAAATCTCATCTTGAATTATACTCCCATAATTCCCATGTGTTGTGGGAGGGGCCAAATGGGAGGTAATTGAGTCATGGGGACTGGTCTTTCCCATGCTATTCTTGTAATAGCAAATAAGTCTCATGAGATCTGATGGTTTTAATAAGGGGAGTTTCCTTGCACAAGATCTCTCTTCTCTTATCTGCTGCCATGTGAGACGTGCCTTTCACTTTCTGCCATGATTGTGAGATCTCTCCAGCCACATGCAACTCTTAAGTCCATTAAAACCTCTTTTTCTTCCCAGTCTCAGGTATGTCTTTTTCAGCAGTGTGAAAACTGACTAATACACTCTGCAAATCATTCAGTCACCTGGTATTTTAAATTTTTTTTTCTTTTTGATCCACCACTAAGAGTCATGGCAGCCAGTATTTGCATGTGTGTTTTTTCTTTTTCTTTATTTTATTTTATTTTATTTTTGAGACAAAGTCTCACGCTGTCACCCAGGCTGGAGTGCAGTGGCACGATCTCAGCTCACTGAAACCTCTGGCTCATGGGTTAAAGCAATTCTCCTGTCTCAGTTTCTGGAGTAGCTGGGATTACAGGCAAGCATCATCACATCCAGCTAATTTTTTGTATTTTTAGTAGAGATGGGGTTTCACCATGTTTGCCAGGCTGGTCTTGAACTCCTGACCTCAAGTGATCCACCCACCTCGGCCTCCCAAAGTGCTGGGATTACAGGCATGAGACACCATGCCCAGCTGCAGCCAGTATTTTTTAATGCCTCCATAGTATGTGATACAGGTACCAGTTACTGGGAATGGGTAAAGGGTAGGTTTTCCAGAGTTTCCAAAGCTGCAAGTCCTGATAAGTGGCCTTTTCCTTATACTCCTGTGTCTCATGAAACATGAACGTAGCTTCTTCAGCTTTTATCTACAACCTGCCCTCTTCAGGGCTTAAATACCTGTTTGTGAGAGGTAGAGTAAGGAGCAAGTATTTTACTATCCTCTATAAATTCCTCACTCCTTGCAAATCATCTCCACTAAAACTTCACCATTGCATCAGGTACTCTCAGACATGCTTCAGTCTCTAGGTACCTTGGTATCTAGGTTTTAGATATCTAGTATATTAGATCTAGATATCCAGGTATGTAGATATCTAATGTATTGCAAAGGAAAGGTTTCAACATGTTTGACTTGGGGCACCATATTGTTTTATACAATTAAGTTGGCATATGTTTTAATTCCCCCAACTCTCATTTAATATTCCTATCCAGCTTTACAATGTATCTGCCTTCTTCCTATTCAAAGTTTAGCATTGCCTTCATCTAGGAGCTTGTTAAAAATACAGAAATTTGGTCACTACTCCAGGCCTACTGAATTGGAATCTGAATTACTGTTGTCAATTCCACTAGTTAACATCAAAGTAATTCGTATTCATGTTAAAGTTAAGAGGTTATGATCTTTATTAGTCTACCATGCCCTGAACTTATTAGGTAACGATGAGCTAGGTAGTTTGAACAAAACCTCCAATGAAACAACTAAAATGAACTGGATAAAATATAAAATTATCTTAAGGAGGTCTCAGACTGAAAGATTTCTCATGTGCCTGGCAGAAGCAAACAAAAATTGCCACAAGAGAATGGTTTCATCATCACAGGACTAAAATTACTTGTATAGATAGTTTTTTTTTTTTTTTTAAATGTGAGCCTTTTATTAAAATAAAGAAATAAAACTTTACTAAATAAATGGAAATATCTTTCTAGATAAAGTTGTACAACACTTCAAAATGCAGAATTACCTTATTTGATTTATATTTTATAAACTTGCTTTGTATTTTTCAATGTAAAAAGGAAAAACAAACATGTAAACCAGTTCACACTCTCCCTGGCGGAACAGATTGGTCCAGGGATAATTGCTGATTATACTGGAACGAATAATTGTAAATACATTTCACTTTGCTAGAGATAGCAAGAAACCCAATATACTAACAGAATAATATGCTACAACCAAACAAATTATAACATAATGAAAGAAAAGTAATAAATATTAATCTAAAGAAAGTTAGAAAAAAATTAAGGTAAAAACACACCATAAATAATAACAAAAAATATTCATATTGTCAATAAAACACCCCAGCTTTTAAAAGCTTTATATTAAGCATATTTCTATATTTCTATCTAAAATGAGGTTTTTTTAATCTTATAAGATAGTTTATTCAGTTTATAAAAGAGAAATAGGCAAAATATATTTGTATGACAAATAACATTTATATGATTATTTCAGCACTTGGAATTGATTCAATAAAAGCTAAAGCCCTTTCCTCATTAAAAAAATTTCATTTAAAAATTAGATATGAAGCATTGTAAGTTTAACAGAATAATGATCACTATTAGCTGTTAAAACGGTCAGCTAACTGCTATACTAAGACGTTTGGATAGCAAAGGATTAAGCTTGGTCTCTGAAGATAGACACTGATCCTTTCCTTCTCACGTTCTACCATGGACCAGTTGGGTAAGCCTTAGCAAATTACCATATTGCAGTTCCTTCATCAGAAATATGTTCATAAAAACAGTACCTCCTCTAAGGGTTTTCTCCAGGATTAAATAAGTTAATAAATATAATGCTCTTAGGATAATCCTTGCTACATATTAAGTTATCTATAAATGCAAGCTTTTAGTATTACTATACTTAAATATAGAACTATCAGAGGTATTGCAGTAAAAATAGGAAAGAAAAAATTTTACTGTTACTGCTATAATTATCATACTGCTCACAGTCTATGATACTACAAATTTTAATTAAAGCTTTCAATTGAATAGGTTTTTGTTAAAACCACAATCACATTAAATGTATATAACAACTATAAGATTTCACCTATATTTCAAAAGTGTTAAAGTATAAGAAAGTACGTTAGGATGTAAATAATATGTTAATATTGGCCTGAAAATGTAGCAGGTTATAAAAAAATTGAATTGAAAGAATACATAATTGTTATTCTACGTCATATAAATTCATGTCTAGTATCCCAAGAAGACTAATTTAAAAAATGCGAATTAATAAGAGATAAGCAAATAGGAAAGTATATATTTGTAAAAATAAAAACATTTATAATAACTATCAGGCAACTATTAAAATCACATTTAAAATGCATTCATTCAATTAATATACTTTCCCATTATTATTTATTCATGCATTGTTTTATATAGACATATGTGTGTGTATATATGTATATATATATATATTTGTATTCATTTGACATTCTCTTACTTTACTAATACCTTTAGATCTGAATTTCAATTTTCTTTTTTTTTTTTTGAGTTGCACAAAATTTTTATTTTTTTTATTTTTTATTTTTTATTTTTTATTTTTATTTTTTTTAATTTTTTTTATTATACTTTAAGTTTTAGGGTACATGTGCACATTGTGCAGGTTAGTTATAGTTTTTAAAGTAGATATCTAACATGCTATCAAAGATACCAGATGCTCAGAGAACATAGGGGACATGAATGAGGTCCAGCAAAACAACAGGCCACAGCAATAGACTTTAGATCAAGAAATTATTAGACACAAACCAAAAGACAACTGACTATGCTTATTTGAAGAAATATTTAAAATATCTAAACTTGGGTTCAGCCTCCATGAGTCAAATCTGTAATCTCAGTACTTTGGGAGGCTGAGGCAGGCAGATCACTTGAGGTCAGGAGTTCGACACCAGCCTGCCCAACATGGTGAAACCCTGTTTGTACTGAAAATACAAAAATTAGCTGAGTGTGGTGGCGCACACCTGTAGTGCCAGCTACTCAGAGGTTGCAGTGTGCTGAGATCATGCCACTGTACTCTAGTCTGGGCAACAAAGGGAGACTCTGTCTCAAAAAAAAAATCTATACTTGGAAATGTATTTAGTGAATAGAGAGCTGTAATAAAAAGTGACATAATAGATTTTTTAAAGGACCAAATAGAACTTCTACAACTGAAAAACAGTAACTGAAATTTAGACACAATTGATGAGTTTAACAGCAGGCTAAGCTGAAGAGAGAATGTGTGAACTGAAAAATGGTCAGAAGAAATTATCTAGCATGGAGAGATACTAGAAGGGTGGATGAAACACTGTGGAAAAATCTGCCATGTTTAATTGGAGACATGGAAAGGAAGGAGAGAGTGAGAAGGGTACAGAAATGGCTGAGAATTTTCCAGAACTATTTAAGAAGCTAACCACAGATTCAAAAAGTTTATTAAATCCTAAGTATAATTTTAAAAAACCATATCTACACACATAGTAGCTGAAACGTATCAAAGAAAAATCTTGAAATCTATTCTTGAAGAGGAATAAAGGCAAATATTCCTGTTACTATGTGGCATAACACACCACTGAAAACATAATGGCACAAAAAAACAACCTTATGCTAACAAATTCTGTGGCTTAGGAATTTAGATAAGACAGAGCAGGGTTAGTTTATCTCTGATCAATGGCATGTGTGAGTGGGATGGATGACTTGAAAGACAGGCTTTCCTGTTTACAGTCCTAGCGAGCCTACTTGGTTTCTCCAACATGGTAGTTTCAGGCTGATCTGTTTGGTTTTGTTTTTTAAAACATGGCAGATGGATTCTTTCATGGTGAACACCCAAGAGCAACAGGCAGAAGATGTACTGTGTTTGATGACCTAGCTTTAGGAGACACATTACCTCACTTCAACCAAACACTTGTGTGTGAAGAAGTCAGAACCCCACCTAAATTCAAGCTTAGCGGACATAGACACTAGTCAATTGGAGAAGTGTCGAAAAATCAGCTGCATTAAAAAAAATCACCTTGGGCTGGGCACAGTGGCTCACACCTGTAATTTCAGCACTTTGGGAGGCTGAGGCATGTGGATCATTTGAGCCTAGGAGTTTGAGATCAGCCTGAGCAACATGGTGAGACTCCCTCTCTAAATAAAATAAAATAAAAATAAAAAAATCACCTTATCAAAACTAGGAAAAGCTGTATGCACACTAAGGACAAATCTCCTTAGTAGCATGAATTACTGCAATAACTTAACCAAGTTGTCTGATATGATTTTCATGGTGCTTTATTGAACACCTATTTTAATAGATTTATGGAGCTACCGGTTACTAGAGGAGATATCCCTGGCTTATGCAAATTTCATTCCGCAGCAAAATACCAAGACTTCTTGGAGAGACTTTTAATCACTTTAACTTAAGCTCCAATATTAGTTGAACTATATAAACAGATGGTCAGAATGATCTTCCCAATATTTAGAAAGAAATACATTTTAGTCCCAGGAAACCCTAATTCAATAGAACCATGTGAAATGCCACAAATACTTAGTGAACAAGTTAGAAAAATGGAAAATAAAAATAAAGAAAAAAGCCCATTTATCCTGACCAATCAATTTAATTAGACCACAATAGTCAACAAAATCTAGCCCAACCCTCTAGATTTGGTCATATGTTCACTGTTAAATCAACCCCTTGTCCAAAGAAATATAATGCAGTGACTGGTCTAATCTAGGTACATATCTACCCCTCTAGGCTGGAAAGCCATTAGTTTCCCTCTTAAGCAAGCAGATACATAGATGAAAATTAGCAGTCATTGGGATGTGACAAATAGACGCAAGTAGAGTCACCTTCAAGTGTCCATGATAGGAGAAGGTGTATTCCAGGCAGAGAAACAGCTTATGTAAAGTTCTGCAAGATCATTGATCATTTGGGGGAAAATGGCAAGGAAGTGTTATGACTGGAGTAAATAATATCTAACATCCTTGGCCACTGAAATCACAGGAACCAGACTATAATTATGTCACACTAAAAGGAGATTACCTAATTGTTTCATTAACAACACATTTTCAAAATAAACCAGAGACCTGTATTCTTATGGAACTGAGATAGGAGAAATCTCATAAATATTCTCTGGAAAAATATAGAGAATGAGAGGGTACAATACAACGTATTATATAAAGGCTTAACTCTTAAAAACCTTATTTATGTTATCTAAGATCTTAGTAACTCAGCTTCAAGCTAACGTTGACTACCCTCAATTATAGACTCTATTCATGGGTCCATGAACCTGACACTTGAAAGCTTCCCTTGAAAATTACCTGTCAAAAATATGCTTTATCCAAGTGAAAACTAGGTTTATAAATACTTCAGCCTGTTTTTAACTCTGTCTCTTTAGACTAATATGTCCTTTTCTGAGCAGACATCATTTAGGGTGACCTTTTCAAAATAGAGTCAAGGGTTCAGGAATCACACTGGCTTTGCACCTTGCTGCTTACAAAGTGTGTTTGGGAATGTTGTTGTATTGATTACTTACAACAACCCTGTAATTGAGGTATACTGATACCCCTTTTACAGAAGGATAAACTGAGGCTCAGGAAGGTCAGTAATTTTCTCAAAGATACACAGATGGTCAGTGACATATGAGGATCAAGGTCACATTTCCTACCCCAAGTCCAGCACTCCTTTGGCAGGTGCTGTTTCCTGTCATCAGTAAAGCAGATGTTAGCCAGGCATGGTTGCTTACACTTGTAGTCCTCAGCACTTTGGGAGGCCGAGGCAGGTGGACTGCTTGAGACCAGGGGTTCGAGACCAGCCTGGGCAACATGGCAAACCCCATCTCTACAAAACATAGAAAAATTAGCTGGGTGTGGCAGTGCATGACTGTGGTCCCAGCTACTTGGGAGGCTGGGGCAGGAGGATCACTTGAGCCTAGGAGGCAGATGTTGCAGTGAGCTGAGATTGTGCCACTGTACTCCAGCCTGGGTGACAGAGTGAGACTCTGTCTCAAAAAATAAAGCAGACATCACTAGAGCTTCTCATTTATCAAAGTACAATTTGAATCACAGAACCCACATCATATATTAAGCTACTCTATGTAACTGGAATTATGGCAATAGTTTGTCTATACCTAGAATACTAGAATAATAAAAAATACACATTACCTATTTTTATTGTATAATTGACCCTTGAACAATTCATGAGTCACCAGTGCTGACCCCCAGGACAGTCAAAAATCCATGTATAATTTTTGACTCCCCAAAAACTTTACTAATAGCATACAGTTGACCAGAAGCCTAACAATAACATAGTCGATTAACACCTATTTTGCACAGTATATGTATTATATATGGTATTCTCATAATAAAGGAAGCTAGGGAAAAGAGACTGTTGTAAGATAATCATAAGGAGACTTCACAGCCTTTAGAACTGTAAGAAATAAAGCTCTGTTCTTTAAAAATTAAATAAAAAGAAAATTATAAGGAAGATAAAATACATTTACAGTATTGTGCCATACTTTTTGATACAATATGTTTATGCAATCTGTTTATAAGATGAATTGTCTGTCTGAAATAGTGGGCAACCACAGTTGTAGACCTCCATCTATGACACATATCAAGAAATTCAACTTTTTCTTGTAATGTTATGACTTTTCTCTACTTTTTGCAACCACTTCCAGCATCACTAGTGGCACTTTATATGAGTCCCATGCTGTTAGTGAAGGTTTACAGTACTGAATTAAATACAATGAAAAATCTAAGAGAGATCATTTTTTACTGTGCTTTGCAATTTGCTGGAGAGATGAACTGCTCACACAGAGATGATTGGCATCACACGGCTTTTTAAGAGGCTACTTGCCACACTTGAGCTATTTCAATAACAACAGGAGGTGAACACAAAATTGTTATGGTAGCACAATAAATACTACGGTTATTTTTATGCGGTTATGATTCAATACTGCATCTTTATGTTTGTTTACATTTTTCTTGATGGTGAATGACATCACGTACAATCTGTGTGCGTAAGTTTTGATAAATTTTTTATAATAGGTTTGTGTATATTTTATGCTAACAAATGATATAACAAGCTAGTATTTATATATATTTTATGCATTCATAACATACCTGACTTCTTAATTGTGTCCATATTTCTAGGTTATGCAGTTTGCACGCTTTTTCAAATTGTAGCAAAACTCCAAAATAAATATATTTTCCAATATTTTTATCGCATGGGTCCCCGTATAAGCGGACCCATGCAATTTGAACCTGTGTTATTTGAGTCAACTGTAATTTTTAGTTGAACACTATAGTTTCAATAAAGAAAATTATCAAAACACATACAAAAAGCAAAGCAAAACAAAAACCACACAAGTGTGAATAAAACACTGCATTGTATGGATGGATCCTACGTTCTTAGCTGTTTGTTCAAGGCTGCCTACATTTAGACTCCAAGCACTTCTGAATCATGAGTCTTCCCATTCTCCCACTCTCTGTGTCCTATATTGTCTCAGCTTTGAGTCCCCCTACTGTGACTTACACTCTTTCTTTTGTATCTTCGCTACACCTCTTCCATTTCTGATTTCCTACATCTGACTTGAGCTTTCAGGCTCTAGTCATTAATAGACTCTAACAGTAACTAATAATAGACTCTAACAGTCATTATTCCCCACTAATCCCTCAGACTATCTCACTGTAACTCTATTTATGTCTAATCTTTGTCTCAGAATGTGTATGTGATGAGAGCAAGGCAGATGGCAGCTTCATGGTTTCTCTGGCGTAATTCATAAATTACCTTTTTATTTGTCTTCAAACCAAGCTTCTTGGCTTAGGTTGCAGAAGTAAGTCCAGCACTGCCAACCAGGCCAGATGATTCTTAATTGGTTAAATGTAACTTTCTATAAGAGGTATAAAGTTATTTGTTTACATATCTTAATAATGCTGCCAAAATGTCCCCCAAAGCTTTAGCATTCTGCATTTCCATCAGCATTGCATGAGAGTGCTTGTTTCCCTCTACCTTTGCTAGCACTGAATGTTATCAATGATTTAAATTGTTGCTAATCATATCTTAGTTTTATTTTTATTTGCATATTCCTGATGGCTGAAGAAGCAGATAATTTTTCTGCATGCTTTTTGGTCTTTTTCTTTCACTATTTATTAATTGTCATTATTATCTTCTGTCCAGTTACTGTGGAGATTTTTTTATTTATCAGTTGTAGAGCATTAAATAGCATGATTTGTTTTTGTACAATATGATATACATTATAAATATAGTGTTTTGTTACACAGTTTATAACATATTAACTAAATTTACCTAACTATACAATTTAACTGAATTTATTTAGTTAAATATGTGCTTATTCTCTTGTATCATTTAACAGGAGTACCTCTGACAATATAACTCAAATTTAAACAATAACTTCCATTACTTTAAAGATATTTGAAATATTTACATTTTATTCAATATTTTTCATTTTTTATGGATAACTGTGATTTGGTTATCAATTGCTGAGTAACATACTGTTTTACCCCCAAACTTAATGGCTTTAAATAACACCATTTATTTTTTCTCATGATTTGGTGGATGAGGAATTTGAGCAAGGCTCAGCTGATTAGTTCTTCTGCTCCATGTGGTATCAGCTGGTCACTGTGTTGGCAGCATTCAGCTGACAACTGGGCTGGACTGGGATGGAAGATACAAGAATGAGTCCCTCCCATATTTGTCACCTCGGTGCTCCTTCCCATGACCTCTTTTTTCACGTGACCAGCTTGGGCTTCCTCATAGTATGGTGGTCTCAGGATAGTAATACTGTTACAGTAGGTAGTCAGACAGAAGCAGGGCAGGAGACAGCCCCCCTCCCCCCACCCGACAACTCCAAGGGATGTCTGGCAACCATCAGGTGATGGTCAGGTGGTCGTTAAACTGCCTCTCTGAAATAATAGTTGGGTCACAGCTGGTGCCAGGGAAAGGTAGTCTCCCAATAGATAGAAACACCAGGAACGGATGATCAGCAGCTTCCAGATAAGATCTCAGGAAATGGGTGAGTAGGCTCAAGCATATGCACTAAGAGACAAAATGGCGGAGTTTAACTGGTAACTGGTAACTTGACTGGTAAGGGAAAAATGCCTCAAGGGAACACGTGCATAACTTCAGCAAGCACTGTGCACGAGGCCCCTCCCAAGTGCTAGAAGGCCACAGTGCATGTGGACAGCCCACCCTAAGGGGAGAGGCAGGGGAGAAGAGATGCAACCCCCTGCACCCATGCCAAGGTATAAACCACATGTCAAAGGTCAAACCGTGCACTTGATCTCTCAGGTTGCCCGCTTGGCCCTGTTCCAAGAATACTTTACTCCCTTTGATTCCTGCTCTAAAGCTTTTTAATAAACTTTCACTCCCACTTTAAAACTTGCCTCAGTCTCTCACTCTGCCTTATGCCCCTTGGTCAAATTCTTTCTTCTGAGATGGCAAGAATTAACGTTGCTGCAAACCCGTGTGGATTCACCGCTGCTGACATACTTTGGTGCTGCGTAACTCGGATACATTTCCCTAGTGCTAACAATACTTATATTGCTGCTAGTTTTCCCCAAGAGAATATGAAGATTGGCAGGCCTTTTGCAGGCCACAATCAGAACTGTGTAACATCATTTCCATTGAATTCAAAAAGTTACCTCACTGAACTGGTAAGCGAGGGACGAATAAACTTACATTACTTTGAGGTTCATTTTTTAGAGTAGTTAATGATACTAAAATATATGTATTTCTACTTATAAAACAATAATGAAGACTTTTATGATTTTATATAGGTAGACATAGGGCAGCTCTGAGCAGGGTAAGTTGAGGGTTTAGATCTGATCCTCTGTAGTTTTCTCAGCAGTACCCGTCCCCAAATTTTCAGTCTTGACCCCCTCTACGTACCCACTCATGCCCAGAGGAAACTGTTTAAAGGCATTTTGTTCTTTCTTGTCTTCCTTGTAGTTTGTAGATGAGCTGATAAATTATCTAAAATGTTATCACAAGTTGCATTTCTTAAATGTGGATATTGTCCTCAAACTGATTTCATGCATTTATAATTGGGTTTATTAAGCAATATGAACTCTGCAGGCTACAAACATACAAGTATTTAATTGTTGTCCACTTACCTTTCCAAACCAATTTTAAATACCTGTCTTACTGCCTCCTCTTATCACTCAGGTTTGATTATGGCCTGAAGGAACTATAAGGAGAAGAGGGCATGGTTTTATTTGTTCCTTTACTTTTCCACAGGCTTCATGGGTGTGCTGCCCGTGTAGCCACCTAGGCCCTACACTTTGTGAAATCATGCACTTGGTTTAATGCTTTGCTGTTGCCATCTTGAAATTCTTAATAATTTTAGAAAAAGGGGCCCTACACTTTCATTTTACACTGGGGCTTGCTGATTATGTAGCTGTGCTGTTTTCTTGGTTTTAAATTTCTCCAACAGGTTGGAGGGAAAGGGAGGCAGAAGAAAAAAGAACAAAATTCTACTTATCTAGCCAATTTTGAAACACTCTGTGTCACGGTTGTCACTGTTTCTCTGACCATTGACAGTCTTCTCTGAACATTGATCCTGTCGACCTAAGAAAGAAACTAAGGCAAAATTAATATAAGTAGAGGGTTTATTTGGGCCAAATCTGAGGACCACAACACAGGAGAAACAGACTCAAATTGCCCTGAATATATTGTCCAATTAGCAGCAGTTACAAGTGGGTGTTTAAAGGAAAAAATAAGGGACAGTTCTCACATTGATTCATTAAAATAGCATAAGCTATTGATTGGCTATACACTGTTCTTTGTATCACAAATTTCAGGAACATGAAGATAATGGGTGAGGGTCACTTTATGCAACTCTAAGACAATAAACAACAAATGCCTTTAAACAATTGACCCTAGGCATAGGTGTGTATGTGGAGCGGGTCGAGATTCAAGTCTCTTACTTATGCCACTCTGGGCATGATACATTTCTCATACCTCATGTAGCTCAGACTGCTTTGAGCTAATTTTCTTTTCTTTTTTTTTAATTTATTATACTTTAAGTTCTAGGGTACATGTGCACAACATGTAGGCTTGTTACATAGATATACACGTGCCATGTTGGTTTGCTGCACTAATTAACTCATCATTTACATTAGGTATTTCTTCTAATGCTATCCCACTCCTTGCCCCCACCCCACGACAGGCCCTGGGGTGTGATGTTCCCCACCCTGTGTCCAAGTGTTCTCATTGTTCAATTCCCACCTATGAGTGAGAACATGCGGTGTCTGGTTTTCTGTCCTTGTGATAGTTTGCTCAGAATGATGGTTTCCAGCTGTATCCATATTGCTACAAAGGACATGAACTCATCCTTTTTTATGGCTGCATAGTATTCCATGGTGTATATGTGCCACATTTTCTTAATCCAGTCTATCATTGTTGGACATTTGGGTTGGTTCCAAGTCTTTGCTATTGTGAATAGTGCCACAACAAACATATGTGTGCATGTGTCTTTATAGTAGCATGATTTATAATCCTTTGGGTATATACCCAGTAATGGGATCTCTGGGTCAAATGATGTTTCTAGTTCTAGATCCTTGAGGAATCGCCACACTGTCTTTCACAACGGTTGGACTAATTTACGCTCCCACCAACAGTGTAAAAGCATTCCTATTTCTCCACATCCTCTCCAGCATCTGTTGTTTCCTGACTTTTTAATGATCGCCATTCTAACTGGTGTGAGATGGTATCTCATCGTGGTTTTGATTTGCATTTCTCTGATGACCAGTGATGATGAGCATTTTTTCATGTGTCTGTTGCCTGCATAAATGTCTTCTTTTGAAAAGTGTCTGTTCATATCTTTTGCCCACTTTTTGATGGGGTTATTTGTTTTTTTCTTGTAAATTTGTTTATGTTCTTTGTAGATTCTGGATATTAGCCCTTTGTCAGATGGGTAGATTGCCAAAATTTTCTCCCATTCTGTAGGTTGCCTGTTCACTCTGATGCAGTTTCTTTTGCTGTGCAGAAGCTCTTTAGTTTAACTGGATCCCATTTGTCAGTTTTGGCTTTTGTTGCCATTGCTTTTGGTGTTTTAGTCATGAAGTCCTTGCCCATGCCTATGTCCTGAATGGTATTGCCTAGGTTTTCTTCTAGGGTTTTTATGGTTTTAGGTCTGACATTTAAGTCTTTAATCCATCTTGAATTAATTTTTGTATAAGGTGTAAGGAAGGGATCCAGTTTTAGCTTTCTACATATGGCTAGCCAGTTTTCCCAGCACCATTTATTAAATAGGGGTCCTTTCCCCATTTCTTGTTTTGGTCAGGTTTGTCAAAGATCAGATGGTTGTAGATGTGTGGTGTTATTTCTGAGGACTCTGTCCTATTCCATTGGTGTATATCTCTGTTTTGGTACCAGCACCATGCTGTTTTGGTTACTGTAGCCTTGTAGTGTAGTTTGAAGTCAGGTAGTGTGATGCCTCCAGCTTTGTTCTTTGTGCTTAGGATTGTCTTGGCAATGCGGGCTCTTTTTTGGTTCCATATGAACTTTAAAGTAGATTTTTCCAGTTCTGTGAAGAAAGTCATTGGTAGCTGGATTGGGATGGTATTGAATCTATAAATTACCTTGGGCAGTATGGCCATTTTCACGATATTGAGTCGTCTTATCCATGAGCATGGAATGTTCTTCCATTTGTTTGTGTCCTCTTTTATTTCATTGAGCAGTGGTTTATAGTTCTCCTTGAAGAGGTCCTTCACATCCCTTGTAAGCTGGATTCCTAGGTATTTTATTCTCTTTGTAGCAATTGTGAATGGGAGTTCACTCATGATTTGGCTGTCTGTTATTGGTGTGTAAGAATGCTTGTGATTTTTGCACATTGATTTTGTAACCTGAGACTTTGCTGAAGTTGCTTATCAGCTTAAGGAGATTTTGGGCTGAGACAATGGAGTTTTCTAGATATACAATCATGTCATCTGCAAACAGGGACAATTTGACTTCCTCTTTTCCTAATTGAATACCCTTTATTTCTTTCTTTTGCCTGATTGCCCTAGCTAGAACTTCCAACACTATGTTGAATAGGAGTGGAGAGAGAGGGCATCCTTGTTTTGTGCCAGTTTTCAAAGGGAATGCTTCCAGTTTTTGCCCATACAGTATGATATTGGCTGTGGGTTTGTTATAAATAGCTCTTATTATTTTGAGCTACGTTCCATGAATACCTAGTTTATTGAGAGTTTTTAGCACAAAGGGCTACTGAATTTTGTTGAAGGTCTTTTCTGCATCTATTGAAATAATCATGTGGTTTTTGTTGTTGGTTCTGTTTATGTGAATGATTTTGTTTATTGATTTGCATATGTCAAACCAGCCTTGGATCCCAGGGATGAAGCCCACTTGATCGTGGTGGATAAGCTTTTTGATGTGCTGCTGGATTCGGTTTGCCAGTATTTCATTGAGGATTTTTGCATCGATGTTCATCAGGGATATTGGTCTAAAATTCTCTTTTTTTGTTGTGTCTCTGCCAGGCTTTGGTATCAGGATGATGCTGGCCTCATAAAATGAGTTAGGGGGGAGTCTATCTTTTACTATTGATCGGAATAGTTTCAGAAGGAATGGAACCAGCTCCTCTTTGTACCTCTGGTAGAATTTGGCTGTGAATCCATCTGGTTCTGGACTTTTTTTGGTTGGTAGGCTATTAATTATTGCCTCAATTTCAGAGCCCGTTATTGGTCTATTTAGAGATTCAACTTCTTCCTGGTTTAGTCTTGGGAGGGTGTATGTGTCGAGGAATTTATCCATTTCTTCTAGATTTTCTAGTTTATTTGTGTAGAGGTGTATATAGTATTGTCTGATGGTAGTTTGTATTTCTGTGGGATTGGTGGTGATATCCCCTTTATCATTTATTATTGCGTCTATTTGATTCTTCTCTTTTTCTTCTTTATTAGTCTTGCTAGTGGTTCTATCAATTTTGTTGATCTTTTAAAAAAAATCAGCTCCTGGATTCATTGATTTTATGAAGGGTTTTTTGTGTCTCTATTTCCTTCAGTTCTGCTCTGATCTTAGTTATTTCTTGCCTTCTGCTAGCTTTTGAATGTGTTTGCTCTTGCTTCTCTAGTTTTTTTAATTGTGATGTTAGAGTGTCAATTTTAGATCTTTCTTACTTTCTTTTGTGGACATTTTGTGCTATAAATTTCCCTTTACACACTGCTTTAAATGTGTCCCAGAGATTCTGGTATGTTGTGTCTTTGTTCTCATTGGTTTCAAAGAACATCTTTATTTCTGCCTTCATTTTGTTATTTAACCGGTAGTCATTCAGGAGCAGGTTGTTCAGTTTCCATGTAGTTGTGTGGTTTTGAGTGAATTTCTTAATCCTGAGTTCTAATTTGATTGCACTGTGGTCTGAGAGACAGTTTGTTAAGAATTCTATTCTTTTACATTTGCTGAGGAGTGCTTTACTTCCAACTATGTGGTCAATTTTGGAATAAGTGCAATGTGGTGCTGAGAAGAAAGTATATTCTGTTGATTTGGGGTGGAGACTTCTGTAGATGTCTATTAGGTCCACTTGATGCAGAGCTGAGTTCAAGTCCTGGGTATCCTTGTTAACTTTTCTGTCTCGTTGATCTGTCTAATGTTGACAGTGGGGTGTTAAAGTCTCTCATTATTATTGTGTGGCAGTCTAAGTCTCTTTGTAGGTCTCTAAGGACTTGCTTTGTGAATCTGGGTGCTCCTGTATTGGGTGCACATATATTTAGGATATTTAGTTCTTGTTGAATTGATCCCTTTCCCATTATGTAATGGCCTTCTTTGTCTCTTTTGATCTTTGTTGGTTTAAAGTCTGTTTTATCAGAGACTAGGATTGTAACCCCTGCTTTTTTTTTTACTTTCTATTTGCTTGGTAGATCTTCCTCCATCCCTTTATTTTGAGTCTATGTGTGTCTTTGCACGTGAGATGGGTCTCCTGAATACAGCACACTGATGGTTCTTGACTCTATCCAATTTGCCATTCTGTATTTTAATTGGAGCATTTAGCCCATTTACATTTAAGGTTAATATTGTCATGTGTGAATTTGATCTGGTCATTATGATGTTAGCTGGTTATTTTGCTCGTTAGTTGATGCAGTTTCTTCCTAGCATCAATGGTCTTTACAATTTGGCATGTTTTTGCAGTGGCTGGTACCGGTTGTTCCTTTCCATGTTTAGTGCTTCCTTCAGGAGCTCTTGTAAGGCAGGCCTGGTGGTGATGGAATCAGTCTAAACAACATCTCAGAAAGCCAATCTTAGATTCTACAATAGTGATGTTATCTACAGGAACAACTGGGGAATTTACAAACCATGTGACCAAAGCCACATGACTCCTGAGACTACAGAAACTATGCCTACATTTTAGCAGAATTCAGGCCCCTTCCATAAATCTAATCTTGTGGCCTTTCACTAGTCTTACAAAAGCAATTCAGACCAGGCATGGTGGCTCACACCTGTAATCCCAGCACTTTGGGAGACCAAGGCGGGAGGCATCACTTGAGCCTTGGAGTTCAAGACCAACCTGGGCAACACAGTAGGACCCTGTCTCTCCAAAAAGAAAAAAGAAAGCCAGTCATGGTGGCACACATCTGTAGTCCCAGCTACTTAGGAGGCTGAGGTGGGAGAATTGCTTGAGCCCAGGAGATCAAGGCTGCAGTGAGGTGTGATAGCGCCACTGTACTCTGCCCTGGGTGAGAGAGTGAGTCTCTATCTCAAAAATAAATACATAAAAAATAAAAGGTGATTCCAGCCCTGGAAAAGGGAGGTAAATTTTTTTTAGGGAGGGACTTTATTATTCTTGATTCAAAGTTATACTATAAATTCCTCCCAAAGTTAGCTGGGCCTATGACCAAGAATGACCAAGGACAGCTTGGTGGTCAGAAGCAAGATAGAGTCAGCTATGTCAGATATGTCTGTCATAATTTTGCATAGGTGATTTCAAGAAAATGGATATCTTTCCATTCCTTCACCTTTTTGTTCTATTCAGGCCCTAAATGGATTGGGTGATGCCTGCTCACATTGGTGAGGTGGATCTTCATTATGCAGTCTGCTGATTACAATGCATATCTTTTCCAGAAACACTGTGGCAGACACATGAGAAATGATGTTTTCCCTATCTGCATATCCCTTAATCCAGTCAAACTGACACATAAAATTAACCATCACACTGTGCTTGAGAAGTTTTGTGGGTATCCTGCCCAAGAGGGCTGCCTATTGGGTATTGGGGGAAATGGGAGATGGGGATTGCTGGGTCATCAGCTGCAGGGATAAGGGGTAAAGCTGGAGTTGGGGTAGTGTCTCCCACATCAGAGAAATGGTAAAAAAGTGACCCCACAGAGCCCTCCACAAAATGCATACACATATTCATGAGATGGCAGACATTTCGCTTTCCGTCCCAAGGAGAACATAGCCAGCAATTGTATTAACCAGGGAAGCAATAATGGCTATCAGAGAATTGCAGTTGCACTTCCAGATAAAGAAAGAAATATTTGCTCTATTTCCCTTCTGTCCCCCCAGTGCCCAATACCAGTGGAAATAGAACTAGAGAAGGCAGGAGAAGAACAAAACCACAGACACCGCCCCTCTTCCTATTTCGAGCTCCTCAAGCCAAAGCCAGCCAGGTGCTTAGGAAAGGGAGACAAGAGCGATAAGCTGCTTGCAAAAGCCAAGTCTATAAATTGGATTAGACTGACTGAAGATTTTAGTAATGCAAGTGACCAGAAGATATGGGATCTGCCATAGATTCATAATACAATGGCAGAAAAGAGATTTGACAGAATACAGTTGGCCTTATAGTTGGTGAGATTTAAAAATGCATCATATTTTTGTCTGCCTCACATAATTCGAGTTGTTTAATAAACCATTTACATTTGCAAGCTGACTGCTGAGGAAATGATTCCCTGTTCAGTATTCCCAGGGAGTTGGAGCAAGAGGGGAAACAGAGAGAGAGAAACACAGAGAGAGAGAGAAAGAGTGAAAGAAACAGAGAGAGACAAAGAGAGAGAGAGGGAGAAAGAGCAAGAACCTTCTGTATGATTTCTTCCCTTCAGATCGGGGCAATTTAGGTCCTATGTCTATTTCTGGGCTAAATGCTCTGATAAGGGAAGACTCTGGTGGGCTTGGTCCAGCCTGCATCCACCCTGGGAGTTGGGATACAGTCAGCTTCTCTTGCATCACATAGGTTATGTGCAGGAAGGTGGATGCCTACCAAAAAAAAAAAAAAAAACGGTAAAAAGGAGAGAGAGAAGGCATGCTGCTGACTAGGGGACAAAAAGCCTCTACTACACGGTGTCACTGTATGTGATAATCATCTGCTTCCACTTTGGCCATGACCCATGTGGCCCTTGGCAGTGTAACCAATTTTCTTTGGATTGCTTCACGCCAAAGATCCCCTCCATCACTCACAGTCACTATGAATGCCCAGATTGGGACAGGACAGTTGTCATTTTCAGTGTATAATTAGTGACCAACAGGTCTGTGTACTGTGGTGACGTTGTGCATACCCTCTTTCCATCGGCCTGTCTAAAGGGAAGATTCCTCTAACTCCTAGACGTGTAATGAATTCACGTTGGCATTTGTTACTTTGAAAAATAACCTCCTGTTACTTTTTCTCTTTTCTCGTTGCCTCCTGGAGTCAAGTTTAAAAGGAGAATTTGAAAGTCATCTCCCAGTGTGTTTAGGATTCGTTCATTCTTCCCATGCTGAGTGTTTGGCTCGCGCACGCTCCCTCTGCGATCCACTGAAAAATTCTGCTTTTTGGTTTGCTGCTTAATTTTCCATTTTGAACAGACGAATGGCACAGCATTATTCATTGAGTATTTAATATAATATAGCGTTTTAAAGGATACATATAATATAGCATTTTAAAAATACTTCTAAAAGCATTATGAGGGAAGCCAAACATTTTTTTTTGGTGCCTTATGAAGAAACTTTTATTTTAAATTGTAAATTTCAAAGTTTTGGATAACATAACCTGGTGTTCTTCCAGATTGTGGGCATCTTTACATGTTGCGGTTAAATGCAGTGTTTGCCTGGAGGCAGCTTATATGAATGGTCTAGAAGTAGAGGCTCCTCCCCAGGGATGCTCTCAAACAGTCAACCCAACCATATAAATAGCCATCAGCTCCACTTTCCCAGCCTTAATTGTGCTCAATGTCAAGTAAATAACACAGTTTTATTCACTGTTCTCTCTTCTTACTTTAGAAGAGTCACGGTGGCTGAGAAAATACATAATACAATCGAGAAAGAATGATTTGTGGGTTATGACTCTGCTTCTTTTTCTCTCTGCATTGTCCGTCCTCTGACCTCCCTTGCTTTTCATGCCTCCAACTTATGCCAATTAACAACCTTGCAGCAGAAGCTAAGAGTGCAGCCTCTGAGGCTCATCTGCCTGGGATCGATCCTGCTCTGCCTGTTTCTGGCTCTGTGACCTTAAGCAAGCCACTTATTCTCTTTGTGCTCCAAGTTTTTCAGTAACGAAGTGGTAATAATAATACCTATTTCAGGGAGTTATGGCGGAGAGTAAATCAGTCAATGCACGTACAGCACTTCAAATCATGTCTGGAACATGGAGCAAGTGCTCACATAAATGCTAGTTGTTGTTGTCTCTGCTTCCTTGCTCAGGTCCTCTCAAATCTCTGCATCTTGATTTGCTTACCTATAAAATTACATTCAATTTTTTCCCCCACATTCAAATAAGTACGTGGACCTGAACAAGGAGCACAGAGGAAGAAATCATTAATAAAACACTGGCTAATTAGCATTGGTAAGCTTCTTGTCAAGGCTGTCCTGCTTTCCAGAACTATTAGAAGTTGACCCTTCTCGGACTTCTGTGAGATACTCATTAGCGGATGTCACTGTCTTAACTGAAGGGCTGGCCAAAACCTCCATGCTGAGTCAGGAAACTTCATTTTCTTCCATGAATAAATTTATTTATTTATTTATTTATTATTTTTTTGAGATGCAGTTTTACTTTTGTTTCCCAGGCTGGAGTGCAATGGTGTGGATTCGGCTCACTGCAATCTCTGCCTCCCGGGTTCAAGCGATTCTCCTGCCTCAGCCTCCCCAGTAGCTGGGATTACAGACACCCGCCACCATGCCCAGCTAATTTTTGTATTTTTAGTAGAGACAGCGTTTTACCATGTTGGCCAGAGTGGTCTTGACCTCCTGACCTCAGGTGATCCACCTGCCTTGGCCTCCCAAAGGGCTGGGACTACAGAGTGAGCCACTGTGCCTGGCCAAATTTGTTTATTTTAAAATGATGTTTATTCATCAGTCAGGGTAGTTCCAGCGATGATGGTATTGCCCTTGACATTCTGAAGGATGAGACCCCATGACTCAGGCAACCTGCGCTTCTGTGTCACCCACCCATGTGGCAGCGCAGGACAAACGAATGCAGCATGCAGGGACAGAACGTGCTGGAGACAGCTGGAAAATGTCAGGAGAGAATAAAGGTGGGAAAAATACATCACCAAAGAGACATGGGGCTGAGAGGAAAAACTGTCCAAAGAATAGAGATGTATTGGCTCCGTGTACACTACTGTCCTTTGATATATAGTTTACTCTTTCAACCCCGCTTCCAGCATTGTTCTCACGGTTATAACAAGCAAGCACAGACCCTCTCAGTTGATGAGGTGCAGGCAATAGCTGGCTTTCTCACCACCTCTTTACTTGGTACCAATAATCGCATGCTGAGATTGACTAGTGAGTCAGTCCTCAGGGACCATCTCAAGTGTCACTCTTTGACTTCTTCAAAAACTTTCACATTTACTCAAAGGCCCTTGGAACCACTGAGGGGAGGCATGACCTAAATGAACACTTTTCACTACCCTTTAAACCTTACTCTGCTTTTAAATTAAAGTTTTTTTTCTAGCATTTTTTATTGTTGCTATATGCCCAACTAAGTTTTATATATTATTAATATATTTTTGTTATGGCTCATCATTTATGTCCTTTACTAGAGTGGAAATTCTCAAATGTTGAAAACCCTCTCTGCTCTCCATTGCATTTCTTTGTGTCATCTAGAACAGTGCTCAGCATGCTTGGTGTTGAATAAGTATTGGTGGAACGAGTAGCTAATGAATGGAATGAGTTTTTCTCCACAACCTTGCCAGCATCTATTATTTTCTGACTTTTTTATTTTTATTTTTTTGAGATGGAGTCTCACCTTGTCACCCAGGCTAGAGTGCAGTGGTGCAATCTCGGCTCACTGCAACTTTTGTCTCCTGAGTTCAAGCAATTCTCCTGCCTCAGCCTCCCAAGTAGCTGGAATTACAGGCACGCTCCACCACACCCAACTAATTTTTGTATTTTTAGTAGAAACAGGGTTTCACCATGTTGTCCAGGTTGGTCTTGAATTCCTGACCTCAAGTGATCTGCCTGCCTCAGCCTCCCAAAGTGCTGGGATTACAGGCCTGAGCCACCATGCCCAGCCCTGACTTTTTAATAATAGCCATTCTGACTGGTGGTATCTCATTGTGGTTTTAATTTGCATTTCTGTAATGATCTTCATGAGAACATGCTCTACACACACCAAAAAACAAAAACCTTTAAAGTAGCATTACTTCTGGTCAGAATCTGAGTTTTTTGATCTGCCGTCCTCATAAATGAGGGTGGGTTTTCTTCAAACAAATAAGAATTGACGATAGGAACCAGAGGCAGGGTCTGGAAGGTGAAAGCAAATGAAGAAGACATGAGCCCTACTATTCAGAAACTAGAACCGAGTTATGTAGAAGGCTTGAACAGCTCCCTGAAGTTCTACCAATAACCCCTAAATTTTGTGTATTTGCAGCTTTCCTCAGGTTTTCAAAAGAGCCTTGATATGGTTTGGCTGTGTCCCCTCCCAGATAATCTTGAATTATAGCTCCCATAATCTCCATGTGTTGTAGGAGGGACCTGGTGGGAGGTAATTGAATCATGGGGGCAGTTACCTCCATGCTGTTCTCATGATAGTGAGTGAGTTCTCACGAGATCTGATGGTTTTATAAAGGGCTTGTCCCTGCTACTTCACTCTACGCATCTCCTTGCTGCTGCCATGTGAAGAAGGATGGGTTCTTCACCCATGAAGGATGGGTTCCACCATGATTGTAAGTTTCTTGAAGCCTCCCCAGCCCTGCGGAACTGAGAGTAAAACTTCTTTCCTTTATAAATTACCCAGTCTCAGGTATGTCCTTATAGCAGCATGAGAAAGGACTAACACAAGCCTATGCCATAAAAATGTTAAGAATTATAGCTACATTTTTTCTTTGTCTCACTCAACACTCTCAGAGTTTTCCTCACCTCTTTGGGAATAGTTGTTCAAAATTTGATTTCTCTGCCTCTTGCCAGAGGCATTTAGAAAACAAAGAAACAAACTGTTCCTGGATGTTTAGGAGCAAGCTTCTTCTAACCTTCACGTTGTTTAGACACCGCACCCCAGACAATTGCTTTGTTCCTTCCTTGGTATCATCTCTCTGCTAGACAGCAATATACAAAATGTTCAGTTAGAAATGGTCTTATATATCAGATTATTCACGACTTGTTATATTAAAACATACATTAAAAAATGAAGTATCAAAAGCATTTGGTAAATATATTGGAGAGCCGGAGAGCCTAGAACTCTCCAATACTATATACCTGCAATGAATATTTAAAATAAGATTCTGCTGTCAAAAATGCAGAGGGTAATGACTGATCTAATTCAGTGAGGTGGGTTTTTTTTTTTTTTTTTTTGGCATTTCCGTGCATTTCATAAAAGGTCATCATGTGGTCTACTGCCCTGATTAGTAAAAATATTGCTAGGTTTAAAATAATTGGGTCCTGTTGCTTGACACAGTCGGCAAGAGTATCCTTCACAAATGTCACACATGGGCCTGGAGAAGGATCCATGGCACTTAAAGCTAGAGGCTGTCTTGGTTTCATCCGCCTTTATTCTGTCTCAACAAAGAGCCATTAATTCTACTTTTCTCTGTAAGAACAGAAACTCTTGTTTCTGTTTTATCTGTCCTGCATGTTGTTGTTTGTGACATACTAATAGAGAGACAGGTTGTGTGTGTATAAATATTTGGGCCAGATGTTCAGCCCAAGGACATCACGATTTGCCATAAAACAATCTTTGCACCTGGGTTTTGAGTGCTCAGAGCATCATTGTAAAATCCGGAGTCCCTACCATGTTCTAGATCAGAAACTGGCAGAATGAAGGGTATAGTAATGGGATGGAGTTCAACAAAGTGGTGGGAATCTTCCAAAAAGGAATAAAAACATGTTGATAATTGTTTAATGGAAGGCCATCTCCAAGGAATGGAAGGGCTTCCCTTAGCTTTTTGCAGAAAGGAGCTGTGAACACTGAACAGAAGAATGGGAAATTAGAGGACTTTCAAGAGGGCATTTTTGAAGGAACTATTCAGGAAAAATTTAGTTGGTTAAAGGATCTTTGCAACAATAAAAATAGATTAACATTTTGTGCACAAACAAGTTTTGCTGGGAGCAAGGGAGGCTCAAAGAATGTTTTTCTTCCTCTGTTAGTTTCATTCGAACCTGCCTGCACTTGATTGGATTCCAAGTTCTGCTGGTAATGTCCTGGATATCACTTAAATTCATTCTAATACCTCTAAAATAGTCTCAGTTTTGTGGTATTAAAATATTTTACGTCAAACATTCTTATACAATTCCAACAACATGCAAATGTTTGTAGAACGCTTCACTTGCCTGAATCCAAAAGTAATTTCATAAGAAATTCTGAGCAGCTTTATATGCCAGGTAGCAGTCTCTAATAAGCTAAGAAGAGCATAAAAATAAAACTGTAGTTTTAGAATTAATGGCTGAACTTTATCAGATATAAACCAAGGCCTCAGTTCCCCAAGGTCTATTAGTTTTCCAGGTCTACATAACATCCGCTATTGTGCTAGGGACTATGGCAGAATTCATAGACGAGTAAAATGTGGTTTCATCCTCCAGGAATTCACAATCAGCAACAGAGACCACCTGTACGCAATGTGCCATGCTAGAAGGCAGATGGTGATAAGTGCTTGGGCAGGAAAGGGTTAACTCATGATGCCTGGGTTGTTTCAACCCTGCACATTCCCCAGAGAGGTCTATTTCCAGGACTGACTTTTGGCTGGTTCCTAAGAGCTAAGCATTGAGCCTTGGGAATGTTCTGCCTGGTAAGAGTGTTTTGCATGCCTGAGGCCTTGGGCCATGCTGTACCACTTTGGCCACATAATTTACTCTAATAATGGGATGTATCATAAACATCCATTTTTGGTGTGTAGTGGGGGCTGGAGCATGAGTAGCCAAGGTCCGTCACGTGGGTGCTGCATGCCTACATGACTGACCTCCAGTACCAAACCCGGACACTAAGGCTTCCCTGGTTGGCGACACTTCGCGTGTGTTGTCATGTATCATTATTGAAGAGTTAAGTGCATCCTGTGCAACTCTACTGGGAAGGGACACCTGGAAGCTTGTATTTATTTCTCCCGGACTTTGCTCTATGTGCCCTTTTCCCTTGCTGAGCTTAATTCATTCCTTTTTGCTGTGATAAATCATAACCATGGATACATGGCTTCTGAGTCCTGTGGGTCCTTCCAGCATATCATTGAGTCTGAGGTTGGTCTTGGAGACCCCGGATGCAGAGTGCTGTATGAGAAGAAGAAATCATATCATAGAACTGTGGGGAACCCCTCTACCCATGAACATGCCCATGAACAAAGCTGTCTTCCATGGCATTGTCTCAAATGTAAGATAAAACTCAGTGGCCCACACATGTATTCACATATATAATTTTTCTTACATGTACATCTGATTTTCTATCTCCTTTGATTAAAAGGATTCGTGCTCAAATAATACATTTTGGGACAAATAGAGGGGCTTATGCTTGTACTCTCTGCACTTTGGGAGGCTAAGGCAGGAGGATTGCTTGAGGCCAGGTGTTTAAGACCAGCCTGGGCGACATAGCAAGACCCTGTCTCTATGGGGGAAAAAAAAAGAATATATTTTGGACTCCTTTGCATAGATGGGGAGCCTCTTAAAATGTGGCTTTGATTTCTATTCCCAGCTTCACACCTGGTGACTCCCTCAGCTCATAGCTGTGTTACAATTACATCAAATTTCCAGCCGTGTCTCAGGCTGCATATCCAGACTGCTGCTAATTATCTTTCTGCTCTGAATGTCTTCTCTTCAGCAGTTTGGGGTCTCTTCTCCCTACTTATTAAATGACTCCTTCATACCCCAAAAGCTGAGCTGAAATATTTTCTCCACCACATAGCAATGAATATTCCCCAGTGTTCCCTGCCTTGCCAGTCCATATAGAGTTGCATTATAGCCATTATTATATTGTTCTGTTAGACTTTGATGTGTACATTTCCCCTATAGTCTGTGAGCTCCTAAGTGCCATGCCGCGTGATTCAGCTCTTCATTCCAACTGTCTAGCATGGTGCCCAGCACCCAGTAGTTCCTAGGAAAATGTTTATTAAATGAAGGGACATGCGCTTACACTGTGAAAGGAAGACAGTGGGCCCCAAGAAGATGTCAAGGACAATGGTTTCCTAAGGACTATCTGCTGAGTCTTTGATATGGACAACTGAGATGCTGGTAAACAGCCATGGTTAGGGAAATTCCCCCAACCAGTATGTTCTAGAAATAGCTTAGTGCAAGGAATGATCTTTCCACAGACGACTTAAGACTCGTGGATCACTCTCTGGTTTACTTCTAACAAGGCCAGACACAGACCCTCCAAATTTTCGTTTTTTATCTCATAATTAGCCAAGCTGTATCTATTGACCAACTGGAACAAAGGTTTGTAACTAAACTTTAGTTAAGCTTCTCTCCCTTCCTTGGTTCCCTGAACTTTGGCCCCTTCTCAGTATAAGAAGAGACCCCTCCTGAGACCAGGCTGATCTCAGGATAAAACATTCTCTAATCTACTGTGCGATCACTGGCTCACCCTGTGCATCCCATTCCCCACACCTGGTTCATTGTAGCCTTATTTACTCCTCTTTCTAACAAAACAAAACAAACAAACAAAAAACTCCTTTTTGCCTAACCCTTAACACATTTGCAGATCTTGTGGTTGGAGCATTCTTGTTATTGCAATAGTTCTATTCTCCATTGAAAGAGTCCCCCAACCCCGCTTGCCATAACAAGAGACCCCTCCTGAGACCAGGCTGATCTCAGGATAAAACATTCTCTAATCTACTGTGTGATCACGCCACCTCACTGGCTCACCCTGTCCATCCCATTCCCCACACCTGGTTCATTCTAGCCTTATTTACTCCTCTTTCTAACAAAACAAAACAAACAAACAAACAAACACAAAACTCCTTTTTGCCTAACCCTTAACACATTTGCAGATCTTGTGGTTGGAGCATTCTTGTTATTGGAATAGTTCCATCCTCCACTGAAAGAGTTCCCCAACCCCGCTTGCCATAATCTGTTTAAATAAAGCCTCTCTTTGCCAATGTCCAGAGTTTGTTTTTATTTAACAATATCCCCTGACTGACTGGAGAATTCAAAGCATGTTCATGCCTCCTTATTAGTGAATAAAACAAAGTGCCCATGATTCTCAATGTTCTATTTGCATATATTCTAATAGTTTATTTCCTGAATTCAAAGAGCATCATCCACTTACCTCTATCCCTGATGAGTTTACTTTGAGTTTACTTGAGTCTAGGTTAGTTGATCCCCAGGTTTGTAGACTCCTTGTCTGTCTTGTGCCTCTTTCTCCTATTCCCCAGATTTAAGGTAAAAGCCACACTCCATGGGCCTTGGGTAGGGAAATGCCCGGTTTTCAGGCTCCTTATGGGGATTCCCTAGGCGGCTGAAGGCACGTCCTCCTTTAACACCTCATAGAGACTCAGGCCCTGGTCCTTCAATGCATTCTTGACAACAGTGGTCCTCAACCAGTGATGATTTTGGCCTCCAGGGGACATTTGGCAAGGCTGGGAATATTTTTGGTTATCACACCTGTGAGGGGTTAGTTACTAGCATCTAGTGGGTAGAGGCCAGGGATGTTGCTAAACATCTCACAATATTCAGGATAACCCTCTGCAACAAAGAATGAGGTGGTCCCAAATGTCAATAGTGCCAAGTTTGAGAAACTGATTTCCATGAATATTACTGATTTTAACAAATTAAGCCAAGAACATTTACTTTTTCAAAAAAATGAAAGCAGGACAACAAAACTTTTCTAAGGGATATATAGGCCTTTATACAATTGTACTGGGACTGTTTTTTCTATGAGGTGCTTAAAGCTCTTCCAGAAAAAATAATCAACAATCTGACAACAGAGATTTATTGATTAATTTGCAATGTTAGGTACAACATAGATAACTTCATCACATGGTTACAATCCAGTATTTGAGCTTTGTAAGATAAGTAAACATTTATTTGAGCACAACAAAAGTCTACACACAGTATTCTGGGATTGTTTAAAAAATAAGTGTATTCTATTCCATTTGATAGCACAAAGAAGCACATTTCAGCGTGAATTGATGGATATATTTTAAAACTGGGCATTTAGTTAATGTGTCAAATTAAGCATAATAACCTAAATTTGGACTATCTGAATAAGAAATGCCTAATGAGCACTGGGCAAGTATCCTAGGATGGGAGTGGGGAAGGAAGTATGGCTTACAAGGGAGCTTTCTTTGCATTTCAAAATGTGGATGATAGAGAAGGTGAGGCCAGCATTCATGGTATGGGAACCTGTTCACATTTAAAATTACTTTGTGATCTTTAAAAATAGAGTAAAAGTATAGTTATCCAGAAGTCCTTAATAAACACCTCTTTGATCAAGAAAATAAAAGTCCGTGTAGGTCATTTAGTTGGAAGGAAAGAAGACTTATTAGGGAGACATTAGATACCTTTATTTTTCAAAAGAGTAAATCTCTGTTATTAAAATAACTAAAATGTGTCAAAGTCTTCTTTTCCCCCAATTCAAGGCTAATATCTACGAGTCAGGGAAAGTCTATGATCCTAACTGATCATGTCAAACACAAGACCATTACCCTGCTTCTGTCATTATAAATGTCACTGGAGCGGCATGTCTGCTGTACAGGTAGCAGCACATACGTGATGAAACAGGCCACTGAGCTCAATGTCAATATGTGACTTTAGACAACAATCTCTTCATATTTTAGGAAGCTTGAAGCTAACTCAATATATTATTTAAGACAATAATCTCTTTATAATTTACAATAAAATAAAGTGAAAGTTTGTATTTCATATTATTCAAGACACAAGCAGATTTTATCTGAAAAGACTTTTTTTTAAATATGAAAGCTTTCTCTTAGGATAAGAATTATGTAATCATGTTACACAAGTAATACAGTGATGGAAACAAGACAATCTTTTATCTTCCTCTTCTTCAGTTGAATGACAATAGTTTTCTGCTTAGCTGGGAGTCCACATACTATTTGGGAGAAGTGAGATATTTATCAGTGGGCTGCAGGGAATAAATGAAATCACCTCAGTAGAGGATGCTGCTATACTTTTATCAATGTCTACTGACATTGATTTGAAAGTGGAAATCTTTTGTATAAAAGTCTGGGGATTTCTCACCCATATCTTAAGTATTTCTCCGGGCTGGCAGCCCCTTAATATAATCAGAAAAGTAAAATATAGGTTACGGAATACTCTTAAAAATTATTTTGACCACTGAGTTTGTTTCTAGTTGATTCATCTAATTAGAGACATTACAAATCATTTTATATGATTAAACTTATGTGAGTGTTGTTTTCCTGGAGATTGGGTCTCATTATAAGCATTCTAATTTGGGCCCCATTGAATTCTCTCTTTGTCCAGCCCTTCTAATCCAAGCTCTTTGGAACTCACCCACAAGTTGTATGAATTTGGACAGACCTATATTTTGCTTTTCCTCTGACTTATTCTGTATGCAGTGGATCTGAGTAGCAGATTTTTTTTTATAGTTCTGCTAATGTGATGTGATGTTTTGAGAATGTTTAGAGCATTTAGAACAAACCACTGTAATCTAAGTTGGAATAAAGGGAAGGAATGATCTATACGGCAGACTGCCTTATTATCCCAGTTCCAAGAGCCAGTCAAAGAGACTCAGTCTCCCATCCTTCTGCTCCTCATGCATTTTGCAGTACTGGACAACTGCATGGAAGATATCACCCACTTTCCAGGACTTCCGATGAACCAGCTGCACGACATCTAGAAACTAAAATAAAACGGAGAGTTAGGGCTCACAGAGCACAGAGGGTCCTCAAAGCCACCTCATTCAACCACCCTCGCGAAGCCAATGGCTCTCCAGTCTCTGTTTAAATGTCTCTAGTGTCAGAGGACTGTTTTCCGGGATAATCTATTTTCTTTTTAAGAATTTCAGATTATTACCGAACTTCATCAAGTGAATTTTTTTTTTTTTTTTTTCACAGCAGTTTGCCATTCATTGACTGCAGAGGATTAGGTGGAATGAGACTAATTCTTTTTTTTTTAAGAGCCAGTCTTTTAGATATTTAGTGTTTTCTTGGGTCTGCTTTTTTCTCAGTTAGACTTTCTGTAATAGGATTGTGTATTACAGCTCCCAGTCCCTTCTATTTCTATCACAAATAAGATCTCATTGGGTGTGTAAATTTAGGCCAAATAAATCAAGTGGTAAACTTTGATGCAGGACCACCTATTGATTCTTCATTCCATCCTGAGAAGCAACTCCCTCACCCTCCAGGCTAAAATCAAGGATCAAGAAAGCCTGGCTTTCCACAGCCACAGGATCAGGAAAGATGGAGGAAACACCTTAGATTTGTCACCTGGGTATTGGTACCAGTTCTATTGGCCACAGCCTAGAGAGAAAGTCTGGACTGCAAGTGAAATTGAGGGCTTGAAGGGAGGAAAAATGGAGAAATAATTATAAGTCATTCTCTTCATGGAACTGATGAAGTCCAGTGTGAAGGACTCTCTAACTCCTTAGGTACTTTTTTGAGGAAAGATGTAATGAAAGCCAGGAACTGTAGGAAATATTTTAACACATGTAACCTCATTCAATTCTGTCACAACTCTATGATGTGAGCATTTGCAATGAAAAAGATGTGGGCTTGAAAGATGAAAAATTGTCAGTAGGATCATGGTCTTCTAACACTTCCGTACAATGCTCTTTCTATCACCGCACCTTTCTGCATTTTGGTGGCAAAAGAACTATGCCTGCACATAGTAGGGGCTCCATGCATATTTGCTGAACGACAGAAGGGTTGCAAGACCAAGCGTGAGTCAAATACATTCAAAGATCTCAAGAAGACTGTTGGGAATATGGATAAGTAAATTCTATGTTCTTGATATTTACTTGGAGCACTGGGAGAAAAAATAGGCTGGAAATTTGGCATTGTTTTAGGAGGAGGAGAGCCTTAGTTGCTAAAAAGATGAGGATTGTGGTTCAGTTACTATTTCTTCAATTTTTTTTCTAGGATTTTTTAAAATTAATTAATTATTATTATTTTTTGGTATTTGTTTGCTCAGACTTCAGAGATCAGCCAGGAACTGGAATGCTAATTTCTTTCCAGTTTGAGTATGTTAATTCACTTCAGTTACTGAGAAGTTGTCTCATAGAGATCCGCTGTTAAATGATGTTTCTTCTCCCAGCTGTGATGGTACCAACTATTTGCACAGTTACAGTAATCAGTGCTTTATTGTACTCATTTGGCTTGTATTGGCTGAATCAAAATAAAGCAATTTCCTAGGCTGGAAAATGACATCCTTAACTTTTAATACCTGGAAATATAAACATTGTCTTAAAGAGTGTTAGGATGTTGTGAAAAGGGAGACAGATGGGAGGCAGATGGCAACCATAGACAGCAATCTCCCAGCAGAAGGACATCTTAGCCATCTTTTCATATCTCGTGCCTGCACATAGTAGGTGCTCCATGCATATTTGCTGAATGACAGAAGGGATGCAAGACCAAGCGTGAGTCAAATACATTCAAAGATCTCAAGAAGACTGTTTGGAATGTGGATAAACATTTAGCATCATTGAGGACGAACTTTCACTAAGTATTCATTCTTGAGTTTTAGGTAATGTATTTTCGCATATATAATTTCAACAGGCATATCTTGAGGCTGTTGCTCGATAATTTTCTACTGCAGGAGTGCTCCTTGAAAATGACTGGAGGTTATAGATCTAGGAAAAGGCTGAACAGAGCCTGGAGTAGGAGAGTGGTGGGCAAGCAGCAAAATAAAAGCTGGTCATGGGGCACGTTTCTTATCACGTGGTGACTGAGTGGGAATATACGTTGTGGGGGTGAGATGTGGGGCTGCTTCATGCTCATGGTAACAGCCACGGTGGGCCAGCTCATTCACTCCCATCAGTCTCAGTGTTAGAATTTCAGAGAGGCTGGGTTCGGTGGCTCACGCCTGTAATCCTGGCACTTTGGGAGGCTGAGGCAGGCTGATCACGAGGTCAGGAATTCGAGACCAGCCTGACCAATGTGGTGAAAACCACGTCTCTACTAAAAATACAAAAATTAACCGGGCGTCGTGGCATGCACCTGTAATCACAGCTACTCAGGAGGCTGAGGCAGGAGAATCGCTTGAACCTAGGAGGCGGAAGTTGCAGTGAGCTGAGATTTCACCACTGCACTTCAGCCTGGGTGACAGAGTGAGACTCCATCTCAAAAAAAAAAAAAAAAAAAGAAAGAAAGAAAAAAATTTTCAAAGAAAGTATTCATTGCCTGGGACCTCTCACCACCCTTCTTAGCTTCTTGTCTACCTGATTCTTGACATTTTAGGAACAGACTACAAACCCTTTAGGTTAAGGCTTTGCTAATGAGGAAAATACTCTTGGGAAGGGGAACATTTCAAGCAGCTATTAGTGATTTATGGAGATACATAAAAATAATTTTGTGAGCTGTTACTTATATCTAAGAGTGTATGTAAGATCCAAGCCATGATTTTGATTGAACAAAGGGATGATGACATGCGGCTTCGGAATAGCGGTCTTGAAGGGAATGAAGGGGAGAAAGGCTAAAATGACAGCTTTTGTATGATTCCACTAAGCAGGCTTTTCCTCACTCTCCAGCTCTTACTGGAAATCTAGAAAGTAGAGTTCCTGGTGCAGAAGGCCTGGACATTGAGTTTCTGAGGTCTCACTGGGAGAGGCTCACAGGTTGTTGATTTGTTTCTCGAGACTTCTCTAAGGTATCCCCAGTAGTCTTGGTGCCTCCTTTCACTTAGCAAGTCTGTAAAGATTCCACTGATGGAAACATGACATTTGCCTTGGCTCCTTTCTGTAAACCGTGGCTTACGGGACCACCACCTTATCCCCAACTTTTATCTCTGAGTCATTTTCTGGGTGGGGGAAGAATCAAAGCTCTGGAGCAGATGCCAATATTTGCTAAACTCTTCCCAGAATTCTCTCTGCCTCATACCTTTCTGGAAGCCCTAACACCAGCTTCTTTCCATCTATTTGGGGCCTGTGAAGGAGAGTCTCTCCAAAGTTGTCAAAATAACTCACCAGCTAGGCCACTCTGTGTATAGTTTGTGGTGTGGTCACAAGCTGGAATCTGTCATAATTTCTAAGTCCAGGCTGATATCCCAGTAAAGTGGCATTTAAAAATGGTCTGGCCCCACTAAATAGAGCATGCTCTGAGGCCGTGACGACTTAATCTTGGATATTGAGACCTGGAAACATCTTTGGGGCTGATGAGCAAGAAGAACTCTTCTTTTCTTTTCTTCCATTAAAAAAAGGTAAGAATGAAAAAAGATTGTGAAGAAGTCAGAAAAGGACATTCTAGTTCTTTACCGGGCTTTTAAAACCATGTTTTATTTAGCAGAAAGTCCTAGAGCTCTCACTGTGCCTGTTCATGCTATTGCCTGGGTATTTTCACAATCAGCTTTAGCAAGTCACGATCTGAGTTTTTCTTTCCGCTGCATTGAAAAATAAAAATGAAAATAATTTCATTTTCTGCCATTTCACAATCAGTAATAATTAGGTTCCCTACCCATAGATCATAGTTGGCATTTCTTTGAGCAAATATTTTGTCTTAAGAAACTATATGATGGTATATCATCTGTAGACTCATTTGAAGAAAAGTATAAGATAGGAGATAACTTTTATATTCTTAGGTGCATTTAATAAATTAGATTAATTGTTTACAAAACTATATCATGAAATCTATGGGAGTTGTTGCAAGTTGTGCAATTTTTTGGAAACAGTCAACTTAGATTTCTGAAAGCAACTACCTTCTTTTGCTCCAAGGCAGAATTAGATTGCATTAAGCATAAGTGAGTTGGTCCCTATATTGCTCTGCAATTAAGGCCTGTAGAGCTATCAGTCTGAGCCTTGGCTGCACTCTGGAACCCCAGGCACCTTTACAAAACCCTGATGCCTGGGCAGCATCCCCAGAGAAGATTCTGATCTAATTGGTTTGAGCATTGGAGTTCGTAAAACCTCCCCACGTGACTCTAACGTGCACTAAATCTGACTAAAGGACTCAGTTTTAAGGCACTTTCCTATGATTACAGATGAAGCGCCTCAGTATCAAATTCTTCTAATTTTCCCCTTCCTTTCCAATGAGTTTCTTTGAAGCTGATAACCTTAACTGTAGTTTTTTTGTCTTTGTATTTGCAAAGGTAAGTCAAAAGTCAATACCATCAAATTGGAGACTATTATTCTAAGTTAAGTAACTCAGGAATGGAAAACCTAACATCGTATGTTCTCACTCATAAGTGGGAGCTAAGCCATGAGAATGCAAAGGCATATGAATGATATTATGGACTTTGGAGACTTGGGGCAAAGGGTTGGAGGCAGGTGAGGGATAAGAGACTACAAATTGGGTTCAATGTATACTGGTCGGGTGATGGGTGCACCAAAGTCTCACAAATCACCACTAGGGAACTTACTCATATAACCAAATACCACCTGTTCCCCAAAAACCTATGGAAGTAAAAAAATTTGTTAAAGTCAATACCATCAACATTTTCTCCTTCATTTTTCTTCCACCACTTTGTATGTAAAATAGAATAAGAAATTAGAGGGAGGCACTCCTCTTCTGACGCCCACTTTCTTAGGAAGGTAAGCACATACCCATTTCCTCCTTGGGCACATTCCTTTCTCTGCACTGCCCCCATAGAAAGGAAATAATTCTCAATGCAGGCTCAAAGATGAGAAAAATACCAATTTACTGTGAGAGGCAAGTCATCAGCTACCCCAGCTCAGAGAAGCTCACTGAATTCAAACAGAGAAGAGCTGGAGAGCAATGATCTTTGGATCTAAAAAACCAGGACCATTAGCCATGTGCGTGTCTTTTATTGGCCTTGGATTAATTACATTCAAGTTAACTGATGTCAAGGTTTACAAAGTGTTTTAAATTATTGGATGTAGGATTTTCAGCAATCTTTCCCCTGGGATTTAGGATACTTTAAGGCCACCTCAAATTCTGCTGCTTGTCTAAGATATTTCTCTGGAAGGAGGTCTCAAACTTCAGTGTTTATCAGAATCACATCACTTGTGGGAAATTGTTAAAAATGCATATTTCTAGGCTCCACTACCAGAAAGTGATCAGGTCCTAGAAGGGATCTAGCAATCCAATTTGTGAATAAATGTCTGTCCCACATGACTGTTTCATGCCCACATGGCTCATGGTAACAGTTTGAGAAATACTGTTCTCCGTGTGCTTCTTATTTCCCTTGTCCAGAAAAAGTCCCCATCGTATCTCAAGGTTGCTATTTACAATCTGAGCTTCTCTCCGTTTATATTCTTCTTACCTTTGGTCTGTTCTAAATTAGAATGTAAAAT
The DNA here is from genome assembly GCF_000001405.40 of Homo sapiens. Lineage (NCBI taxonomy): Eukaryota > Metazoa > Chordata > Mammalia > Primates > Hominidae > Homo > Homo sapiens. Next base: position 227,987,423 of record NC_000002.12, read on the forward strand.
CTAAGAGGGTAGGAAGTGATGTCTCTTGCTCACTGTATCTCCAGGGTGTATAACAGTGCCTGGCATTTGTAGATGCTTAAGACCTGATGAATGTTCTGAATGTACGATTTTCAGGTGCATTTAGCTTTTTAATAATTAGATAAAACACAAGTGAAAGGGAAAATTTGAAAATGAAGTACCATTTGTCACGAGAGGAGTATATTGGGCACTCAGAATGTTTGGAATTTGCCTTTTAAGTTGAACAAAGGATGGAATTAGTGGTGAGTTGCCTTTAGGTGCCCCCAACTCCAAGGCCAAGTTCCTGGGCAGTGGTGGGAAAGATGAGCTGTTTCATTATGAATTCCTGAGACCCTGTTCCCTAGCACATACCTCCCTTTTCACAAGGCAAGAAGGTTAGTAAATTGGGAACACAGTAAAATAAAACACATAGACTAATTAGCCCAAAAAAATTTTAGGATTCACACAAATTAGGAACTCAGGGATTCATCTGTGAATATTGTCCAATACCCTAGTGACAGTGGGAAGATGACATTTTCTGGACTTTGTAGAGACTTTTCTTTAACCTTATCTAAGCTGATGAGAAGCTAATGAGACACTGCTGTTCTCGTATGACACAGCCTCCATGGAAGACGAGCTCTCTTTCGTACACCACTTGAAAATGGCCATTTAACTACCTGGCTAATTCAATAACATCCAGAATAAGGTCCCCAAAAGTACTATTGATAAAAGAAAGATTATCAAAATGTTGCTTAAGGGTTTTTTTTCTTTAACCAGTTCAGTCACAGACAACAAATGGTACTCGTATTCGTGGAAAAGCCACTATGTGCAGAGAGTCTTAGATGACTCAAAAGAAAAATTAGGAGATTTTGTTCCTAAGATTACATTATTTAGAATTAAGTTTCTTGAGCTGGTGCTAATTGAATGAGTGAAATATCATTTAATATCCTTCTTGATAACATTAGCGGAATGTCTATTTTCTCAGAAAAATAGTTGTATCCAAAAACAAGCATTCTCTTTGAGAATCGAAAATCAGGTCGGGATAAACAAATACCAAGTCAGGGCATGATTTGTGTAACTCAGGTGTTTGTGAGACACCTCTTACCCTTGTACCGAATGGGGATTTATGAGACATATATTCACATAACATTGTTTCTTCAAGAAGATACATTGTACAAACATCTATTCCATTCAGATACCACCTGAAAATCTACCATGTCATGCTCTTATTCAGGGAGTGGCAGGAGATAGAGTTGGAACCAGCTCCTCTTTCATTTTCCCATGAGCCTGGGAATGTATTCCTGAGAATGTTTTTCCCTCCTCTACATAGCAAGGGGTCTTTGGGACAGTGTATGGCATGGGGGTAGGGTCACACATGATTATGCTTTTTTATTGCACCCTTTGCTGCTGAGTTGTAAGGTCAGAGGAGAATTTATCAAATAGTGAACCGCTCAACACCTTGTAAATGAAAGTATGACAAGTATAGGAAGGTGCCTAGAATAATTTTGGGTAGAACAGCAGGCAGACATAGGCATGAAGGGAAGTGTTAATTACCAGTTGGAAAAAGGTTGAAGTGAGAAAGGGTATGAAAAATGAATTAGGTCTCCTTTTCAATTTTTCCTGTAGTCGATCCCATGGACTAGTGATGCAGAAATAGAGAAGCTGTTCTAACTACTGTAAGCAGGGACAAGAAGGTAAAGAACATTTCATTTCAGGCTGCTAGATTTTGGCACTGAGAATTAAAATGCAATTACACAGTTAAAAAAATCCAGATTGTAAGCCCAAGGTCATTTAACTTGAGAAAGATCCTTTTAAAATAAAGAACTACTGGGAAGTATTTTATGGAGAAAACAGGGCACAGGGGCTTGGCCTGGGAAATCGCTCATGTACCCGATTTGCTCCTAGTCAAAAAGGGACAATAATATCTGTTCTGTTTTTTCACAGGCTTGTTGAGAAGCAAGTAGGATGAGGCACATGGAGGCACTTTGTGACAATAAGACATGAAAATCCTACCTGGTGGCTTGATAGGCAGGATCCTAAAACAGTACTCAAGGTTTTTCACCCTAATCCCTGGGACCATGAATAGGATGCGATATCATGCCCTTATTACGCTACCTTATATGGCAAAAAGGATTTATCAGTTACCTTTGAGTTAATCAGAAACCTATCAGGTGATTATAATCTAATCACACTTATTCTTTTTTGAGACAATGTCTGACTCTGCCACCCAGGATGGAGTGCAGTGGTGGAATCTCGGCTCACTGCAACCTCCACTTCCTGGGTTCAAGCGATTCTCCTGTCTCAGCCTCCCGAGTAGCCAGGATTACAGGTGCCTGCCACCATGCCTGGCTAATTTTTGTTTTTTTTTTTTTTTTTAAGTAGAGATGGGGTTTCACCATGTTGGTCAGGCTGGTCTTGAACTCCTGACCTCAGGTGATCTGCCCACCTTGGCCTCCCAAAGGACTGGGATTATAGGCATGAGCCACTGCACCTGGCCTAATCACACAAACTCTTTAAAGACAGAGCTTTTTCTGGCTGGTGGCTGAAGGTATCAGGGAGATTGACACCAAAAGGACATAAAGGAGCCATGTGACAGAGAATGTAGGTGGCCTCTGGGCACTGAGAGCAGCCCTCTGCTGACAGCCAGCAGGGAAACAGGACCTCAGTCCTACAACCACATGGAACTGAATTAGCACAACAATCTGAACAAGCTTGGACTCTTTCTCTTCCCCGGAACTTTTGGATAAGTGCCCAGTCAGGCTAATGCCTTAATTTCCACCTTGTAAAACCTAAAGCAAAGATTACAGTAGAACTCACCCTAACTTTGGACCTACAGAGCTGAGTGCTGTTTTAAGCTGGTAAATTTGTGACAGTTTGTTACACAGCAATAGAAAACTAGTATGTTATTATTAATTTGAAATCTTTTAAAACGAGTCTACTTTTAAATTATGGAAAATTGAGCTTGAAGACATTGGGAGACAGATTCATGCCTTACTCTTAATAGCTAAGATTCTACCGCAGTTAATGGTAGGTCTTAGAGATATAGAATTAGAGTGATAGTTACTATTAATTTTGATGTTGGCCAAGGATCTCTTCCCTAGCTTTATATTTCTGGTAGGTGGAGAATAATAAATAAAAAGTCTTCCTAACACGAACCTGTTTGGAAGGGAATTAAAAATGCCTTCTCTTGGCCTGTTTTAGATGTCAGTGTGGCCTCACTTTGGTTTCTGTTATATATCAGGTTCTTCTTTCTTTCTTTTATTTAAAGGATCACTATCAAGAAGTTTGTCCCAGAGCAAGAAAACACCAAAAAAATAACAGACTCTAAAAAAGTTCCCATCCCCTCAATTTACTTTTCTCACTACCACCTACTAGCCAAGACAAAGTAAGGATCAAAGAAACGCTAAGTATATTATATTTACACAGGTGGAAGATTTCAATGTTCTAGCCGCAATTTTAAGATCAAGAACAGTCAGGATCAAATAATTCAAATGGACAGGGGTTTACTGAGCATTTACTGAGTTTCCAGTGGTGATGAAAACACAAAGCTTTCTTGTTTTCCAAACCTGGTACATGATACCTTTTCAATTCTGTTTTCCTGAGATTTCTTAAAGTAGATGGTGGGAATCCCCAGTTCAGAGGCAGCTATCCACTGCAGAGTGGCTCGGAGCTCGGCATCTGGACACTCTGGCTCCAGGTCAAAGTTGATCACCAGCAGGCTCCTCTGGGGGCTGGCTGTTCCCGTAGGCGGTCCAGATGCAGGTGCTGAGAACAGACACAACCACAGCCTTATCCTTCTTTCCAAAGGGACAGCCCAGGCAATTGTGTGTCAAAAGTATGGGAAGGTGGCTTACCCTCTGTGCTTTCTGACTGTCCTTTAAGAATCTTCTTTTCTTCTACTAATTCACTTTGGGAGAAAACAACAGTATATGGTTGGTAATGTTTAGAAGAATAAGCTGTAAATGAAAGATGAGGCGATGGGTCTTACTGATCTAAAAGCTTCTGAAGTTCATTCTGGATTTATTGTTTTTGTAGAGTAGAGTAATGCTGGGAAAACACCAATGTGGCTATTATGTAAGATCACTGGGTCTGCAATAAATGTCCTCCTCCAACAACAACAACAGGCCAGATAACTCAAGTTACTTTAGTTAGGATAGCTGGTGTGGGAGACTGAGAGATGCAACCTTCTCTTCAACCTCCTTACCATAAACTTTCATAGGTTTAAACAATGAAAGAGAGATTTTGTGGGTAACTAGTTCTGATTTGGAGATTTATTCTTTTGCATTTTACTTTCATCTTAATGAATCATATGTTCCCATCTTGTCACAATTTTTTTTCTATACTACAATAGCAACATAGCTTTTATTTTATTTAAAAAATAATTTTACATGTATATGGTTATTTGATCTGAAATAAGAAAAAAGACAACCAACAAACTGCAGAACTTAAATTTGACAGCAAAATATCACAATTAAAGTTTTTCTTTTTCTTTCTTCTTATTGGGGAAGTGTAGCAGGCTGGGTGGTTTAGAATGAGGGACTCATAACTGAAGTATTTCATTAGATATGGTAGAGTTTAATATTGGAGGTGTTTTCATATGGTGTGTACTTATTACAGAACCTTGCATGTAGTGGGAGGACTTGGTAAATGTTTCTAAAGTAAGAACATATGGCCAGCAGCTGAAAGGAAGTGGCTATCCTGGGAAGCCTGTGGTTGTCCTATATTTTTGTCGTGTCTAGAAATTAGAGTACAGGAGCCCTCAAAAATGTGTTGTTTGACGATAGATGATTCTCTCATTCTGCTACTGCTAAGATATGGCTGAAAAATTCCATTGTGTTCCTGATGTTGAGAGAAAGAGTATAGTAATTCTTTCATTCATACTTATTTATTTGCAGAAATGCTAATTTTTCAAGGATCTAGATTTTCTTCTAGATCTCTATGCAAGTGACATAGGGGGTATGACAAATGGGAGGCACAGTTTCTGCTGTTTTGGAGCTGCAGGATGCTGACCATGGAGGTGATTGCTTGGCTTCCTCAGAATACAGATTTTCCCTGGGGTTGTAGGGTCATAGGCTCATATTGCAGAGAAAGTTGGGAAAAGTAGCTAAATAAATGTTTCCTGAAAGAGAAAAATAAATTTACCCCAAGGTAGTTTTTGTTTGTTTTGGTTTTTGGTTTCTCCTTAAAACAAAAGAAAAGAAAACAAAACAAAACAAAAAAACAAGATAATGTGTATGCTCATCTCTACTTGTGAATAATGGCTGTGTGGAGCCACAAAGGAACCACTGTCACCCTCAATCACTGAGGAGCACAACTAGTTAAATGGTGAAATAAAAGTGCTGTAGTTATAGATAGTGATTGAGAAAATAGGTCAGGGAACAACTTTAGCCTATACTTATTTATCATTGCTCTGAAATTTCAGAAATCTCCAAATCATAAGCTAAATCACAATGGTCAAAAATAGATTTCAATCATTTTAATTTTCCAGAATAACCACATATTCTAGAAGTAGTCCCGACCTCATGCTGCCCTCTCTTTTTGCGCCATATTTTAGGATGTATGTACTTCCTAAAAGTACCTGTCCTTCTCTAAGTCCTTTTTTCCTTCTTAAGGAAGTCCCCATATTGTGGAGAGCATAGTCACGGGGTGGGAATGACACATATCCATCATGACAACCATGTAATATTAGACACATTTAGTAGTGATAATCCCAGGTTTCTACATGTAAAGGAAAAGCCATTCACATTTGATTTTATTGAAATGATTATGTTTTATAGTGAAGACTATTGAGTAGTCCTCTTTAGATGGCATGGTATAATTTAAATGGGTTCTTGCTTCTGTTTCTAGGTAGGTAAAATGACATACACTTCAGATTATATTGATAAGTTTTATCTGAAATGATTATTTCACAGGGGGCAGATTTGAAACCCAGAAAGCAGGTGGTGGTAGGGCAGGGCCTATTCTAGGCTTGAATTCTTCCTCCAGTGACATGGAACCACAGCAGTACAGACATGATGAGGTCAGTGGTTGGGCACAACCTGAATGATCAAAATGGATTGCCAGATGGAATTGGAGTAGTGGTCTCACAATCACTGCATCTCAGTGGCTACTTACTTAATCATGGGAGAAGATGGCATGCTTTCCTGATAAATGTCCAGATCCATAATGCCAAGACTGCTAGTGGCACTACTGTTGCCATTGCTGACAAAGCAAAAGTTTACATATTAATGCCCGTCTCCACCCTCTAACATGCTGCTGACAGTGATGTTCCATTGTTGTACAAGCTCCTTCCTTTGGTCCCCAGAAAAATATCGCTTTGTGCCTAGGACACCTCAATTCATATTTATTTCTGAACAAATTAAGAGAAATCATAATGAGACATAGGCCTAACCAGCTCAGCAGATAATAATAATACTACTAATAATTTGTGAATAATAATAAGTTGTGATACCACTTTCTGAAGTGGTATCACAACTGGTAGATCACACCTAGGGGGTAACAATCAGTCTGCCTCTTTTCTTCATTCTAGTTACGGTGAAGGTATTTATCTATCGGCAAGAGATTTCTTGCTGCTGGGGACACCTGCAGAGATGAAGGAACTTCTGAAAACATGGGCTGGCAGGAACCAGTTTTGACAGAAACCAGTGGACTCATGTTCTCCCTTTGACATTTGGGGGATTTTCTCAGGGACATTCCATAGGATTTCATAGGCTGAGCATCTGGCTTGCTATTTTCCCATGAGACTACAGAACCATAAGTACAAAGCTGGGCAATGTCAATGTTTTATCACTCCTTTATCTTACAATCTTCAAGAAAGAGCAACACCTGGTACCTTTTTTACTGTAGAGAGGGAGGACCACAGATTGCATCATGTTCATAGGCTGCACAGTCAACATATGGTCTAGTTACTAGCCTGGAACTTACTGACTGAAACACAGCAAAGTTGAGCCAATTTTTAGGCTCTGTTTGTGCTTGTGAAATGAAATATATCCAATTTTACCAAACCACTCAGTCTCCTCACACCTTCTCTGTTTCCAGTGATGTCTCTTTCAAGCAAGTCTTCCAAAGGGTGAGTGGTGGTGCGTCGTGTAGTGGGACGGCTTTCTCCTGGATATACCAAGAGTAGATGGTACTCTAAAAGTAGAAAATATCAACTGGATGCCCTCGAATTTAAATTCTTGTCTTAGCTTTTGAGGGGGGCACCAGGCATATTCATGTATTGAAACCTGATGGCTCAAAATTGCACTGGAGATAATCAACCCTATAAACCTTATTGTTGAGTCCAAAGATTCGAGTTCTCTTTGCTTTTTGTTTCTATCTTGTAATACTTTCCGCTAGTTTTAGAAGTTTTGACAAACTCTTTAACATTGTGAAATGTTAAGTCTAAACAGACTAAACTCCCAGAAATAAAACTTTCCAAGAGTCATACATACACCCAGATGCTGATCCCATTTTCCATTTGGCCTCTGTGCAAAGTTTGTGGTTCAGTATCAAATGAGATTTTGGGCAGAAACACAGGGAGTCTTTTAGAGGTTCCACCTCAGCAAGGAATAGATTTTAGTTAATGTCTCCTGACTGGCTTGAGCCCTTCCAAATCTGATGTCTCTTAATCTCCTCTCTAGCTTTTTGGGAGGAACAATACAGAGGGCAGGGGAGATAGAGGGAGGAACAGTCAGGCCAAACAATACAACACAGTGTGGAAACACTTGCCTCGTGTAAACCCAGCCTGTGTTGCATCTGAAATACAAATGAACCAGAGACAGAGTATCAAACACACCAGGTGTAAAAGCAGCTCACCATTTAAAAACATTTACAGTTGTCATCATTGAATGTTCTAGCTGGGGCTTGCAGGGAAGGGAACACAGCTCATTCTTAATCACGGCCAAAGTAATTTAAGCCATAACTGGATATTAAGATACCTCTCAGCACAAATCATGACAGGCAGGCCCCTCGACATAGTGGGAACTTTCCTTTTTTTGTTCTCTCCTTCTCTCTTTATTAGGGACCCTTTGCAGAGAACCATTAAAATGCATTTTTAGAATCTGTGTTGAGACCAATTTCCCTGGGAATTCAAGGGAAGAGCAGGTACCTCATGGATCGCTCACTGAGCTGGAGAAAGCTACTTGTGTCATCTGGGTTGTCTTCCTCATTGGCAAGCTGGGTCCAGCTGCCTGTGCTCTCCTCGCTGCTGCTTGGAGGGTTGGGGGCCTCATCGGGGGCTCTGGCTTCTGTGGAGGCTTCAGCCTCTGGTACATCTCTGGTATCAAGGCTGTCACTGTAGAGGGCAAGATATTATTACCAAGAGAGGCAGCACACACACACACACACAGAAACTTCACAGAGCCACTTTGTAGAGTCCCAATAAACAGGATGTCACTGGACACAGGCAGAGTCTCCCTGGGCTGATCCTTCTGCTGGTGCCCTAGGTCCCATTTGCCTTTTCAGGATTACTCCCCATCAGCCAGCTTTTCCATCTCTTCTATTAATCTCTTTCTACTGACTCCCTCCAATCATTTGAAAAACAGGTTGAATGTATGTAGCCTGGCCTACACACAAAAGAATTATTGAGGGACAATGATGTTTAAAAAGAAGATACACAAAGCATTCACCCGAGAGATTATGATTCAGTGTTTCTGGAAGGAGGTCCACAAATCTGCATTTTTATCAATCACTCCTGGTTGATTCTAATGCAAGAGGATCATTAGAAAAATACCTACCCCGTTTCTGGTGCTTTTTACCAAGTCATTTTGCACTGACTTGGTAAAAAGCAAGACGCCTCTATATTTTGATATGCATGCCTCTGTATTTTGCACTTGCACTATATTTTGTGCTGTATTTTACCCTATCTCCTCCCTCTGAAACCCCTGATTTATATCAGCACCACTCTTCTGGATGAGCACTTGCATTTTTAGACCAAGGAGCTCTCCAGAGCATTTAACCCTTGATCTGACAGGCCTTTGTTCTTGAAGCTTCTCCTCCCTGGCCTCCTGTGAATTTCTGTCTCTCTGGTCCCTTCTTGCCTGGAACCCAGTTGTCTGTTTTTCCTTTAAGTGTAGCTATAGCTGGCTCTGATTGATTTCCTGTCCTCCTTTCCACAGTCGGTTCCTAAGCAATCTCATCCACTTGCCTGTCTGTGAAAATAGCTTCCAAGTCTGGATCCCAGCCAGGACCCTTCTTCTGGATTCTGGGCTCCTTTACAAGCGGGTCTTCTGCATATCTCATTAACATCTCAAAATCAATACATCTAAAACGAATTCTAATTGCCTTCCCACCCTCTTCCTGGGCTTCTTATTTCCATTGACTTTTCTGTGTGCCTAGGCTTAAAATCTTGCAGTCTTCCAATTTCTCCTCTTTGCCCTTTACATTCAATAAATTTCTTTGTTCATTCAGTTCCAACTCAAAAGCTTTCACAATTACTTTTAATGGCAAAACCCTCAATTACTGTTACACCAACATACTTTAATTTGTCTTTCTAAATTGCTATAATTCCAGATTTGGAAGGAAGATTTCCTGTAGATGAAGATCCAGAAGCCCAGTGAGATTGGAGGGCTTATCCTGAAACAGGAGTTGGTACTAGACATTTAGACCTTGTGTGCTTGCCTGGACTATAGTGCACCAGCCTTCCAACGGTTGTGCTTCAACTAGTCATCCACTTTCAAAACCTTCTTAACCCTGGTGCCAGATTAAAGTACCTAAAGCATATTGTTGGTTGCTCTTGTCAGGAGCCTTCAGGAACTTCCTGAAGCCAAACTCTATCCGTTGTGGGCTCCCCCTGCTTATCAAGTTTCATGTGCCTCAACCCTAATCACTATTTAACAAACAAAACTATCTACTGTTTTTCAAAACTGCAGGGATTTCTTGCCTCCCAGCCTTTGCCTAGTTGAGTCTTCTGACCAAATGGTGGAGAAGTGTGTGCTTCGAGCATACATTCTGCCATCCAACTGCTGTAGATTCCTGTTCCACGACTTGTCACCTGTTCAACTTAAGTTAATAAATCTCTCCAAGAAAAGTAACAACATCTCATAAAGGTTTTTGGAAGACATAAATTAGAAAAAAAATCATTTAATGCATTTAGCTTAGTGCCTGTATATAAGTATCCAATAAGTATTCTTCTTTATTAATAAATTATATAATTCATTAAGTCTAATAACATGCTTTTGTTAAGAATCACGTCTAATAACACGCTGTTTTGATCTTTGCTTCTCACTACCCCTCAAGCCTCAGCCAAGACACTCCCACCTCCCCAAGGCCTTTCTTAATCTTTTTAGCTGGAGCTCTCTCCCTTGAATGGTTGAAGCAATCTATTTTTCTTTCTTTTTGGTGAAATGGAAGGCTTCCTGAGTCACATTCTAGTACATATAGTTATTTGTGTATATAATATTCGTTATTAAGAGTGTTTGCACTTGTTTGTATTTTAAGAACAGAGCTGTGAACACATAAACTATTCTTCAGATGAATATGTTATTGCTAAAAGTGTCTAGTTTCATAAGCAGAGCCACACTCTTAGTCTAGAGAGCTCCACTTGTTAAGTTGTAAACTGTGAAAGATCTGAGATGTGGCACTACTTGCAAGCTGGTAGTTTTTTGTTTGTTTGTTTGTTTGTTTGAGACAAAGTCTTGCTTTGATGCCCAGGCTGAAGTGCAGTAGCATGATCTCAGCTCACTGCAACCTCCGTCTCCCAGATATAAGCAACTCCCCTGCCTCGGCCTCCCAAGTAGCTGGGATTACAGGCATGTGTCACCATGCCTGGCTAATTTTTTTATTTTTAGTAGAGATAGGATTTGCCATGTTGGCTGGGCTGGTCTCGAACTCAAGTGACCTGCACTCCTGGGCCTCCCAAAGTGCTGGGATTACAGGCATGAGCCACTGCGCCCGGCCTTTAGGGTTAATATTCAATCACCCTTTAATTCAGGTATGAGTGCCCTTTGCTCAGGAAACTCTGATGTACAGAAATGTAAACGTGTTCATGGAAATTTGTCTGCAGACTACTTACAAGGTCATCAAAAACTAACAGTATTTATGTTTTTGACATTAACAGACATAAATGACTACAAACAAAAAGCAACAGCATATTTTGCTATTGACAGTAAAAACAGTCACTTGATCTAGTAGATGCTGGATTGTTTTACTTCAGGCCATGGTACCCTGACTGTGGAGAATACAGGCTGCTGACTGTACACACTGGGAATTACCCTCAGTGAAGGAATTGCCTTGCCAAGGTTAGACCCTTTCCCGGTGAGGATCCTAATGTCTGGCTAACATAGAGATACAAAATCCCACTCCTTGCTTCCATTTGCATCAAAACTGACAGACCATCCCATCTTCCGGGTTTCCTGCAGGATGTGCCGAGGCCTCAGTTGCAGACACACTTGGGAAGGACCTCTCCTCTTGGCCAATCCTGCCTTTCCCACTTCCTTACATGGGTATGCATATATTTCTGCAGAGAACTCCCTGACAAATTATCTGCCTGCAGCTCTCCCTCTCAGAGTCTGTTCCCAGGGAATACAACCTAAGACAGGTGGCCTCTTTCATTTAAAGTAAAATATTGGCTGCAGAAAGGTCTATGTAATTTTCCTCAATCTTAGAATTAGTACTGTTATCCGTTCTCTGAGAATGGTTATATTTTAAAAATTTAAAAAAGTTCTCATATAGAGAGCAGAGTTTCAAATGCATAACTTTTTGAGTGTGATTAAAAATCTCCTTTTTGATGTGTGAACTTGTCACCTAAGGAATTTTACAAAAGGCTTTGGATGCTTGATCCTGACAGTCCTTCTCACAGTGTTCTGGGTAGGTTTGGCATTGAGGTGTGGTTATTTCCAGTATGCTATGCTGCTAACACTTTGTGAAAGAAGGTCCTTGCTTGGTTTTTCTTGTTGAAATATTGAGATTTTTCCAAATCATGTAGGGAGGAAGGAGGAGAATGGTGCAGCCAAAGAGGCAGCATGGACTTAAATTCAAATGAAAAAAAAGTTCATTGATGACAAATGGAAATAATACATATATCCCCAACACAGTGCAAATGAGCCAAGAACCAGATACAAAGGAGAAGATTCCCAAACCATTCACTTGCCTAGGTAAAAAGTCATTTCCTGGACCAATTTCTTATTAAGTTAGAATCTCATGTTATTAGAAACATTTATTCCAGGCTATTTCTTACTAAAGAAGTTAAATCTCAGTGATTGACATCCAACATCCTTATTAAAAAATGAGTCTGTCAGTGTATTTTACTTTATCTCAACTTCATGCTCTATTTAAAGTAAATCTCACATTCCATGTCACATAACTAGGAGTTCAGAATGAATAATCATTATCCACAACACTAGTTTTCATTTTGAGAGAAATTGAAATTTACAGTTCTGCTCATTTATTTATGAATAATGCACAGAGGTGTTGTGCAGATGCATGCAGATGGCTTCCCCCTTCTTATCTTACATGTCATCCACAGAGATTCAGAAGACTATGTCATATCAAATTCCATCATAGAATCTAATCTCTCAGTTGGCAGAGATTTTAGAGACCATCTAGCCTGTAATTTCCATTAGGGTTCACTCTTGATGTTGCATGTTCTATATAGGCTTTGACAAATGTATAATGACTAATATCATACAGTATAAGTTCACTGCCCTAAAAATCCTCTGTGCTCTACCTGTTCAACCCTCCTGCCCTCTAACCTCTGACAACCACTGATCTTTTTATTGTCTCCATAGTTTTGCCTTTCTTGAGACTGTCATATAGTTGGAATCATATAGCATGTAGCGTCTTAAGATTGGCAACGTTTGGCCAGGAGCGGTGGCTCACGCCTGTAATCCCAGCACTTTGGGAGGCCAAGGCGGGTGGATCACCTGAGGTCAGGAGTTCAAGACCAGCCTAGCCAACATGGTGAAACACTGTCTCTACTAAAAATACAAAAATTAGTCGGCCGGGCACGGTGGCTCACGTCTGTAATCCCAGCACTTTGGGAGGCCAAGGTGGGTGGATCACGAGGTCAGGAGATGGAGACCATCGTGGCTAACATGGTGAAACCCCATCTCTACTAAATATACAAAAAATTAGCCGGGCATGGTGGTGGGCGCCTGTAGTCCCAGCTACTCGGGAGGCTGAGGCAGGAGAATCGCTTGAACCCATGAGGTGGAGGTTGCAGTGAGCCAAGATGGCGCCACTGCACTCCAGCCTGGGAGACAGTAAGACTCCATCTAAAAAAAATAATAATAATAAAAATAAAATAAAATAAAATACATAAAAGATTGACAACATTTAATAATATGCACTTAAGGTTCCTCTGTATCTTTTCATGGCTTGACAGTTCTTTTTTGTTAGTGCTGAATAAAATTCTATTGTTTGGATGTACCACAATTTATCCATTTACCTACTGAAGAATCCCCTGTTGCTTCTAAGTTTTGGCAATTCTAACTAAAGCTAGTATAAACATCTGTGTGCAGGTTTTTATATGGGCATAAGTTTTCAACGTGTTTGGGTAAATACCAAGGAACAGGATTGCTGGGTCGTATGGTAAGAGTATCTTTAGTTTTGTAAAACACTCCCCAAATGTCTTCAAAAGTGGCTGCTCCATTCTGTATTCCAATCAGTAATGAATGAGTTTCTGTTGCTCCACATCTTTGCCAGCATCTGGTTTTGTCAGTATTTTGAATTTTGGGATTCTAATATGTATGTGGTGGTATCTGATTGTTTTGATTTGCAAGTCCATAATGACATAATGTTGAACATCTTTTTATATGCTTATATGCTATCCATACATGTTCTTTGGTGAAGTGTCTCTTCAGGCCTTTTGATCATTTTTCTTTTATATAAACATATATATATATATATATACACACACACACACATATATAAATATATCTATACATATATCTATACATATAAATATATCTATACATATATAAATATATATACATATATAAATATATATACACATATATAAATATATACACACATAAATATATATACACATATATAAATATATATACATAAATATATATAAATATATACATATATAAATATATATATGTATATATACGAATATATACGTATATATAAAAATATATATACGTATATATAAGTATATATACGTATATATAAGAATATATATACATATATATAAAAATATACATATATATAAAAATATATATACACACATATATATTTATTATACTTTAAGTTCTAGGGTACATGTGCACAATGTGCAGGTTTGTTACATATGTATACATGTGCCATGTTGGTGTGCTGCACCCATTAACTCGTCATTTACATTAGGTATATCTCCTAATGCTATCCCTCCCCGCTCCCCGCAGCCCACAACAGGCCCTGGTGTGTGATGTTCCCCTTCCTGTGTCCATGTGTTCTCATTGTTCAATTCCCACCTATGAGTGAGAACGTGAAGTGTTTGGTTTTTTTTCCTTGCAATAGTTTGCTGAGAATGATGGTTTCCAGCTTCATCCATGTCCCTACAAAGGACATGAACTCTTCATTTTTTATGGCTGCATAGTATTCCATAGTGTATATGTGCCACATTTTCTTAATCCAGTCTATCATTGTTGGATATTTGGATTGGTTCCAAGTCTTTGCTATTGTGAGTAGTGCCACAATAAACATACGTGTGCATGTGTTTTTATAGCAGCATGATTTATAATCCTTTGGGTATATACCCAGTAATGGGATGGCTGGGTCAAATGGTATTTCTAGTTCTAGATCCCTGAGGAATCGCCACACTGACTTCCACAATGGTTGAACTAGTTTACAGTCCCACCAACAGTGTAAAAGTGTTCCTGTTTCTCCACATCCTCTCCAGCACCTGTTGTTTCCTGACTTTTTAATGATTGCCATTCTAACTGCTGTGAGATGATATCTCATTGTGGTTTTGATTTGCATTTCTCTGATGGCCAGTGATGATAAGCATTTTTTCACGTGTCTGTTGGCTGCATAAATGTCTTCTTTTGAGAAGTGTCTGCTCATCTCCTTCACCCACTTTTTGATGAGGTTGTTTTTTTTCCTGTAAATTTGTTTGTGTTCTTTGTAGATTCTGGATATTAGCCCTTTGTCAGATGAGTAGATTGCAAAAATTTTCTCCCATTTTGTAGGTTGCCTGTTCACTCTGATGGTAGTTTCTTTTGCTGTGCAGAAGCTCTTTAGTTTAATTAGATCCCATTTGTCTATGTTGGCTTCTGTTGCCATTGCTTTTGGTGTTTTAGACATGAAGTCCTTGCCCATGCCTATGTCCTGAATGGTATTGCCTAGGTTTTCTTCTAGGGTTTCTATGGTTTTAGGTCTAACATGTAAGTCTTTAATCCATCTTGAATTAATTTTTGTATAAGGTGTAAGGAAGGGATCCAGTTTCAGCTTTCTACATATGGCTAGCCAGTTTTCCCAGCACCATTTGTTAAATAGGGAATCCTTTCCCCATTTCTTGTTTTCATCAGGTTTGTTAAAGATCAGATGGTTGTAGATGTGTGGTATTATTTCTGAGGGCTCTGTTCTGTTCCATTCGTCTATACCTCTGTTTTGGTACCAGTACCATGCTGTTTTGGTTACTGTAGCCTTGTAGTATAGTTTGAAGTCAGGCAGCGTGATGCCTCCAGCTTTGTTCTTTTGGCTTAGGATTGACTTGGCAATGCGGGCTCTTTTTTGGTTCCATGTGAACTTTAAAGTAGTTTTTTCCAATCTGTGAAGAAAGTCATTGGTAGCTTGATGGGGATGGCATTGAATCTATAAATTACCTTGGGCAGTATGGCTATTTTCACGACATTGATTCTTCCTACCTATGAGCATGGAATGTTCTTCCATTTGTTTGTGTCCTCTTTTATTTCGTTGAGCAGTGGTTTGTAGTTCTCCTTGAAGAGGTCCTTCACATCCCTTGTAAGTTGGATTCCTAGGTATTTTATTCTCTTTGAAGCAATTGTGAATGGGAGTTCACTCATGATTTGGCTGTTTGTCTGTTATTGGTGTATAAGAATGCTTGTGATTTTTGCACATTGATTTTGTATCCTGAGACTTTGCTGAAGTTGCTTATCAGCTTAAGGAGATTTTGAGCTGAAACGATGGGGTTTTCTAAATACACAATCATGTCATCTGCAAACAGGGACAATTTGACTTCCTCTTTTCCTAATTGAATACCTTTATTTCTTTCCCCTGCCCGATTGCCCTGTCCAGAACTTCCAAAACTATGTTGGATAGGAGTGGTGAGAAAGGGCATCCCTGTCTTGTGCCAGTTTTCAAAGGGAATACTTCCAGTTTTTGCCCATTCAGTATGATATTGGCTGTGAGTTTGTCATAAATAGCCCTTATTATTTTTAGATACATCCCATCAATACCTAATTTATTGAGAGTTTTTAGCATGAAGGGCTCTTGAATTTTGTCAAAGGACTTTTCTGCATTTTTGAGATAATCATGTGGTTTTTGTCTTTGGTTCTGTTTACATACCTGATTACATTTATTGATTTGCGTATGTTGAACCAGCCTTGCATCCCAGGGATGAAGCCCACTTGATCATGGTGATAAGCTTTTTGATGTGCTGCTGGATTTGGTTTGCCAGTATTTTAGTGAGGACTTTTGCATCGATGTTCATCAGGGATATTGGTCTAAAATTCTCTTTTTTCATTATGTCTCTGCCAGGCTTTGGTATCAGGATGATGCTGGCCTCATAAAATGAGTTAGGGAGGATGCCCTCTTTTTCAATTGATTGGAATAGTTTCAAAAAGATTGGTACCAGCTCCTCCTTGTACCTCTGGTAGAATTCGGCTGTGAATCCATCTGGTCCTGGGCTTTTTTTGGTTGGTAGGCTATTAATTATTGCCTCAATTTCAGAGCCTGTTATTGGTCTATTCAGAGATTCAACTTCTTCCTGGTTTAGTCTTGAGAGGGTGTATGTGTTGAGGAATTTATCCGTTTCTTCTAGATTTTCTAGTTTATTTGCGTAGAGGTGTTTATAGTATTCTCTGATGGTAGTTTGCATTTCTGTGGGATGGGTGGTGATATCCCCTTTATCATTTTTTATTATGTCTATTCGATTCTTCTCTGTTCTTTATTAGTCTTGCTAGCGGTCTATCAATTTTGTTGATCTTTTCAAAAAATCAGCTCCTGGATTCATTGATTTTATGAAGGGTTTTTTGTGTCTCTATCTCCTTCAGTTCTGCTCTGATCTTAGTTATTTCTTGCCTTCTGCTATCTTTTGCATGTGTTTGCTCTTGCTTCTCTAGTTCTTTTAATTGTGATGTTAGGGTGTCAATTTTAGGTCTTTCGTGCTTTCTCTTGTGGGCATTTAGTGGTATAAATTTTCCTCTACACACTGCTTTAAATCTGTCCCAGAGATTCTGGTATGTTGTGTCTTTGTTCTCGTTGGTTTCAAAGAACATCTTTATTTCTGCCTTCATTTTGTTATGTACCCAGTAGTCATTCAGTAGCACGTTGTTCAGTTTCCATGTAGTTGATTGGTTTTGAGTGAGTTTCTTAATCCTGAGTTCTAGTTTGATTGCAATTTGCTCTGAGAGACAGTTTGTTATAATTTCTGTTCTTTTACATTTGCTGAGGAGTGCTTTACTTCCAACTATGTGAATTTTGGAATAGATGCGGTGTGGTTCTGAGAAGAATGTATATTCTGTTGATTTGGGGTGGAGAGTTCTCTAGATGTCTATTAGGTCCACTTGGTGCAGAGCTGTATTCAATTCCTGGATATCCTTGTTAACTTTCTGTCTCGTTGATCTGTCTAATGTTGACAGTGGGGTGTTAAAGTCTCCCACTATTATTGTATGGGTGTCTAAGACTGCCTGTAGGTCTCTAAGGACTTGCTTTATGAATCTGGGTGCTCCTGTATTGGTTGCATATATATTTAGGATAGTTAGCTCTTCTTGTTGAATTGATCCCTTTACCATTATGTAATGGCCTTCGTCTCTTTTGATCTTTGTTGGTTTAAAGTCTGTTTTATCAGAGACTAGGATTGTAACCCCTGCCTTTTTTTGTTTTCCATTTGCTTGGTAGATCTTCCTCCATTCCTTTATTTTGAGCCTATGTGTCTCTGCATGTGAGATGGGTTTCCTGAATACAGCACACTGATGGGTCTTGACTCTTTATCCAATTTGCCAGTCTGTGTCTTTTAATTGGAGCATTTAGCCCATTTACATTTAAGGTTAATATTGTTATGTGGGATTTTGATCATGTCTTTATGATGTTAGCTGGTTGTTTTGCTCGTTAGTTGATGCAGTTTATTCCTAGCATTGATGGTCTTTACAATTTGGCATGTTTTTGCAGTGGCTGGTACCAGTTGTTCCTTTCCATGTTTAGTGCTTCCTTCAGGAGCTCTTGTAGGGCAGGCCTGGTGGTGACACAATCTCTCAGCATTTGCTTGTCTGTAAAGTATTTTATTTCTCCTTCACTTATGAAGCTTAGTTTGGCTGGATATGAAATTCTGGGTTGAAAATTCTTTTCTTTAAGAATGTTGAATATTGGCCCCCACTCTGTAGAGTTTCTGCCTAGAGATCAGCTGTTAGTCTGATGGGCTTCCTTTTGTGGGTAACCCGACCTTTCTCTTTGGCTGCCCTTAACATTTTTTCCTTCATTTCTTCTTTGATGAATGTGACAATTATGTGTCTTGGAGTTGCTCTTCTCGAGGAGTATCTTTGTGGCGTTCTCTGTATTTCCTGAATTTGAATGTTGGCCTGCCTTGCTAGGTTGGGGAAGTTCTCCTGGATAATATTCTGCAGAGTGTTTTCCAAGTCGGTTCCATTCTCCCCATCACTTTCAGGTACACCAATCCGATGTAGATTTGTTCTTTTCACACAGTCCCATATTTTTTGGAGGCTTTGTTCATTTCTCTTTATTCTTTTTTCTCTAAATTTCTCTTCTTGCTTCATTTCATTCATTTGATCTTCAGTCACTGATACCCTTTCTTCCAGTTGATCGAATCGGCTACTGAAGCTTGTGCATTCATCATGTAATTCTCGTGCCACGGTTTTCAGCTTCATCAGGTCCTTTAAGGACTTTTCTGCATTGGTTTTTCTAGTTAGCCTTTTGTCTAATCTTTTTTCAAGGTTTTTAACTTCTTTGCCATGGTTTCAAACTTCCTCCTTTAGCTCGGAGAAGTTTGATCGTCTGAAGCCTTCTTCTCTCATCTCGTCAAAGTCATTCTCCGTCCAGCTTTGTTCTGTTGCTGGTGAGGAGGTGCGTTCCTTTGGAGGAGGAGAGGCGCTCTGATTTTTAGAATTTTCAGTTTTTCTGTTCTGTCTTTTCCCCATCTCTGTGGTTTTATCTACCTTTGGTCTTTGATGATGGTGATGTACAGATGGGGTTTTGGTGTGGATGTCTTTTCTGTTTGTTAGTTTTCCTTTTAACAGTCAGGACCCTCAGCTGCAGGTCTGTTGGAGTTTGCTGGAGGTCCACTCCAGACCCTGTTTGCCTGGGTATAGCAGTGGAGGCTGCAGAACAGTGAATATTGCTGAACAGCAAATGCTGCTGTCTGATTGTTCCTCTGGAGGTTTCGTCTCAGAGGGGTACTCAGCCGTGTGAGGTGTCAGTCTTCCCCTACTGCGGGATGCCTCCCAGATAGGCTACTCGGGGGTCAGGGACCTACTTGAGGAGGCAGTCTGTCCATTCTCATATCTCCAACTCTATGCTGGGAGAACCACTACTCTCTTCAAAGCTCAGTTGGAAATGCAGAAATCATCTGTCTTCTGCATCGCTCACGCTGGGAACTGCAGACTGGAGCTGTTCCTATTCAGCCATCTTGGAACTGCTTTTGATCATTTTTCAAGTTTTGTACTATCCTTAATGGACAAATAATAATTACATCCATTTATGGGGTACGATACAATAATTTGATATATGTATATACTGTGGAATGATTAAATTGGGGTAATAAGAATATCCATCATGCCAAATATTTATATTTTTGATGAGAACATTTAAAACCTTCTCTTTTAGCTATTTTGAGATATATCATACATTATTATTAACTGTAGTCACCTTTCTGTGCAATAGAGCACCAGAACATGTTCTGTCTAACTATAGCTTTTTACCTATTGACTAGAATTTTCCTTTCTCTGTCCACCTCCCCCAGTCCCCAGCCTCTGGAAATCATCATTTTACTCTCTCCTTCTATGAGTTTGACTTTTTAAGATTCCATACGTGAGATCAGACTGTATTTGTCTCTCAGTGCTTGGCGTATCTCATTTAACATAACATCCTCTAGGTTCATTCATGTTGTCACAAATGACAGAATTTCCTGATTTCAAAATATATTACAAAGCAATAGTAATTAAAACAGGATGGCAATGGCATAAAAACAGACACATTGACCAGTGTAATAGGATAGAGATTCCAGAAAGAAACCCACATATCTATGATCAACTGATTTTTGACAAAGGTGCCAAAAACACATAATGAAGAAAGGATAGTCTCATCAATAAATGGTGTAGGAAAACTGGATAGCCACATAGAGAAGACTAAAAATGGACCCTTTTCTCACCTCTTATATAAAAATCAACTAAAAATGGATTAAATACTTAAATGTAAGGACTAAAAGTATAAAACTACTAGAAGAAAACATAGCTGAAAAACTCCTTGACTTAAACTGATTTAAAAATGAGTTTTTAAAGTTTTTATCTTTATGTTGTTGAGTTTTAAGAGTTCTTTGTATATTTCAGGTAATAGTCCTTTATTAGATATGTATTTTAGAAATATTTTCTCCCAATCTGTGGCTTATCTCTTCTCATTCTCTTGTCAGTGTCTTTCACAGAGCAAAAGTTTTTAATTTTAATAAAGTCTATTTTATCAAGCCTTTCTTTTATAGATTGTGCCTTTGGTGTATCAAAAATGTCATTGCCATACCCACAATCCATCTAGATTTTTCTCCTACATTATCTTCTAGGAGTTTTTTTTTTTTTTTTTCCTGCGAGAGAGTCTTGCTCTGTCACCCAGGCTGGAGTGAAGTGGTGCAATCTCAGCTCACTGCAAACTCTACCTCTCAGGTTCAAGAGATTCTCCTGTCTCAGCCTCCCAAGTAGCTGGGATTATAGGCACACCATCACACCCAACTAATTTTTGTATTTTTAGTAGAGACAGCATTTCACCATGTTGGCCAGGCTGGTCTCAAACTCCTGACCTCAGGTGATCCACCCACCTTGGCCTCCCAAAGTGCTGGGATTATAGGCTTAAGCCACTGCTCCCAGCCATTCCAGGAGTTATATAGCTTTGTGTTTACATTTAGGTCTGTGATCCATTCGTGTTATTTTTTCAAATGGTGTAATGTGTCTGGATTCATTTTTTTTTTTTTGCATGTAAATGTCCAGTTGTTTCTGTACTGTTTATTGAAGAGACTATCTTCTCTTCAATATATTGCCTTTGTTTCTTTGTCAAAGATCCATTGACTCTATTTGTGGGTGTCTATTATTGGGCTCTCTATTCTGTTCCATTGCTTGATTTTGCCAATACCACACTCTCTTGACTACTATAGCTGTAGAGTAAATCATCATGTCAGGTAGTCTCAATCCTCTAACTTTGTTCTTCCTCTTCAATCTTGTGTTCAATATTCTTGGTCTTTTGGTCTCCATACAAACTTTGGAATTAGTTTGTTGATATCTGCAAAATAACTTGCTGGGATTTTGATTGGGATTGTAATGAATCTATAGATTCAACTGGGAAGAACTGACATCATGAAAATATTGAATCTTCCTATTAACGAATAGCCTTTATTTTTGAAGGAATTTTTGCTGGATAAAGTATACTAGGCTGACAGTTTTTTTCTCCTTCAGCATAGTATAGTTGTCATACTTTGTCTTTTATCTTACATTGTTTCTGATAAGAAATCTGCAGTTTTATTTGTGCTTCTTAGTATATAATGTTTCTTTTTCTCTGGGCTGCTTTTAAGACAATTTCTTTATGATTTGCTTTTAATAATTTGATTATCATGTGCCTTGATGTGATTTTCTTTCTGTTGATCCTGCTTAGAGTTATATTTCTTAATTTGTGAGTTTATAACTTTCATCAAGTCTTACATTCGTGTGTACCTTTAAATCTTTTGGCATATTTATAAGAGATATTTAATTTCTTTATCATGTTTGTTTCCCTTCGTTCAAAGTCCTTGTCTGCTAATTTCATCTTCTCTGTAATTTCTGGATATGTTTCTTTTGATGATTATACTCCTTATAATGAGTGATATTTTTCTTCTTCTTTGTGTAGCATTTTTTGCTTGGATGTTACATTGCAAGTTTATGTTGTTGAGTACTAGATTTTGTTGTCTTTTCTTTAAACAATGTTGAACTTTATTCCAGGTTAAATTAGTTTCAGTTCAGCTTGATATTTTTGATGCTTGCTTTTAAGTTGTGTTAGAACAAGTGTAGATTAGCCTTTATTTTTAGGGCTAGTTTAGCTTTAATTCTATGATGTGATGTTTTTAGGGTCTCTACTAAGTACTGTGTGTATGTAACATGGATTCTTCACTCTGGCTAGTTGGGACTAAACATCTTCCAGTACTATGCGAGCTTGTGGCATTGTCCAGCTTACAATTCTCTAGCGTCATGGGGCTGTACCTATAGATTCATGCCTCAGTGTCCAGCAACAGGTCAAGAGGCTTCCTGTGCAGATTCCTCTTCTTTCTCTGCATATCTCCCTCTAGTCTGTGTCTCCTCACCTCATTGTGCCCACTGAACTCTGCTCAGGATTTCCCTCTTGGCATTATTGTCTGAAAAGGCAATCCAGATACAAAGTGAGGGCAATTATAGGGCTAATCACGTTTGTTTCCCTTCGCTCAATGTGCTGCTTGTTGTACAATGTATGAAATCAGTTGTTTAATTCTGACCATTAAAAAAATTATTCATGGATGGGCCAGGCACAGTGGCTTATGCTTATAATCGCAGCATTTTGGGAGGCAGAGGCAGGTGGATCACCTGAGGTCAGGAGTTCAAGACCAGCCTGGCCAACATGGTGAAACCCCGTCTCTACTAAAAATACGAAAGAAAAATTAGCTGGGTGTGGTGGCATGTGCCTGTAGTCCCAGCTACTCGGGAGGCTGAGGCAGGAGAATCGCTTGCAGCTGGGAGGCAGAGATTGCAGTGAGCCGAGATCGCACCACTGCACTCTAGCCTGGGTGACAGAGCGAAACTCCATCTCAAAAACAAAAGAAAACAATTGTTCACGGATGGAGGGCAAGTTGAGTTTCAATAACTTCATTGTGAGTAGAAACAGAAGACCTTTCACATTTATCTTTAAAGCTCTCTCTGTAGGTATGCCATTGTGGTTTTGATTTCAATAATTAATACGTTTTTCTATCTAGTGGTTTTTAATTTCATTATACTTTTCGTCTTTGTGGTAGTATTTTATTGATTTTTATATCTACCTTATTCTATTCTGATGGTAGTTTGTTTCTTGCTCCTATTTTGTATGTCTCATTTTTTCCAAATATTAAACATAAGTACTTTACATTCTGTATTTAATAATTCCAGTGTCTGAGAACTTCGATAGGGCTAATTCTGCCTCTTCATGTTTGTGCTGAGTCTTTCTTACAGTGCCTTGATTCCTTGTGTGTCTTTCAGTTTAAGACTCTGAGCTTATACTTGATGGGGCTTTATTTGTTGAAATCCTTTAAGACTGGGCTTAACTCTCCAGAGATTTTACTTTTGTCTCTGCCAAGCTCTCACAGGGTTGTTAACCTGAGATTGCTTTAAGGTAACTTACCAGCTTGGGATTTCCTGGACCACAAGTATAATGCAAATTAGAATGACAAAAATGCATTAGGGTAAGCTGTGGTTATAAATTCTCAAGGGGATTGTTTTCTCCTCGTATCCAGAGCTTGAACCCTCAAAGATGCCTTTTTTTTTTTTTTTTAATCAGTTCACTCTTCTGGTGGGTGAACTTTTTCCATAGTTCACACCTTTACTGAGGTTGTAACCCTTCAGGATGTGGAAGTCTGCCTCAGTTCCAAGTCTTCACCATTCGCAGACCCTCATTTCCTGGTTTCCACTAGCCTTTAGAAAATGAATTTTTAGGCTACAGAGACTGGTAGATGCCCTCAAGGGCAAGCACAGAGTCAGCTTTAATTTACTACCTTTTCAAATTCTTTCCTTTTTTAACCTCTGAAATTTCTATAATTACTATTGTTAAGATTAGCCTTGCAAATAAGGGTAAATAAAATAATTCCTGAGAATATAGAAATGAGGGTAAATCATAAATGGCAGACAGCATTCTGTTTCCATCTCTCCAGATAAGGGTTCTTAGGGGCTGCTGTTTTAGACAGGGGTACCAAACATCCAAATCCATGGGGAATATATCACACTTGCTTGTCAATTTTTTTAATTGACAGTAATTGTATCTATTATACGGGGTATACTGTGATGTTTTCATATAGTTTTACTTTGTGGAATGATTAAGTCATGCTAATTAAAAAATCTAGCACCTCACATACTTATATTTTGTTGTGGTGAAAATATTTAATATCTAATCTTTTAACAGTTTTGAAATATACAGGCCAGGCCCAGTGGCTCACACCTGTACTACCAGCACTTTGGGAGGCTGAGGTGGCAGGATCACTTGAGCCCAGGAGTCTGAGACCAGCCTGGGCAACAGAATGACATCTCCATCTCCACAAAAAAATTAAAAAATTGGGCAGGCATGGTGGTGCACACCTATAGTCTCAGCTGCTTGAAAGGCTGAGAAGGAAGGATTGCTTGAGCCCTGGAGGTTGGGGCTGCGGTGAGCCATGGTTGCACCACAGCACTCCAGCCTGGGTGACAGAGACTCTACCTCAAAAAAAAAAAAAAAAAAAAAAAAAGAAAGAAAGAAAGAAATATACAATGCATTGTTATTTATTACATTCACCATTCTGGGCAATAGATCACTAAAGCTTATTTGCTTGTCTTCCTTGCTTGTCTTCCTTTAAAAAAAAAGATCAGCTTCATACCTAAAAGGATGTTTATTATACTTAATCCAGGATTTCTAGGTGATTCATAGTGGGAACATTTTTCGGGCTGGCTAGATCACCATAATGCTTAAAATGCAAGTCTTTCACTCTAGTTCTTCTCACGGCTGGCACCTTCTCTTCGTTTAGGTCTCATCTCAATGCCAACATCCTATCTAAGTAGCCACTTTCCCTACCAGTCATTTGCTACCACATTATTTTTTATTTTTTCTCATCACACTGTACAATAATATTTTTTTGAAAGGTTTTCCTATGTACTCTCCCTGTCTCTCCCACTAGTGTGTAAGAACTATGAGAGTAGATATCAAGTCTTTCTATTTTCTTCTGTGTTTTCAGCCCCAAGGCCAACTGCTTGTCAGAATAAGCACTCAAATATTTGTTGGATGAATAATTTTTTTTCTTGAAGCAAATATAAATGGATACAGCACCTAAAATATGTTTCTAAAACTTAAGATTATGTCAGTAAGTATAGCATGTGAATGCTCAGAATTGTCAGTTTGTTGTTTATACTTTGTGGTCTCAACTTATCAAGAAGTCCAATAAATTCTGAAGTTGTTATTCTTTTATCAAAAAAGTAAGAAAGTGATTTTTATTTCAGTATATTGAGCGTAAATAACTTTTTTTAAAGTAAGAATCATGAAAACATGCCTAAAGAAAGTAGCCTAAAATTATTTTCAGGACATGACACCTCCCCATCTCCAAACAAAATTAAGAGTGCATATGCCACTTACCTTGTTTGTGTATAAGGGAGTAGAACTGTTTCACAGAGAAGTGAGTTTTGTACTTAGCTATTTGACTAATCAAATCCCATAACATCTCTGAGCTTAGAAAATGTAATCTAAATATGGTTAATTTTCCCTCTAGCAAATCCTGGAAATCCTCGTTTTAATAAAATCTTCACAGTGTTTGTAAGATATTCCTTTTTCTTTTTTTTGAGACAGAGTCTTGCCCCGTCACCCAGGCTGGAGTGCAGAGGCACGATCTCGGCTCACTGCAACCTCCACCTCCCAGGTTCAAGCAATTCTCTGTCTCAGCCCCCCAAGTAGCTGGGAAGGTGCCCTCCACCACACCTGGCTAATTTTTGTATTTTTAGTAGAGACAGGGTTTCACCACCTTGGCCAGGCTGGTCTTGAACTCCTGACCTCGTGATCCATCTGCCTCGGCCTCCCAAAGTGCTTGGATTATAGGCGTGAGCCACCATGCCCAGCTTTTAAGATACTTCTTTCGGAAAAAATTTCCTGGAATAAGGGTAATCATATACCCTAACTCCAAACAGCAATGACAACAACCAAAAAGCAAGCATTTATTACAACAGGCGAGGCCCTGAGTTGAGAGATTTATGTGCATTTCCTTATTAAAACCTTAAAGATCCTCTTATAAGATAATTATTATTCCTACCTATAGGTGAGTAAACCTTGGTAAACAGAGAAGTTGCTCATAGTTACAAGGTTAGTGAAATCCATGTTCTTTAATAATTCTTTATATTGTTCCACAAAGAAAAGCATTTTCAATATTTAGTCCTTATGTTTTGGAAGCAGATGTAGGTCTTGAATTTCTAGGGTGGATGACTCCACATTCTTTCCTGTTTTATTGGTGGAAAACCAAACCAGAAATCATGATTTGAGAGGGTGTGTTCTTGGGCCATTCTATGTAATACAAACCTAAGTCATTTGGGGACTTTATTCATACATATTTCCAGTATATTTTGGAAAAAGCATTGAATTGTACCTATTTTAAGGATAATATCAGTGACATTTAATTCATAATTGTATTATGAATTTTATTCAACTTCAGTGACAATTGCTATTTGATCTCAGCCTACAATCATAAATCTTGTTGAACTACTATTTCATGAACATTCCCTAACTAGCCACTCTTTGGTTAAAAATCTTAGCTGGGTTTAAGATATCTGTGTTAAAGAAGACTCCAAGTCAGGCATCTGGATTCTCTAAGAAGGGTTTTCCATTTTCTTGTATTTCAGGTTAAGGGAATTCTAAAGAATTACACATGAGCTAATTTGTTTTTTTAACTCTGATCACTTTAAAAAATTTGTAATTCTCCAAACGACCTAGATAAAATGCTTTGATAAATATTGTCTATAACTGGAGAACTACTGATGTATAAAAATGTGTCTTTTTGGTTAGCTCTGCCTACCTCATTTGATTTAGCTTTGTGTTCTTTTGCTTTTACGTTTTCATGCTTTCTCCTTATTCTTCCAGGATTTCATCCAATTGGAAAGTTAAGTTCTTAGTACTGAGTGGCTAAAAAAGAAATATTTAAATCCACCTAGACACTATGTACCAAATACACTCAACCATAACCACACCAGTAATGATGTCCTCTAATGGGGAGCACTGGTACCTGAGGATGAATCCCTTCTCCTTCCCTGGTGGAAGTGGAAAAGTATCAAGAATTTTCAGAAAGCTGCTGAAATTTGATGAAGGCTGTGTTCAACTTGTTGGCTGCCACTCTTGGTAAATAATAAACAATATAGGCATATGTCTCTGAAAAGACTTCTCCAACTTAGGTTTTCCAAGCCCAGTAGCTTAATTTTTTATTTTGTTTTCCTGTTTTTTAAATTTAATTTTATTATTATTATCATACTTTAAGTTTTAGGGTACATGTGCACAAAGTGCAGGTTAGTTACATATGTATACACGTGCCATGCTGGTGTGCTGCACCCATTAACTTGTCATTTAGCATTAGGTATATCTCCTAATGCTATCCCTCCCCCTCCCCCCTCCCCCACAACAGTCCCCAGAGTGTGATGTTCCCCTTCCTGTGTCCATGTGTTCTCATTGTTTAATTCCCACCTATGAGTGAGAACATGCAGTGTTTGGTTTTTTGTCCTTGCGATAGTTTACTGAGAATGATGATTTCCAATTTCATCCATGTCCCTACAAAGGACATGAACTCATCATTTTTTTATGGCTGCATAGTATTCCATGGTGTATATGTGCCACATTTTCTTAATCCAGTCTATCATTGTTGGACATTTGGGTTGGTTCCAAGTCTTTGCTATTGTGAATAGTGCTGCAATAAACATACGTGTTCATGTGTCTTTATAGCAGCATGATTTATAGTCCTTTGGGTATATACCCAGTAATGGGATGGCTGGGTCAAATGGTATTTCTAGTTCTAGATCCTGTTTTGTTTAACTACAAACCAAAGCTAAAGAAATGATACAATGGTCTCATATTCAAGAATCTTATAAATTTTCTACAGAAAATATAAGGTGTAAAAGGAATGGAGAGTTCTTTAAGCAGCCTCAGAGAAATTATTACCTTGCGTCAAATTCAAAATGGATTGTCAACTATGTCATAATTTTCTGGAAAAAGCTGTTTAAATAACAATACTTCAGTGTTGCTTTGCATTTACACTGCTAGAATTATACCAGGCATCTAAAGGGCAGCCCTTCTAGGACACAGTGTCCTTGGCAAGATCTTTAGAAAAAGACAAAAAACAAAAACAGAAAGCAAAACTTGAAAGGAGAGACTCTATGGAGAAGAAAAATGAGAGGAGAGAAAAATGATGCCAAAATATTTAATGTCAAATGCCAAAACTAATATTTATTTGACTGTTTTCAAATGAATAAGTTGCATCATTTATTATTAATATTATTGCATCATATACTATTAATATTATTATTTGCTTAAAAATTGCCATGAATGAATTTTAAAAGGTAGGAAACCGTAGGAGATTAATTTTAATGGGAGGAATGATATCTTACTTCTTTGGTTATATAGATGAGTTTAGTTAGTTTTGGAGATTTTAAGAAGAGATTTACTTTCAACTCTCTATCATAAATGCATATTAACCTAGGAGATCATTTTTTTTTTATTACACTTTAAATTTTAGGGCACATGTGCACAACGTGCATGTTTGTTACATATGTATACATGTGCCATGTTGGTGTGCTGCACTCATTAACTCATTTTTTTTTTTTTTGGTCTTGAAAATTTAGTTCTTGCACCAATCAAATCCTTTATGTCTAAAATTTAGACTAAACACTGATTAAGACGCAAACTCCAGTCACATGCACCCTATGTAGTCTGAGACGATTCACTCACCTATGGATTTGACAAGCGCTCACGGCTGTGTCTCCACCTCTCACCACATCTGGGATGTTTTTGTCATTCGAATGCCCTTCTGCTTCCTCTAGGAGGCTGCTTTTGGAAAGGAAGGGTTCAGGTTCCCCAGCACAGGCTTCTCTCTGATCTGTTTCAATCTGAATCAAAGGCACTTCCCTCGAGCAAAGTGATCGCCTTTTGTGGTTTATTGGTACAGGGTCCTGGCACGAGGAAGTTTCTTTTTTAGAATCTAAAGGGCTGTGGTTTGTAAGAGAAGCAGTTTTGCTCAAAGATGACACTGGGGGCTGTTTACATTCGGTAACAGAGTCTTTCCTCGGGCAATCGAGAGACTCCTGAACAAGCAGAGTTGGCCCACTGCACATCCTGCTCGCAGCTAATCTATTTGCACACTTCTCTGCTTGCGAGGGAGAGCCACCAGAAACAGGCTCAGTGTCAGCTTCCTCTGCATCATCCACAATGATTTTGTTCTTGCGCATGAGAGCCTCAATGGAGCTAGCCCACGTTTCATGAATTAACATGTTGGTGATGTGGTCAGTCCCACCTCTCCGATACAAGCAAGAGTCAGATTTGCAGAGACCGGATGAGGACGCGCTACTGACCGGCTGCACGCTTAGGAAATCTTGTGGGCAGTTCTGAGCAAAGCCATCTAAAGAGTTGGCTTTGATGGGCACATTCACTGTCAGCCTGGAGCATGGGGATCTGCTGTCTGGCATGGACGACTGTCTGTGGCACACTGGGGATCGCAGAGAAGGAGACAGCAGGCCGGCTGTCCAATCCTGGCTGCTCCGTCTGGAGGAGGCACTTTCTCTGCTGTCTCTTTCGATGTCCCTCAGCATGTACCTGTAGAACTCCTCAGTGATGCTCTCTGTGCTGGACTGCTTAGAGGGACAGCTAGGCCTCACACTGAGGTGGTCACTTTTCCGGCACGCCTGTTGCATGGCTGAGTTCAGAATGCTGCTGGCGTTCTTGCCAGCATAGTAATCCAGCAGTAACTCAAATCCTCTCCCTTCATTTTCCATCTGGTTCACCATGAACCTGGAAAACTCATCGGTGATGCTCTCACAGCTCGACTGCTTGGAGACAGAGCTGGCCCTGCTGACCGGCTGGCTCAGCGTGCTCATTAAGCCCAGGCTGTTGACATAGGCCCTGGCCTCGGAGTCTTCCTCAGGAATGCTTTCGCAGCTGGAGGCCTTCAGCCGGCTCCACCTGTCGCCACTCAGTAACCGATTCCGGGGATAGCCCTGCGCCTGCCACATGCCGTCCACCATAGAGAACTCCGTTAGGTTCATGATCTTGGCTGCCACTTCATTGGCAAAAAGATTGACAGAATCTGGGACATCTTCAAGGTTCATGGACTCATCCACAACCCTGTTCATCAGCTTTTCTTTAAGCTCAGGGTGCTCGTCCGTCTTCCTCTTGATCTCACTGAGCCGGGGAGGCTTGTGTTTCCTCACAGCGGTCCCGCTCCCCTGGCTCTCTTTCTTCCTCTTCAAGGATCGGCAGGGTACGTTGGGTGTCATCAGAAACTCACTCCCTCTTTTCCATGCACAAAACCAGGGTTGTTTTCCACTGGAGTTGTCAAGGCAAATCGCTGCAATTTCAGTTGCCATGGAGACGACCGTGTCTGCTAATTCTTCCGCAAAGTCTGTAATGCAGTAGATGTCTGGATGCTTTGTTTGAAGCGTGGATTGAGCAGGAAGCAGCAGGTCATCCCCTAACAAGGACAGGTTGACTTGAACTTCGTTGATGCGAGATGTGGCACAGTTGTACTTTTCTTGGGTGTTTGGGTGGATACTCTCCTCAGCCTCCTGGGAACCACTTCTGGACTGGCTGACCGTTGGGGACCTTTGTCCTTCGGAAGAGGCTCTGCATTCATTCTCACTGTGATGAGGGCTTTTTGTATCCTCTCCTGCTATTCCTTTCAGATATATTTCCTTGGAGGATGTTGTAGCAGTTGAAGAATCGGGCACTCTGTGACTACGTGATAATTGTGACTGCAGCGTGGGGTTCTTGAAGAGGCCTGGCCTCACTCCACCCTTGTCTTGTTTTGAATACATGCCATCCACAAGATTGTTGATGACAAGACTCGTGTTGTGTGAATTGCTAAGTGGAGAGCTGCTGGAGGATTCAGTGGCTTTTGTCCAAGCTTGACTAGCACCCGGATCAGATGGCTGGCAGCTTGGTTCTGTCTCCCTCCTTCTGATGGTCTCCTTAGAAAGGACAGCAGGACATTCACCAAGCCGTACAATATGACTCATCTTCTTGAACGTGAAGCATATCACATCTAAAAGCAGTTGATTTGTACTTTCCATTAAGGTGTCCAGAATTTCAGATGAATGCCTGTTGTCATTGGGGTCGATTATCATATTTTTGTGGTGAACTTCATCAATGGAATGCCTCAGGATAACATTGGACAGGGTATGTGCCAGTTCATTCCTGACGACATTTTCTGAGCACAGGGTCTGAGACTTTGAAGCAGTTTCCATGATTCTCCTGTTCATGGAGTCCAGAAAGTCTCCAATGCTGCTGTAGGTATTAGGCCTTGTTAAAACCAGAGCAGCCTCCTTGAGCAATCCCTTGGCAATGGCTTCCTTGCCAAGCTCCATGCTTGCTAAACCACAAAGTGGGGGCATGGCTTCAGAAGCCTCAGCTGCAGGCGGGAGGCTACCACTTGGAGCCACTGAGCATGTCACCTCTTCTCTTTCACCCAGACCACAGACAGCCACGGCACTGGCCACCTGAGTCATGCCACACAAAGCAGATGGAAAGGAGTACTCATTGATGGAAGGTTCCTTGAGTCCTTGGGGTGCTTGAGTTTGCAGTGCACCACTGCTCCCTGGGGGAAAGTTCGAGACCACTTGCTCCATTTTGAGTCTTTCTGTGGCCTGTGGACTGGAAATAGTTCCAATCACAGTGGCTGCACAAGCTAACGCCACTTCTAGAGCACTCTGGGGTTGTCTGCTGGAGTTCTCTCCAGAGAGGATGCTTGAGGTTTCAACAGAGACTTCCATCTCAGGCCAGGAGGAGATGCCTGGCTGTGGGGCAGCATCACTGCCATCTGGACTCTGAACAACGACGATTTTGGGGAGCTCATTCCATGACCGAGAAACCACTGTATCTTTTGTGGAATAGCAACTGGGAAGCAGAGAACTTCCTACAGAAACACTGACTGCAGATTCCTGGGGTAATGTGGACTGAGATTGAGATAATCTAATAAATGCATCCTGCAGCACGGATTCTGCTAAATTTGTAGCATACTTGCCAGTGGTGACTTCTCCATCTTGTCTAGGAGGGAGAGCGTTTCTTGTGTCTTCATGGTCTCCTGGGTTTAGGTTGCTTCTCTGCTCTGCCACAGCACATGCAGAAGGTACATCTTTATCCATCATGGAGAAATAAGCATCTTTTGGAATATACAGTGCCTGTGATTTTTCCATTTGACCTTTAAAAGCTTCTGAATGATAATAATGTGTGGCTTGTCTCCCATTCCCCACAGCTTCTCTTTTCCACTGTGATGGCTTGGCTGAGGGATCTAGACTCTGCAAGGCTGTGTTCTTTGTTAGGTTTTCTGGAGATCGTTCTGTTTTAATCAATGGTGTGGGATATTTGTTGATGTATTTGTCTTCCAAAGCATAAAGCCACTTTTCCTTGTTGCAATTCCATTCCACCTGGGTGGCTCCCTTTAGCTGTTTACTTTCCAAAACATTGGCTGAGACATTTATATTTTCATAATCTAGTGAGGAGAAAATGAGGGGCACTATTACTTTTTGGATAGCAGGTTACCATAAGTCTTAAGTAATAATTACTTTCTAAAAATAAAACATCAATAAAGACACATGCACACATATGTTTATTGCAGCACTATTCACAATAGCAAAGACTTGGAACCAACCCAAATGTCCATCAATGATAGACTGGATTAAGAAAATGTGGTACATATACACCATGGAATACTATGCAGCCATAAAAAAAGGATGAGTTCATGTCATTTGTAGGGACATGGATGAAGCCGGAAACCATTATTCTGAGCAAAGTATCACAAGGACAGAAAACCAAACACCGCATGTTCTCACTCATAGGTGGGAATTGAACAATAAGAACACTTGGATGCAGGGTGGGGAACATCACACACTAGGGCCTGTTGTTGGCGGGGGGAGTGGGGAGGGCTAGCATTAGGAGATATACCTAATGTAAATGACAAGTTAATGGGTACAGCACACCAACATGGCACATGTATACATATGTAACAAACCTGCATGTTGTGCACATGTAGCCTAGAACTTAAAGTATAATAAAAATAAAATAAATAAATAAAAATAAAGCATTGACTTTTTTTCCCCCTTCAAGAATAACAGTTTGAATGGTTTTCCTCAAGAAAAATGAATCTGAAAAGGCTTTCAAATTTCATGATAGAATGCCACCCAACAAAATGGCTTTCCATATGGGATACAAATGCAAGTAGGAGATGTTTGAGGGCTGAGGGCTGCCACCATTTTTCAGGGGAAAGCAACCCAGACAGTTGCATCTTAGAGCTTCCCAGTGGGTACAGAAGGAGAAGGGAGGATGTTTACGGCAACCTCAGTAGTGGGACTTGCTGCAAAGATTTGTTCTAAAGTTTGCATGAGACTTGTCCCAGGGACAGTGGCAACAACATCTGGGGTACCCCTTCCTCTGTGGCTAAAAGTGGGGAGGAGGAACGCATTGTTCATTGAGCTCTGTGAATGGGTCAACAGGAAGAGCTGAATAAATGGGTACTAAGCACTTTCCTGGATTATCTCTTTCTGTCTTCACAAAAATCATTAGCTATAGGCATGATCGTACTCCCAAATTAGACAAACAAACTAGGCTAGGAAAGATTAGATAACTGGCGCCAGATCTCACAGCCTCAATGTGGCAGTGCTGGGATTCAAATCCAGGCTGGTCCAACTTGGCTTCAACTAATATATGGCTTTTATGGAAGTCTTAGGGAAGTTAACTTTCCTCCCAGTGATAGCCTCCATCTCTTGGCAGGCAGGAGGATTTTCCTTTAAAGTACACAAATTCCCTTCAGTATGCCTAAGGCATCTTTTGGGAGTCTGGATCCATCCAACCATTAAGTCCGCTAAGTGAGTTTGTCAGTATCTTCACCAGTGTTCTCATATCCTCCTTCCTTCCTTCCTTAAAATTCAGCAAGTAAAGACTGTGATGTGTCAGCCAAACTGATGTGGCCTGGAACTTTTCTGAAATCTCACCAAGACATTTTTATACGGGGACTAATTTCAGGAGGCACTAATTGGAAAGTTCTCACCGTTCCTAGATTCATCCACCTCGCTTTCCTCCTCCAAGTGCTCAGAAGCGGTGAGAAAGTCTTCCTCGATTGAAGATAAGGAACAGTTCGTGTCATCCTCCAGTTTCAAGATGTTTGTTTCCAGGTGGAGCTGTCGCTCCTGCACCAGTTCCAGACCAATCAGAAATTTGTTGATTTCAAAGATGATGCAGTTGGTACTGTTTGGTCTGTTCCCTCTTGCACATTGGACCAAGCAGATATCTGGCAGCCAAGGGCACTAAAAGTGGAGAGAAAAGAAGGCATTTATTCAAAAGGGAAAATAAAAGACTATTGCCTCTGAGCTTTCCTTTTCCACCAAGCTCTCCTGTTAATAGGAGTGGGGACCTTTAAAATATTTGAAATGTCTTCTGGAATTATATTAATAAACTGCTTGAAAAAAATTCAAGTGATGTTTGGAACACAAGGTACCTAGGAGAAAGCCTGACTTAGGGAAAAATAGATCGGCTGTATCACATATTTTAATTTCCCTTGGTCAAAGCAAAAATTCAACTGGGTAAAGTTAAACAGGCAAAGAAGATTTTTATTTGAGGCTATTAAAATAGGGAAGAGAGGCCAGAATTAAGTTGGACCACAACTCCACTGAAACAAAAGGCAATAGGGTTTTTAAGGGCTAGAGTGATGGGGGAGATCATAGGTCATCTGTGTTTGATAATTGGCTTTACCCAAAGAAACAGTAAACTTTCTTGTATCTTTATGACAGGAGGTAGTTTTACAACCTGGAGCAAGATGCCCAGTGAAGTTAGGTTCTCATGCTCCCATAAAGACTGGGGACTTTAAGGGAACTATCTTCCTTGATGATTACATTTCAAAGAGACAGCTCCCAGGTCCTTGAGAAAGACATTTCTGGGTATAAAGCTGGCAAGAGGCTTTTACAAAAGGATTTACATCTCAAAAAGGCACAGGAGGAATTTACAATTATAAATTTTCTAGATTAAATGCTCTAAGAAAAGGGAAGTCAGGGTCTAGAGTCAGGAAGGAGCCTGTCTAAATTTTGGTCAAGCTGAAGGGAATGTCAACGCTGTCTTGGTTACCTCTCTTGATTAAATTGAGTCCCAGTTTCTCAGATCAGTATCTTTCTCTGCCTTGAAGATACTCAGTAAAACCTCTACTACTAGTACTTCAGATGTACAGTAAGTGTTCTATCAACTACAGTTAGATTCTATAATTTGTATTGCTTATCTGAAGAAGCAGTCAACATGAAATTAAATGAAATCCATAGGAAGTGAACTAATTATCTCTAAAAGACCAGCGTATGGGAAAAACAGTGATAAAGAGGCCCAAATTATAGAATCATGTACTAGTCAGACCTGTTAATTCTGTTCCGTTCTAGGGTTACAAACCATATCCTCATTCTCCACTACACATTGTCACTATTCATATTATTTATTGCTCATTGGAATCGTAATAAAAGGTTCCAATAATTCTAGGAGAGATGATTATAAAATGAAAAATTCAATCCTTCTCCAAGGGGTTTAGGAATCCCCTGGGGGCTCAAAAATAAAATTCCCCTAAATGCATATGTGATTAGGTCTATTTTTCAAAGAAGGTGGTCCATTGCCTTGCTTTTCTAAGTGTGGGTATGGACCTGCAGCCATGGCATCACCAGGGAGCTTGTTGGAAATATTTACTCTCAGGCCTCAACCCAGATCTACTCAATCAGAATCTGCATTTCCAATGAATCTGTTGGAGATGTGTACATGCATTAGCATTTGAGACCCACTGGTCCATAGCTTTTATTGAATTCACAAAGTATCTGTGATCCCCCGAATGGAGAGGAACTGCTGTTGTAGAGTAAGCAGAAGTTGGCTTAATTTTCTTTCCACTGAGTTTAGACACACTACACTAAGCTGAAACTTACCCAGTATTTTCCGAGTGCCTATTGCATGCAAATTATGCAAGGAGGTGCATTTTCCGAGTGCCTATTGTATGCAAATTATGCAAGGAGGTGCAAAAATGAATCAGACAATTGCTCTGGGGAGAAGGGCACACTATACTATCAGTGAGTCAACCTCAGCAGAGTCCAAGTGATTCACACGGAGTTGATTCACTTCCAGCGCCAGGGGTGATCATGTGACTTAAGCCTGGCCAATCTGAATAATGCATTCCTTGGGTCATAGTGATTGGTTCAGAAATGGGCATGTGACATATGAGAGCCAATAGGATGCAATGAGACTTCTGCTGAAAACCACCTGGAAATGACGTCCCATTCACTCTTTCCCGACTTGAACCCAAAAAGATATTGCTTCCTTGTGGGAGGAGCTTGTCTGATAATGGGGCCAACGGAAAGAAAACAGGAAAGAGGCCACAAGAGAAAAATCCATGTGTTGATGACATTGTTTAAGTCTCTAATCTACTCCTGGATTTTTCTGGTTACATGAAACAATATGTTCTCTTTTTGCTTAAGCTTATTTTCTGCCATGTTAAATTAAGAATCCTAACTGGGATTAATCAGGGTCTAGTAAGTTAAACTCAAGGTCAAGTCCAATTAATGTCAATACCAATTTTCATAGAGATATTGAAAGAAAGCTGGAATTTCTCAGTAATACCTGTACTTGCCAAAAGCTAGGAAAAGTGTTCTATAATGCAGAGGCAGTTTTTTTTTTTTTTTTTTTAAATCTGTGAATTCTAGAAAGAAAACGGGAATAAAATCTTCACTCTCAAAGACATAATGTACAATTATTTGACAAGCCACAAATTACCTAGGATTCATGTAAAACTTATAGGACACAAGCCTTGTTAGTAGCTACAAAGTCAGGGAGATGTGATTACCTGGAAATAAAGCCTCCTCGTTTATTAATTGATTTATCACACTGTATTATGTTTCTTGAAATTTGGAGACTTTTGGGCTTTTTGAGATTTTGAAGAGTTGAAGGATAAAAGAAGACTTTAAAAATTGACAGTGAAATTAAAACCCAAGGAAGAACAATTTGTGGAAAACAAATGCTCATCATTTTAATCTGGAGCTGTTACATATCACTGTAATATACTTTATGTGTATTTTTCTTGTAAATTAATTAATTAAACAATTTTACTTACATATCTTTAAATAAATAATGTTATAGTGATTTATATAATAGGAATGAACATGAGTGCACGGAATGATAATAGTAGTATTTTAGTTACTGTTTATTTTTAATAACGTTTGTTTTGGAGGAGGGATATTTTATTTATTGGGCCCAAGACACTCTCTTTCCATCCTTGAAGCTGCCATCCTGGATTTACTAGCTTGGCTAGTTTGGTACCTCCTAAGGAATACATAACATCTGAAAGATGATATTGTGGGATTCTGAAATAGAATTTTCATACTGCTCCTAAAAGAGAAGATGATTCTGTTTTTGTTTATCCAGTAGATTTGTAGAAAACCAAGCTAAGTAACCAATGCCTACTCTATCTGCTCTAGTTCAAATACAACTTAGGAATTTGAGAAGATAATAGAAATTAGGAGTTGATGTAAGAAAAGCTCTGTCAAACTCTAAGTGGCTCTATTTAAGAGAAATACAAATGCAGACTTTTCTCAAATATAAAGACACTTTGATTCCTATGTTACAGAAGCTTATGTGTAGCATCTGTTTGGGGTTTACACTGATCTGTGCTGAGCTAACTATAGATGTAAGTAAATGGCTTATCAAGAACTTATGTCTTACCTGTGAAACTTCAAAATCTGCCTGGAGATTTCCAGAGGCTAACCCACTTAGGACAACAATTTCATTTTCTTTTGGTTGTTGGACATTCATGGAACTGATAAGTTTTGGAAGATCTGGTGAAACGTTGACCAGTTTCTGTAAAGCAAGAATCTTTATTAGTTTAGCTGATTTCTTTTCACCAAATACTACTCACAAACTACTTTACCTTCAGAAATAATACTCATAACTGCTCATACATATAGACTGCTTAATCTACCAAGATTCTTACTAGAAGAAATTTTATAAAATGGAAGCATGCAAGTTTAGATTGAAAGAGAAAATATAAGCTTCAAAAACTCTTTAGTTCTACATTTTACAAAAGTAAACATTTTACAAAGTAAACATAAAGTAAACATTATGATAGTAATTACTATCATACCACAGGTATAAACAGTAACTTGGAAAAATTTTCCCTTTTAAGACCTTGCATAAAACATTTTTTGTTTTAACTAATAATCTTCCGATATGGCTTGGCTCTGTGTCCCCATCCAAATCTCATCTTGTAGCTGCTATAATTGCCACGTGTTGTGGGAGGGACCTGGTGGGAGATGATTGGATCATGGGGGCGAGTCTCTCCTGCACTGTTCTTGTGATAGTGAGTGGGTCTCATGAGATCTGATGGTTTTAAAAAGTGGGAATTTTTCTGCACAAGCTCTCTCTTTGCCTGCTGCCATCCACATGAGATGTGACTTGCTCCTCCTTGCCTTCCATCATGATTGTGAGGCCTCCCCAGCCAGGTGGAACTGTAAATCCAATAAACCTCTTTCTTATAAGTCCAATAAACCTCTTTCTTATGTAAATTGCCCAGTATCGGGTATGTGTTTATCAGCATCCTGAAAATGGACTAATACCTCTTCTTTTCTAATTGTGAATAATAATAATTATAATAAAATTGTGACTAGCATTGATTTTACTCTGTGTACTAAGCACTATGCTAGAGCCTGTATATATGTTAAATCTGACTACATTTAATCTTCACAATAACCCTACATGGATTAGGTACCATTATTCCTTTCATGTTATACACAAGCAGCCTCAGGACCAGGCCCAGTAACTTGCACAGTTCATATAGCTAAATCAGTGCCAAGGTGTCTGCATGCTCTTAGCCATAGCAGACAATTATTTCAAATCACTCACGTAAACTCTTCAAACACACTACTCTTAGATACCAACTTGCTTTGGCCCTCCCTGCTCTTTGATGGACTCTGCACCATAATTCTATCAAATACAATTGTATGTGTAATTTCTTTTGAAAATCCCATAGTACTACACATATGATGATATTTGGGGCTCGGTGAAAATTTGTAATCAATTAGCTGTGTGGGAAACTGGGTTTGAGAAGCTTGAAGTGCAGCATTGTCAATATGGGAATAACTGTCAGTAACCGAGTAATTGCAGGTCTACTGTTCTGTGAAAATCAAGTGGCAAATCGTGTGCTGTTATACATTAAACAGTATTACACCAAATGGTAAATTCAAACCATTGTCAGGTTTTAGCATGGAATGGCAACCTTATTACAGCACTTAAT
Source organism: Homo sapiens (assembly GCF_000001405.40). Taxonomy (NCBI): domain Eukaryota; kingdom Metazoa; phylum Chordata; class Mammalia; order Primates; family Hominidae; genus Homo; species Homo sapiens. The sequence continues at coordinate 228,026,961 of NC_000002.12, forward strand.
TCTTCCCATTGTATCAGCAGGCTCTTGTTCCAGAGGACTGAATAGATCTTCAAGTCCTTGCATACTGTCAAGCATTTACATCAGGGCCCTCACTGCCTTGGATGCACTTGGAGAATTTTAGCTGCAACAGGATGCAAAAAGTTCAAGCCAAGGGTACAGGTAAAGCATTTGATGAAAGCAGCAGGAAGAAGCAAATCTGAGAGACAGAGGGGAGGGTTGGCTGGTATCAGCAGGTTTTGGAAAATTCTTAGAAAAGTCATCTACAAATAGTCATTTTAAGGCACTGATGGGCAAGAGGATGTGTGCCTGTTTGGACAGTTCTGCCTACATGGGAGAGCAAGTTTCACAAATGTAAAAAGGGCAAACGGTAGAGGGTAAGTGCTAGGGAAAGGGTCGGGGAAATGGCCTGTAATGAAACTATCTAACTAAAGAGTCTCCTACAAAATGAGCATTATTTACAGATGAAATCAAGTTGAATAGTCCTTGTAATGACCTCCCGGTCAGCTTGAGTTTCAAATGTTACCTGTTGCAGGTGCTCTGTGCTGCATTCATCCTTGTTCACATCAAGATTCACAAAGCAGACCTGGGAAAAGAGGGCAAAAATAGTACGTTAAAGTCAAAAACCTGACTGTCTTTTTAGAAGAAAGAAAGCAGGAATCAGTTGGGGCAAATGCTTTGGGAGTCTTCCACATCTTAGACAGTTTGGCATAGAAATAGTCATTTCAGGGCGGGCGCAGTGGCTTATGGTTGTAATCCCAGCACTTTAGGAGGCCAAGGCGGGCAGATCACGAGGTCAGGAGATCGAGACCATCCTGGCCAACATGGTGAAACACTGTCTCTACTAAAAATACAAAAATTAGCTGGGTGTGTTGGCACGCGCCTGTAGTCCCAGCTACTCGGGAGGCTGAGGCAGGAGAATTGCTTGAACCCAGGAGGCGGAGGTTGCAGTGAGCCGAGGTCATGCCCACTCCAGCCTGGCGACAGTGTGAGACTGCATCTGAAAAAAAAAAAAAAAAGAAAAAAGAAAAAAAGAAATAGTAATTTCACTTTTGAGCCTCCAAATAGCTCTCCAACACCCTGCTCAGCTTCCCACTGGTCACAACAAATGCCCGCTTCCTTTCATGGCCCAACATACTAAAAAAGTCTGCTTGTATTAGAGCCAATAGAACAGTTACAACAAAATCTTCAAGTTTATAAGGTGTTATCAGATCTCATGAAATAGGAAAAATAACTTTTTATGCTCTAAGCCTCTGTTTGTAATTGCAATAAATACTTTTCTCTATTTTCTCCTTTCCTCTTCTCATTTTTGCTCCTTTTCTCTACCCACTTTTAATGTAGTGCATAATAAGCCAGGACTCCTCTTTGCCACATTGTTTTAGTTCATTTTACTTTATTTAACCTTGTTATACAATTTGCCTCTTTGTTAGCTATGTTGGATAAATGTCTGAATGGGTTAGTCTAAAAACAATAGCCATAATATTAAACAATAAATCTGAACAACAGTGAAACATTGTTATAAAGTCATATGTTGCATAATGAACAACATTTTGGTCAAGAACTGATCACATATACAACAGTGGTCCTTTAAGATTATAATACCGTATTTTTACTGTTTTTACCTTTTCTATGTTTACATATGTTTAGATATACAAATACTTAATGATTGTGTTTCAGTTGCCTGTGGTATTTAGGACAGAAACATGCTGTACAGGTTTATAGCCTAGGAGTAATAGGTTATACCATATAACCTACAGGTACAGTAAGCTATGTCATCTAGACTTGTCTAAGTATAGTCTATGATGTTCAAACAGTGACAAAATCACCTAATCATGCATTTCTCATAACATGTCCCTAACAGTAAGTGACTCATGCCTGTAATTTAAATCCCAAATATACCACATAGTTAGAAAACTACTATGAGCATTCAGATGGGGTTGGAGAAAAGAAAGTTAAAGTTTTCAAAGAGGTTAGCTATGTTTTTGAAAGATAAAAAGACTTTTGTTGGGTAGGGAATGGGTGGGGACCATCACTAGTGGGTTGGACAGACAGCATGATTAATACTTTGAGGTGAGAAAGTGTAACGCTGTCAAGCCACAGGGAATAAGAGAATCTGACTGCAGGCAGGCCTAGAGGAAGGGAAGTGTTGGTAATTAGGTCTAGTTAGGTTTGGGCTAAATGAGAAAATGCAAATGAGGTTCTCTAATACTTTGCTAGCAATCATCCAAAGGTTTTTATTTCTAACTAGTTGATTTGATGTTACAAAACTGAGAACATTAATTACCTGGAATTTAGTTAGACATTTGAACTTTCAGATGCCTGCAAATATATGGGGCTTTCTGATCTTAGTTACTTTTTGGGATCATGGTTTCTTAGTCCATCTTTTTTCTTTTTGAGGTTAAAAAAATAATGGAAAGGTTTTGAGAAAGATCTTAAAAACTGAAATAGAAGTGTAAAGATCACTACTGCTTTAGTCCCAAAGAATAGGAGATTTCTTCAAGTTTCATGGACTCACAAGATCCTTGAAGTGCAACCCTAGGATGCACCATCTGCCTGTTAAGAATAACTTGATGGGCATTAGGGGGAAGAAAGGGCATGAAAGGACCCACACTCCCATTCAGAAGTTCTTTTTGCTCTGGGTTAATAAGATGGAAAAATAGGAAGAAATTGGCATGAGTCCCTTTGCAGACAGTGCAAATGGAAGCATAAATAGAAGATGGAGCTCAGAAGCAGTTCATGATCTAGGGAAGTTTGATAATATTCATATAATAATTGAAACTTTGCCCTTGGAAAACTAGTTCAATATCCATCAGTCCTCAGGGACTTTTAATAACATGCAGCTGGCACTGGTGGTATTGAATTGATGAGAAGATTTTCCATTCACCTTAAAGAAAGGCCCATTACCTTGCTCCTGGGCATGACAAAGCTTTTATTATCATGCATCACAGTGGCAGAGGGCAAAGCAGAGATCAGAGAGCAAAGAAAGGCCTCTATAGTAGCAATTTGTCTGCCCTCCAACATTTTCTTTAGTTTTCTGAGGATGAACTCTCTTTTCACCCATTTTAGGCTACTATATGAAACTCTACCTACACCTGGAGGACACTCTCCACATTTGCTACCTGAACCAAGATAAAAACAAAGCAAGACACAAACCAACTTCTTGCTTATACTTCTCATGCACATCTTGCAATATCTTCATAGTAGGGGATGATCCAGGCTTCTTAAGGCCTGATGTGCATGCAATGTGGGGAGGCCTTCTTTAAGAAATGGAATAACGGCCGCGTACGGTGGCTCACGCCTGTAATCCCAGCACTTTGGGAGGCCAAGGTGGGCGGATCAAGAGGTCAAGAGATTGAGACTCTCCTGGCCAACGTGGTGAAACCCCGTCTCTACTAAAAATACAAAAAACAGCCGGGTGTGGTGGCGCACACCTGTATTCCCAGCTACTCAGGAGGCTGAGGCAGGAGAATCGCTTGAAGCTGGGAGGCAGAGGTTGCAAGTGAGCCAAGATAACGCCACTGCACTCCAGCCTGGCAACAGAGCAAGATACCATCTCAAAAAAAAAAAAAAAAAAACAACAAAAAACAAAAAAAAAAAAATAAAAAAATTAAAATATTCTAAATTAGGTGTGAGACTGAATATTTACTTCTTTAGAAGGAAAAAAGGAATTACAAGAAAGCTAGAACTTAAAAGGGCTGGCAAATACTAAAAACATAAAAACTGCCAGGAATATGATATCTAATTGACTGCCCAATGCACCTCCATAATATTTTTTTTTTTTTACATTTTTGACTAACTACTCTTTGGTCACCTCTTCATGTGAAAGCAATATTGAAATATTGTCTTCTCTAGAGAAACTAGAAAAATAAGCTAGTTTTCCTCTGACATGGTTGACTGATTTTTTAACTTCCAGATTTTTATTGAAAATATGTTTTACGAGGGTGGAGCCAAGATGGCCGAATAGGAACAGCTCTGGTCTACAGCTCCCAGTGTGAGCGATGCAGAAGATGGGTGATTTCTGCATTTCTATCTGAGGTACCAGGCTCATCTCACTAGGGAGTGCCAGAGAGTGGATGCAGCGCACCGTGCATGAGCCAAAGGAGGGCGAGGTGTTGCCTCACTTGGGAAGAGCAAGGGGTCAGGGAGTTCCCTTTCCTAGTCAAAGAAAGGGGTGACAGACGGCACCTGGAAAATTGGGTCACTCCCACCCTAATACTGTGCTTTTCCAACGGGCTTAAAAAACAGCACACCAGGAGATTATATCCCGCACCTGGCTCAGAGGGTCCTACGCCCATGGAGTCTCCCTGATTGCTAGCACAGCAGTCTGAGATCAAACTGCAAGGCAGCAGCGAGGCTGGGGGAGGGGTGTTGGCCATTGCCCAGGCTTGATTAGGCAAACAAAAATGCCAGGAAGCTCGATCTGGGTGGAGCCCACCACAGCTCAAGGAGGCCTGCCTGCCTCTGTAGGCTCCACCTCTGGGGGCAGGGCACAGACAAACAAAAAGACAGCAGTAACCTCTGCAGACTTAAATGTCCCTGTCTGACAGCTTTGAAGAGAGTAGTGGTTCTCCCAGCACGCAGCTGGAGATCTGAGAATGGGCAGACTGCCTCCTTAAGCGGGTCCTTGACCCCCGAGCAGCCTAACTCGGAGGCACCCCCCAGTAGGAGCAGACTGACACCTCACACGGCCAGATACTCCTCTGAGACAAAACTTCTAGAAGAACGATCAGGCAGCAGCATTTGCAGTTCACCAAGATCTGCTGTTCTACAGCCACCGCTGTTCTGTAGCCACCGCTGCTGATACCAAGACAAACATGGTCTGGAATGGACCTCTAGCAAACTCCAACAGACCTGCAGCTGAGGGTCCTGTCTGCTAGAAGGAAAACTAACGAACAGAAAGGACATCCACACCAAAAACCCTTCTGTACATCACCATTATCAAAGACCAAAAGTAGATAAAGCCACAAAGATGGGGAAAAAACAGCAGAAAAACTGGAAACTCTAAAAAGCAGAGCGCCTCTCCTCCTCCAAAGGAACGCAGCTCCTCACCAGCAACGGAACAAAGCTGGACGGAGAATGACTTTGATGAGCTGAGAGAAGAAGTCTTCAGACGATCAAACTACTCCGAACTACAGGAGGAAATTCAAACCAATGGCAAAGAAGTTAAAAACTTTGAAAAAAAATTAGATGAATGGATAACTAGAATAACCAACGCAGAGAAGTCCTTAAAGGAGCTGATGGAGCTGAAAGCCAAGGCTCGAGAACTACATGAAGGATACAGAAGCCTAAGGAGCTGATGCGATCAACTGGAAGAAAGGGTATCATTGATGGAAGATGAAATGAATGAAATGAAGCGAGAAGGGAAGATTAGAGAAAAAAGAATTAAAAAAACGAACAAAGCCTCCAAGAAATATGGCATTATGTGAAAAGACCAAATCTACGTCTGATTGCTGTACCTGAAACTGACGGGGAGAATGGAACCAAGTTGGAAAACACTCTGCAGGATGTTATCCAGGAGAACTTCCCCAATCTAGCAAGGCAGGCAAACATTCAGATCCAGGAAATACAGAGAACGCCACAAAGATACTCCTCGAGAAGAGCAACTCCAAGATAATTGTCAGATTCACCAAAGTTGAAATGAAGGAAAAAATGTTAAGGGCAGCCAGAGAGAAAGGTCGGGTTACCCACAAAGGGAAGCCCATCAGACTAACAGCTGATCTCTTGGCAGAAACTCTACAAGCCAGAAAAGAGTAGGGACCAATATTCAACATTCTTAAAGAAAAGAATTTTCAACCCAGAATTTCATATCCAGCCAAACTAAGCTTCATAAGTGAAGGAGAAATAAAATACTTTACAGACAAGCAAATACTGAGAGATTTTGTCACCACCAGGCCTGCCCTACAAGAGCTCCTGAAGGAAGCACTAAACATGGAAAGGAACAACCGGTACCTGCCACTCCAAAAACATGCCAAAATGTAAAGACCATCGAGGCTAGGAAGAAAACTGCATCAACTAACGAGCAAAATAACCAGCTAACATCATGATGACAGGACCATATACACACATAACAATATTAACTTTAAATGTAAATGGGCTAAATGCTCAAATTAAAAGACACAGACTGGCAAATTGGATAAAGAGTCAAGACCCATCAGTGTGCTGTATTCAGGAAACCCATCTCACGTGCAGAGACACACATAGGCTCAAAATAAAGGGATGGAGGAAGATCTACCAAGCAAATGGAAAACAAAAAAAGGCAGGGGTTGCAATCCTAGTCTCTGATAAAACAGACTTTAAACTAACAAAGATCAAAAGAGACAAAGAAGGCCATTACATAATGGTAAAGGGATCAATTCAACAAGAATAGCTAACTATCCTAAATATATATGCACCCAATACAGGAGCACCAAGATTCATAAAGCAAGTCCTTAGTGACCTACAAAGAAACTTAGATTCCCATACAATAATAACGGGAGAGTTTAACACCCCACTGTCAACATTGGACAGATCAACGAGACAGAAAGTTAACAAGGATACCCAGGAATTGAACTCATCTCTGCAGCAAGCAGACCTAATAGACATCTAGAGAAGTCTCCACCCCAAATCAATAGAATATACATTGTTTTCAGCACCACACCACACCTATTCCAAAATTGACCATATAGTTGGAAGTAAAGCATTCCTCAGCAAATGTAAAAGAACAGAAATTATAACAAACTTTCTCTCAGACCACAGTGCAATTAAACTAGAACTCAGGACTAAGAAACTCACTCAAAACCACTCAACTACATGGAAACTGAACAACCTGCTCCTGAATGACTACTGGATACATAACGAAATGAAGGCAGAAATAAAGATGTTCTTTGAAACCAATGAGAACAAAGACACAACATACCAGAATCTCTGGGACACATTCAAAGAAGTATGTAGAGGGAAATTTATACCACTAAATGCCCACAAGAGAAAGCAGGAAAAATCCAAAATCGACACCCTAACGTCACAATTAAAAGAACTAGAAAAGCAAGAGCAAACACTTTCAAAAACTAGCAGAAGGCAAGAAATAACTACAATCAGAGCAGAACTGAAGGAAATAGAGACACAAAAAATCCTTCAAAAAATTAATGAATCCAGGAGCTGGTTTTTTGAAAAGATCAACAAAATTGATAGACCGCTAGCAAGACTAATAAAGAAGAAAAGAGAGAAGAATCAAATAGATGCAATAAAAAATGATAAAGGTGATATCACCACTGATCCCACAGAAATACAAACTACCATCAGAGAATACTACAAACACCTCTACGCAAATAAACTAGAAAATCTAGAAGAAATGGATAAATTCCTCGACATATACACCCTCCCAAGACTAAACCAGGAAGAAGTTGAATCTCTGAGTAGAGCAATAACAGGCTCTGAAATTGTGGCAATAATCAATAGCTTACCAACCAAAAGAAGTCCAGGACCAGATGGATTCACAGCCGAATTCTACCAGAGGTACAAGGAGGAACTGGTACCATTCCTTCTGAAACTATTCCAATCAGTAGAAAAAGAGGGAATCCTCCCTAACTCATTTTATGAGGCCAGCATCATCCTGATACCAAAGCCTGACAGAGATACAACCAAAAAAGAGAATTTTAGACCAATATCCTTGATGAACATTGATGCAAAAATCCTCAATAAAATATTGGCAAACCGAATCCAGCAGCACATCAAAAAGCTTATCCACCATGATCAAGTGGGCTTCATCCCTGGGATGCAAGGCTGGTTCAACATATGCAAATCAATGAACATAATCCAGCATATAAACAGAACCAAAGATGAAAACTACATGATTATCTTAATAGATGCAGAAAAGGCTTTCGACAAAATTCAACAACGCTTCATGCTAAAAACTCTCAATAAATTAGGTATTGATGGGACATATCTCAAAATAATGAGAGCTATCTATGACAAACCCACAGCCAATATCATTCCGGATGGGCAAAAACTGGAAGCATTCCCTTTGAAAACTGGCACAAGAGAGGGATGCCCTCTCTCACCACTCCTATTCAACATAGTGTTGGAAGTTCTGGCCAGGGCAATTAGGCAGGAGAAGGAAATAAAGGGTATTCAATTAGGAAAAGAGGAAGTCAAATTGTCCCTGTTTGCAGATGACATGATTGTATATCTAGAAAACCCCATTGTCTCAGCCCAAAATCTCCTTAAGCTGATAAGCAACTTCAGCAAAGTCTCAGGATACAAAATCAATGTACAAAAATCACAAGCATTCTTATACACCAATAACAGACAAACAGAGAGCCAAATCATGAGTGAACTCCCATTCACAACTGCTTCAAAGAGAATAAAATACCTAGGAATCCAACTTACAAGGGATGTGAAGGACCTCTTCAAGGAGAACTACAAACCACTGCTCAAGGAAATAAAAGAAAATACAAACAAATGGAAGAACATTCCATGCTCATGGGTAGGAAGAATCAATATTGTGAAAATGGCCATACTGCCCAAGGTAATTTATAGATTCAATGCCATCCCCATCAAGCTACCAATGACTTTCTTCACAGAATTGGAAAAAACTACTTTAAAGTTCATATGGAACAAAAAAAGAGCCTGTATCGCCAAGTCAATCCTAAGCCAAAGGAACAAAGCTGGAGGCATCACACTGCCTGACTTCAAACTTTACTACAAGGCTACAGTAACCAAAACAGCATGGCACTGGTACCAAAACAGAGATATAGATCAATGGAACAGAACAGAGCCCTCAGAAATAATGCCACATATCTACAACCATCTGATCTTTGACAAACCTGACAAAAACAAGCAATGGGGAAAGGATTCCCTATTTAATAAATGGTGCTGGGAAAACTGGCTGGCCATATGTAGATAGCTGAAACTGGATCCCTTCCTTATGCCCTATACAAAAATTAATTCAAGATGGATTAAAGACTTACATGTTAGACCTAAAACCATAAAAACCCTAGAAGAAAACCTAGGCAATACCATTCAGGACATAGGCATGGGCAAGGACTTCATGTCTAAAACACCAAAGGCAATGGCAACAAAAGCCAAAATTGACAAAGGGGATCTAATTAAACTAAAGAGCTTCTGCACAGCAAAAGAAACTACCATCAGAGTGAACAGGCAACCTACAGAATGGGAGAAAATTTTTGCAATCTACTCATCTGACAAAGGGCTAATATCCAGAATCTACAATGAACTCAAACAAATTTACAAGAAAAAAACAAACAACCCCATCAAAAAGTGGGCAAAGGATATGAACAGACACTTCTCAAAAGAAGACATTTATGCAGCCAAAAAACACATGAAAAAATGCTCCTCATCACTGGCCATCAGAGAAATGCAAAGCAAAACCACGATGAGATACCATCTCACACCAGTTAGAATGGCAATCATTAAAAAGTCAGGAAACAACAGGTGCTGGAGAGGATGTGGAGAAATAGGAACACTTTTACACTGTTGGTGGCACTGTAAACTAGTTCAACCATTGTGGAAGACAGTGTGTCCATTCCTCAGGGATCTAGAACTAGAAATACCATTTGACTCAGCCATCCCATTACTGGGTATATACCCAAAGGATTATAAATCATGCTGCTATAAAGACACATGCACACGTATGTTTATTGCGGCACTATTCACAATAGCAAAGACTTGGAACCAACCCAAATGTCCAACAATGATAGACTGGATTAAGAAAATGTGGCACATATACACCATGGAATACTATGCAGCCATAAAAAATGATGAGTTCATGTCCTTTGTAGGGACACGGATGAAGCTGGAAACCATCATTTTCCGAAAACTATCGCAAGGACAAAAAACCAGACACTGCATGTTCTCACTCATAGGTGGGAATTGAACCATGAGAACACATGGGCACAGGAAGGGGAACATCACACTCTGGGGCCTGTTGTGGGGTGGGAGGAGGGGGGAGGGATAGCATTAGGACATATACCTAATGCTAAGTGACGAGTTAATGGGTGCAGCACACCAACATGGCACCTGTATACATATGTAACAAACCTGCACATTGTGCGCATGTACCCTAAAACTTAAAGTATAATAATAAATAAATAAATAGATAAAATATTTTTCAGCTTATTGTCAAAATCAGTGGGAAACTACTGTACAGTTTCTTTCATATATGAGTTGTTATAGGCATACTCACTCTTTTTAGTACCTTTACAGTTTTGTACTCTAAAGACATAATTTGGATTGATTCTCTTTGGTGTGATTTCCATGAAAAAAAATGCATCATGCATTTCTGATTTTCAATGCTGTACTATCAAATGAATGCCCACAAGGAGAAAATTTCTGGTTGACTGGGCATCAAAGAGGACCCAATCTTGCACTTAAGTTTTACATGTCTGATGATTGGAAGAATTTTACACAGAATAGCTTCTGATATGTAAACCTTGTTTCCTCTCACTGCCTACATATTTTTGTATTGGAAACTGTAGGATATGCTCACACCATCCCTGACCTGGCACATTCATGTTGCAATGTCTGCTTGAGTTACCACTCTTGATGGTAGAAGCATTCCTGGAAGTCATTCCTATATGTGGATGGCTAGCAATCACTTAACTATATACGAAAGTGACCTGAAGCTACATAAATATATCTCATGTAAACAGAACCCCCCTCAATTTCCCTTAAGCCAGAGCCCAATAACACCTGTGGTCACTCCAATGACTCTCAGTTTGCGGGGAGATAAGAGGTAGTAGGAGTCGAAATGGAAAGAGATAAGCATAGTTAAAATATCTTACTTTGAATATTTTACAAAAACACATAACCATGTGAATACATTGATAGGCCCTGTCCCAAGGGCCTTGAAACTGGGGCCTATGCACATTAACAGCCCTGAAACCTAAATTTTGGTAGTTTTACAGTAAATCCACTTCTTGATGAAATAGACAATGTGACTGGATTGCTCTTAGCAAGTTTTCAATCTCTACAAGTTTGGGCTATTAATTGAGATTTAAGCAACCACTAATGCTGAAGTCCAAGTAGAGAATACAGGACCAGCCTCTGTCTAGTAGAGCTGGGGAGTGGTGAGCCTGGATTAGGAGGCTTTGATGAGGAGACTGAACGTTTGATGAGGAGATCGAATGTCTTCAAAGTGCTTGGTGTCAATGCTGGGTGCTGAGAAGACAAACAATACAAGGCATTGTTTTTGCTCTTGGGAGTTATGATCTGTCTGAAGGCAGGACATGTCCTTAAAGTGACAGAAACATCATGGGCCACGTGTGCTGGAGAAGGGAGTTGGGAGAACTGGATCAATCATGAATGGTATCCAGGAGAAGGCTGAATTTGAGGTGAGCTTGGAGGTCAGGGGACATGTTTACAGTGTTATTACAGGAGGAAACTTTTGGTAGTGGGAAGCTGAAATAAAGTTTTTATTTTTTTTTGCAGGGGCAGTTAGGGTGAATGTTATGTGTGACTAAAATGATAAAACCTGGAAGATTCTGCATTACGGTTGCATGAGCTGGAGAGAAACCTGTCAGTGGGGAGGCTAGGGCTGCATGCTGGAGCCACCAGCCAATGGAGAACAAGGCATAATTACTGTGCTCTTATTGCATTCTCTGTAAAATGCCTGCATGAGCAAATCCAAATATGCCAAATGACCTAGGAAAGGATTTTTTTAAGTATGTATTTTTACATAATTATCCTTTTTTCTTGAACATAGAAGTAGTGGATTTTCCTGCAGTCTTCACATCCTGTTAGTTCATGAGGGCAGGCCCTGTCCATCACTGGATTCCCAGTGCTCAGCATGGTGCCAGGCATCTGGCAGATGCTCAATAAATTCTCGTTGGTGAGTGCAGGTGACAGGTGTACAAGAAAGGGACATTTGTAATAATCATTTCCCTTATTTATAGAATGAATTCCAATGAATGTAGTCAATAAACAGTTTTCTTCCCATAAAGGTACAGGGAATACGTACAGAAGCTACAGGAGAATTAAATGAGCTAATAAACCAGCTATTGGCTACCATTTCCAGTACTTAGATTGGCTTCGTTTTCTCACAAAGAAGCATTTGCTAAAAAACAGACAAAGACAAAATGTTGAGAATCATAATTGGTAATAAAGACCCATAAAAGGTGCTAACATTTTTCTTGGAATGGCAGCTCCTTTCTCTTCACATAAAATACATTTCTTTTGTGTGTTTGTGCACGTGTCCTTACTGAGACCATCTGCAGACATACTTAGCTGAAGCAGATGGAAACACACATCATCCCGAAAGAACACGAGCACTTCTTCTCTTGCTTCCTGAACAGAGCTAATCTTGTGGTTGTACTCCACCTTTTACACTCTAATGCTGCTCTTCTATCACTATTATGGTTTTTAAACAAAACATTGCAGGAATAAATGTCACTGAGAAGATGATGCCACCTTATGATTTTGACTTTAATAAAATATTCCTCACAACTACTTACATACAATAAAATTTGAATGTCTATAGGAAATACACAGTTTTTTTTAGTATTATGGGTTATTAGCCAAGTAATCACAGTGATTACTCTTATTTATGACTCTCTTTTCATAAATGAAGTTCCATGTAGGCATTTGTAAAACTAAAATTTTGTTGTGAAATTTTATTAACTAGTGATATAAAATATATTTTTGTGAAAAGCTAATGTGAGGAAGAGGATGACATGAAAATCTAGTATTCAATACAAAACACAGTCATTTTTAAGTGAATTGTAATTCACAGCAACTTTTGCGAGGCAACTGTATTTTCTAAACAGTTTTATTTTGACAGATAAAGTCAGACAAAATCAGTGCTTTTATATAAGATAAAAATGAGTTTGACTTTTTGAATTAAACACATAGAAAGAACTGATGATGACAATTGTTGGGATCAAATCCATATCATAAGTGCAGTTTTATGTTTTCATGTATTAATTTTAGTCAACATTTTAGACTATTCTGATAGTGAAATGCAACCATCAAGAAATGTCATTGTATTCTGCGTCCACTAGGGGGAAATCACTGTGCAAGGGGTCAGATGACAGCAGGGTTTTAGCCTAGGAGGTGAGCCCTTTGATTTCCTCTGCTTGATTTTTTTTCATTTTTCCTAAAGTTAGCTAACATCTACTAAGAAAACTTTTTCAGAAAATATTAACCAAAAGCATGATGTCAAATTGCCTTAAAATCTAGGCATTTGAATGTTGAATATGACCAAATATTTACTAACAGTTTTTCTTAGAAGAAAACCAATTCCTTCTTTGAGCAGCTTCTAACAATGCAGCCATCTGGCCATGTGGGATATGACAGCATCTCTTAATTTGATGGCATCAAAATGCTGATTCACAAAGCGTCTAAAGAAAACATTGCCTCCTTTCTTTTTCTAACCAAAAGGCTTCTGTTAGATTCAGGACCCTGGACCAAAATTACCTTCTAAAGAATATGACATTTTCTGCCTAGTACTGTAGGCAATTTTTTCATCAACGGTGTTATGCCACCCATGCTGTGGACATTCCGGAATACATTCGACTGTTTGAGAAAATGTTGCATTTATATCCAGTCATTGCTTTGAAGTGATTGCAACAATTACACAAAATGAAATATAAAGTTTTATTTACATTTAAGACTGTCCAGCTTCTCTTTTTTTATTGTCAGCATTAAAAATAATTTTGAACTGCAATTCTGGGGGAAGCTCTTCAAGCAGTTTGTGATAAGAGATACAGTAAAAGGAGTACAAATATCTAAAATACTAGAGATCTTTTAACTAAACCTACCTGAAGCCAATTGTATTGACAGCTTAAAAAATAAAATTAAAAAAATAAGTATGCACTCAAGATAATTGTCTATTTTGCCATAAAAATTTAGTGTTATTGTCTTAGACATTTCATTTGAATCGAGGATACACTTATATGTAATGTCTGATGTACATTTACTAGATATGTAACACATTATATTTATTTTAGATTTCCATTTTAAAGAACTGCTAGTAGCAAGTGTTTCCTTCCTGAAAGTAGGCCCTAAGTAATTATGTGGACTAGAAGAAAACTAAAGAATCAGTAGAAAAATGTGTTTCTACATTTCACCTGCTTGGAAAAATGTGCTCTGGGCTATATAAAAATAAAGCGGTAATAGAAAATTAACATATTAAAAATACACAATACCATAAGATGTTTTCCTATATGATTTTTTAGGAATAGCTTTCTTGTGTTTTATCAGCCACTGGCAGTTTCTCTAGTGTGACTATTCTCTGTTTTCCATCAATCAGCAATTTTTTGTTGAATTCCACTACATGCTAACACTAGACTCTAAGTTTAAGGCAGATATTCCAGGCACTAATTTTTTTCTCGGGGCTAAACATTTTTACCTCCAAGGGCTCTTAGGAAAGTTAAATCAGGATTCTCCAAGTATTTGTTCAGAAGACAGTTCTGGGCTGGGCACAGTGGCTCACACCTGTAGTCCCAGCACTTTGGGAGGCCGAGGCAGGTGCATCACAGGAATTCAGGAGTTCAAGACCAGCCTGGCCAACATGGCGAAACCCTGTCTCTACTAAAAATACAAAAATTAGCCAGGCGTGGTGGTGCGTGCCTGTAGTCCAGCTACTCAGGAGGCTGAGGCAGGAGAATCGCTTGAACCCAGGAGGCGGAGGAGGTTGCAGTGAGCAGAGATCGTGTCACTGCTCTCCAGCCTGGGTGACAGAGTCAGACTCTGTCTCAAAAAAAAAAAAAAAAAAAGAAAAAAGAAAACAGTTCTACATTCTCTGAAATCTTATGATCACTAGAGGGTATAACCTTGTCTTAGAGTAACTGTATTACTCTATGTAATACAGTGCAGATTTGCTGAATGAATCTAGGTGGTCATGTGGAGCGGAGGACACTGGCCGTGGGAGGGGATGTGCAGACTCTGGCTCTGCTCTCAGCTCCTATGCTGTTGTGAGGAAAGGAGATGGGAGCCATGTCCTGTGGGTTGTGAATTGTCAGGTGAGTCTTAGAAACAGAGCAGCTAATCATCTTTACTAGTCGGCAGTCTTAAGGCCGAACCATAACTATGAGGACTACTCTTGTTTCCTGGAAAAGGGAGAAGAAAGTGAAAGTGGAAATTAAAGGGCCCAAGTAGGAGAGAGCAGAAGAAAAAGAAACAAACAAACAAGAACAACATAAAAACAAGCAATCGTGCAAACAAACAAACAACCAATGGAGCATCACAGGTACTGGCTTACTCCTGGAAGGAGCTGCATTTAGGTCTGAAGACCAATGGGCTCTGTGAGTAGGAGCACTTAACCTGCCTGCATGGCACATCAGAATCATCTGGACGGAGTTCTTACACTTGTATGTTCCTGCGCTCTGAACCACAACTATTTAATCAAAATCTCGGGTTGGGGCCTGAGGATATTTACTCAATTATTTATCAATTCTTACTATTATTATATATTTATTTTTTAAAGATAATGGCTTTATTCAGATCTAATTTACATACCATATGACGTATCCATTTAAAGTGTGTGATTCAATAACTTTTAGTATAGTCATCATTTCTAAAAGAAGCTATATCCATTAGCAGTCATTCACCATTTCCCCAAAATACCCTTTTCCCAGCCCTAGGCAACTATTAATCTACTTTATATTTCTATAGATTTGTTTGTTCTGGAAATTTAATATAAATAGAATAATATGTAGTTTTTTGGTGACTGAGATAGAATATTTATAAAGAACCGTCATTTCTGAGAACATAAAACAATTAAAATTTGGCTCCTTGCCTGTAATTATTTTTTCTGCCACCCAATTTCTATTTACTTGGCGTAAGTATTTATTTCTGTTTAATTATATAAATGTTATCTACTGACCTAAGACATTAAATTGCCTTTTCTAAACCTTTATTACTTATGTATAAGAACCAAATGTTATTTTGTTTTTCAGGGCTATGGAACATTTAATTAAGAAAAGACTTCCATCTTGTTCCCAGAGGTGTTTATGACTTAATGGATATAAATGGGTGCCAGCATTATGGGTGCTGCCTGTTATCATGTATTATAATACCAGGGAATGATTGCAAGAGATGCGCAATAGGTATCCAACTACATACATGAAATTACAAAAAGACTGCAATTTAAAACGGAAATATAGACATGTTAAAAATATCAACCATTTCCTAGTCATTATTGCTGATTAAATTTCAAAAATGAATAATGCTGAGAGAACTTATAGACCTGCAGACAACAGATCCTTTATTATTAGAGAAAAAAATATTGGATCAGAATGAGCAAATGCCAGCTTGTATGTACAGATCAAACCCGTGAATCCAAGGCATAATTTCAATTTCTCAACACAATGTATGAAAGGATATATAGGCTAGCTTTAATTTAAACATTTAAAAGAGTTAGTTGAGGATGCACTTTTTCGTTTCCTTTTGTTTTGAGATGGAGTCTCGCTTTGTCGCCCAGGCTGGAGTGCAGTGGCACGATCTCGGCTTACTGCAACCTCTGCCTTCCAAGTTCAAGCAATTCTCATGCCTCAGCCTCCCGAGTAGCTGGGACTACAGGCACGTGCCACCATGCCTGGCTAATTTTTGTATTTTTAGTAGAGACAGGGTTTCACCATGTTGGTCAGGCTAGTCTTGAACTCCTGACCTCAAGTGATCCGCCCATCTTGGCCTCCCAAAGTGCTGGGATTACGGGTGTGAGCCACTGCACTTGGCCAAGGATGTAGTTTTCATTGATGTTAAAAAGCTAATCAAATAATTGACAAAAATCTTCCTCAGGTACAATGAGACAACCTAACTTTGACTATGGTGTAAGAAAAAGTGCCACAGACGTGATAAATTGAACATAATATTGCATGCTTTACAATTTTGTAGAATTTTATGTTTTAACTCTTCCACTAAGCTTCCATTAAAGACTTTTTTCACCTTTAAAGTAATAAAACATAATAACATCTAGTGGTTGCTTTCTCCCTTTTCTGAAAGTCATACACATTTGCACAGAGAAAATATGAAAAAAGAAAAGGTAGAAAGTCATGTTTGTAATCTGAACAGCTCAATTATTTTAGAATAGATAAAAGATAATTTATATACTTAGAATCATGGTGAATAAGTGATAGTGAACTTAATTTAAAAATACAAATAGTTTATCTAAACCAAACATCTAACATTCATCTCTCATATGTTTGACAACCAAACTACTAAATAACTCCAAACTTAACCTCTCCAAGAAGCCTCAGGTATAATTGAGCAAACACTTTGTACATCTTTAATAATTAAGCATGCTGCAATCTCATTGGTATAGGTAAAATTTATTAAAAATCCCAACAACTCAAAGCAATGACTAAAGGCACAACTTGAGTGACTCTACATAGGGAAGTAGAAAAATATTTAGAGGATTTAGTCCTAAAATATAGTTGCAAATGCAGGAGAGGTGCTTCTTTTTTTAACGGAATTATCCAGATTGAATATCTATATTAATAAAAGACATCAAGTGGTTCTTAGTTTCACGGGTACTCTAAGAACCACTCTATTTGGCCTGCTCCAGGTCTGCATATGAAAACTTTAGCCCAAGGCATGTATCTGAATTACTATCCCTATAGATTGGATGCTTTAGGAACTCATTAATTTAAATCTTCTAACAGACTGCCAAGTGTTGAGAGGTAACTCACTTTTCAAAAAAAATGACCATTAAATTCAAGCCTTTGAAAAATGGAATTCTGCAAACTATAGTTGACACATAATGAATAAATACATAGAAAAAGTAATTGGAGAAAAACAAAACAAAATACAAGAGGGAACATCTATTACAGTGAGTAGGATAACAACTAGTTTTTCATATTTGTTTCCTTTGACAATGATGCTAATTAGTTACTAAAATAGAATCTGGAGAGTGAACAGGCAATCTACAGAATGGGAGAAAATTTTGGCAACCTACTTATCTGACAAAGGGCTAATATCCAAAATCTACAATGAACTCAAACAAATTTACAAGAAAATAACAAACAACCCCATCAAAAAGTGGGCAAAGGATATGAACAGACACTTCTCAAAAGAAGACATTTATGCAGCCAAAAAACACATGAAAAAATGCTCATCATCACTGGCCATCAGAGAAATGCAAATCAAAACCACGATGAGATACCATCTCACACCAGTTAGAATGGCAATCATTAAAAAGTCAGGAAACAACAGGTGCTGGAGAGGATGTGGAGAAATAGGAACACTTTTACACTGTTGGTGGGACTGTAAACTAGTTCAACCATTGTGGAAGGCAGTGTGGCGATTCCTCAGGGATCTAGAACTAGAAATACCATTTGACCCAGCCATCCCATTACTGGGTATATACCCAAAGGATTATAAATCATGCTGCTATAAAGACACATGCACACGTATGTTTATTGCAGCACTATTCACTATAGCAAAGACTTGGAACCAACACAAATGTCCAACAATGATAGACTGGATTAAGAAAATGTGGCACATGTACACCATGGAATACTATGCAGCCATAAAAAATGAAGAGTTCATGTCCTTTGTAGGGACATGGATGAAGCTGGAAACCATCATTCTCAGCAAACTATCGCAAGGACAAAAAACCAAACACCACATGTTCTCACTCATAGGTGGGAATTGAACAATGAGAACACATGGACACACGAAGGGGAACATCACACAGCGGGGACTGTTGCGGGATTGGGGGAGCGGGGAGGGATAGCATTAGGAGATATACCTAATGCTAAATGACGAGTTAATGGGTGCAGCACACCAGCATGGCACATATATACATATGTAACAAACCTGCACATTGTGCACACGTACCCTAAAACTTAAAGTATAATAATAATAAAAAAAAGAAAAAAAATAGAATCTGGAGGACATTATGCTAGATGAAATAAGCCAGGCACGAAAAGATAAGTACTGTATTAACTCATTTATACGTGAAATCTAAAAAAGCCAAACTCACAGAAGCAGAGAGTAGAATGGTGATTGCATGGGGCTGGGGGATGAGAAAAATGGGGAGAAATTGGTCAAAGGGAATAAACTTTCAGTTTTAAGATGAATCAGTTCTGGAGATCTAATGTACAGCATGGTGACTATACTTAATTGTACTATATTGTTTACTTGAATTTTGATAAAGAGCAGATTTTAACTGCCTTCATCCCACCCCCTACACACACACACACATACGGTAATTATGGGTGGTGATGGCTGTGATAATTAGATTACAGTAATCAGTACACAATGTATACATAGGTCAAATCAAGGTGTATACCCTGAATATATGCAATTTTTGTTTGTTCATTAAATATTTCAAAGTAAACTAAAACAATAAAAATCCGTGTTTCAAAACATTTTCTGCATGCTGAATACTGTTGTTATTCTTTTTTTTTTTTTTTTTTTTTGGTCTCTGTTGGTAAAAACGATGTATATCCTGATTTCTGTGTTCTTCATCTAATTTACTCCCTTGAACTTCACTTGTTTTAGGCAATGACTTTTAGGAAAATGGCCTTTACGATGCAAGCAGTAGCTTAAGCGAGCTCAGGGTGCTAAGTTGTGGTGAATAAATTTTGCACTTAAATTCCAGTTGTGGAACCAAGTATTAAAAATAAATAGGTGATTCAAAAAGCTTGCCAACACTTCATATTCTTTAATGCTACCAAAAATCATTGACAGCTACAGGATAGGGAACTGAGTTTTTTGTTTGTTTCTTTCATATTTCAATGTTTCTGACTTTATTCCCTGAAGCACTCATTAATCTGGCTTTAGTATATTCAGAAAACAACAACAACAAAAAGAATAAAGAAAAATTCTTTGTAATATCATTCTATTTTCCTGTCTGAGACTGAGAATTCCAGGAGGTAATTGAAGGATATGTGAACCCTCTATTCAGGGCCTTCAGAAAAGCCTCAAAAAGACCCCCCTCCTTGGGCAAGAAGAGACAACACTATCTGGGCAAGGGCAGCTGAGCATTGAAGTTTATCCTTTTGGCATTCCCCAACCTCATTATGATTCCACATGTTAACTTCTAGTTAACATTTTCCCACTTGAAAGCAGAATAAAAGCATAAAAAATATTCTTGGGCTTCAAATAGCTCTTGCCAAATACATTTTTAAATTTCAGTATCAGTACCTGAATGAGATAACAAACAAAAGTGGAATAACTCTCCAAAATATAAGTGAGTATATGTAGGAAAATGTGTTTCTTGTATTTTTATTTCAACATAAAATCACAGAATTTGACAACAAGAAGTTACTTTAAAAATTACCTGGTTCAGGCCAGGTGCAGTGGCTAATGCCTGTAATTTCAGCACTTTGGGAGGCCGAAGTGAGCAGATCACTTGAGGTCAGGAGTTCGAGATCAGCCTGGCCAACACTGCGAAACCCCATCTCTGCTAAAAATACAAAAATTAGCTGGGTGTGGTGGCAGGTGCCTGTAATCCCAGCTACTTGGGAGGCTGAGGCACAAGAATCACTTGAACCCGGGAGGCGGAGGTTGTAGTGAGCCGAGATTGCACCATTGCACTCCAGCCTGGGCAACAAGAGCAAAACTCCATCTCAAAAAAAAAAAAAAAACAAAAAACAACCTGGTTCAACTCTCTCATGTTATCTGTAAAGAAACTGAATTACAGATAAGTTAAGCAAAACATGCCAAGCCCCACAGCTACTTCATTCATTAATTTGTGTCCATTCATTCATTCATTCATTCACTTTACTCACTCACTTATCCCTTTAAAGAACACTTAAGGACAGCCCCTCTGTGCTCGCAGAGCTAGGTGTGGTATGCAGTGATGAGATGAACGAGATGGTCATGGTTCCTTGCAGTTTGGTGGGCTAAACTAGTCTAACTGTTTGATGATCTGAAACTTGAAATCAGACAGCTGTAAATGAAGACAGACTCCAGTGAGTGCTACAACAGAGGTACAAACTAAAAATTGATACTGAAGTCTGGACAAAAGAAAATGGGTGTGCTCTAAGATATGGAAATTCAGAAAGACCAGCTGGGGTTTTGAATGAGTTAATCTAGGATTCAACGTGGAAAGGAGAGTACACTGGGAGAGAAAGTTGGTAGGTGAAGAGTCCATTGTCTTGATAAGATTCTGTGCTTTCCGTTTTAAATACTGGGGAGTGACAGAAGATTTACTTCTAAAGACAACGAGGAGGAGAAAAAAGTTGTATCTTATTTTTGCCTAATTGTCCGCTGGGGCTGAAGGGGACACCATGCTCCTTGAAATCCCTTTTGATTACCTTTAATTCATCAGTTCGCTGCCACGAAATTGGAGCACCCTCAAAAGATTTCCACAAGGTTAGCTTGCTTACAGGAGATCAACCCTGACGTAAAACTCAGTCACTTCTTTGGTTTACATAGAAAAATAAATCATTCATTTCAAGTCTTTGAGTTTAGCAGGTTATCTGAATACCTTTTGGTGAAACGGGGGGGTGGAGATGGGTGGGGGGTATTTACCTATTTACCATTACCCTTTTCCTCTTTAATCTTTCAACTCCACCTCATCTCTCACCTACTCCCTCCTGGCTAGTCCTTGACCTCTAAATTCTCTTCTCTTTATCATGTAGAACTGTTTCTTTGCTGAAGTACAGTCATACACCTCATAATGACATTTCTATCAATGACAGAACGCATATATGACTGTTCCCATAAAATTATAATACTGTACTTTTACTGTAATTTTTTTAATGTTCAGGTATCTCTAGACTCACAAATACTTACCATTGTGTTACAATTGCCAACAGTATTCAGAACAGTAACCTGCTGTACAGGTTTGTAGCCGAGAAGCAATGGGCTACAGCATATGGCCTAGGTGTGTAGTAGGCTATGAGGATTAGTAATGTTGTTCATTTCTTCATATGTCTGTGGGCCACTTGTATGTGTTTTTTGAGAAGTGTCTGTTCATATCCTTTGCCCTCTTTTTATTGGGGTTGTTTTTTCTTGTTGAGGTGTTGCAG
Organism: Homo sapiens; assembly: GCF_000001405.40. NCBI lineage: Eukaryota > Metazoa > Chordata > Mammalia > Primates > Hominidae > Homo > Homo sapiens. The sequence continues at coordinate 228,048,872 of NC_000002.12, forward strand.
TTTCTTATAGATGTGTGTAAGCGCACTCTATGTTTGCAGAATGACAAAATCACCTAATGACTCAATTCTCAGGATGCATTCCTGTCTATAAGCAACACGCGATTGCACTGACACCAACCTAGACCGGGAAAGGGAGTGTGGGACGGTGCTTGAGAGCCCAGCTCCAATCCCAGCTCTGCTCCTATTGATTGTGTAAATTATGCAACCACTAGGAGGCTCCATATCCTTGCCCATAAAATGGGGAAAACAACAGTACCTATCTCAGGATTTTTGGAAGGGTTTAAACACATACAGCTTACAAAGTCTAAAACACAGGAAGTGCTCAATGAATACTTTTGTTGTGTTACTGTTACTTCTCCAAACACTTATCAATGTATGTTTAAACATAATTACCTTTAAAAAATCTGTGCTATTTAAAATCTTTTAAATAACTATGTAAGTAATACACATGCACAGTTTGCCTCTTAATGAAAAATATCTGCCTTCTGCCCCACATTTTCTAAAGTGTGATTCCCTTCCCAAACTAACTTCTCTTTCTTCCAGTATACTGTTGTTTATTGATCACAAATGTGAGACATTGCTGCATTATAAAGAATGAGGTTTTTAGCACTTCAAATTATTTATGTATTATTTACAATAATTTTGGCTTTTATTTCAGATTTAAGGAGTGCATGTGCACCTGGGCTTACTGCATGACACTAAGGTTTGGGGTATGAATCTTATCACCCAGCTAGTGAGCATAAGACCTAATAGGTAGCTTTGTGAGCCCTTGGACTCCCACCTCTCTTCCTGCTCTAGCAGTCCCCAGATCTTCCCATTTTTTATGTCCATATGTACCCAATGTTTAGCTCTTACTTGTAAGTGAGAACAAGTGGTATTTGGTTTTATGTTCCTGCCTTAATTCACATAGGATAATGACCTCCAGTTGCACCCATGTTGCTGCAAAAATATAATTTCATTGTTTTTTTATGGCTGCATAGCATTCCATGGTATATATGTACCACATTTTCTTTATCCAGGGTAAACAGAAAACCTACAGAATGGGAGAAAATCTTCACAAACTCCAACATCCAACAAAGGTCTGATATTCAATATCTATAAGAAACTGCAATAACTCAACAAGAAAAAACAAATAACCCCATTAAAAAGTGGGCAAAGGATATGAACAGACACTTCTTAAAAAAACACGTACAAGTGGCCCACAAACATATGAAGAAATGATCAACATTACTAATTCTCACAGACATGCAAATCAAAACCACAATGAGATACCATCTCACATCAGTCAGAATAGCTATTATTAAAAGGCCAAAAAATAGCAGATGTCAGGGCTTGAAGGAAAGGAACACTTAGAAACTGTTGATGGGAAAAATACATTAATTCAGCCACTGTGAAAAGCAGTTTGGAGGTTTCTCAAATAATTTAAAACTACCATTCAACCCAGCAATCCCATTGCTGAGTATAAACCCAAAGGAAAATAAGTCATTCTGCCACAAAGACACATGCACTTGAATGTTCACAGCAGCACTATTCACAATATTTCCTTTACCTACAATTTGTTCTTACCGATTTAATTTTTACCATATGCGGATGGAATCACCCTAGGTGCTCATCAATGGTGGATTTGTTAAAAATTTATTTTTACTGATACATATTAGATGTACCTGTGTTTAGGGTACATGTGATAATTTGATACATTCACATAATTAAATCAAAGTAACTGAAATATCTATCACCTTCAATATTTATATTTTGTTTATGCTAGAAACATTTGAATTCTTTTCCTCTAGCGATTTTGAAGTGTAGAATTGATTAATGTTAACTCTAGTCACCCTACTGATCTATTGAACACCAGGTCTTATTTCTTCTATCTAAGTGATCTAAGTGTATAATTTTACTTATTAATCAGCCTTTTATATTCCCCCACTCCACCTTTATTTATTTATTTATTTTGAGACAGGGTCTGACTCTGTTGCCCAGGCTGGAGTGCTGTGGTATAATCTTGGCTCACTGCAGCCTCAACTTCCTGGGCTCAGGTGGTCCTCCCACCTTAGCCTCCTCAGTAGCTGGGACTACAGGTGCCACCAACACACCAGGCTAATTTTTGTATATTTTGTAGAGACAGGGTTTTGCTATGTTGTCCAGGCTGGTTTTGAACTCCTGGGCCCAAGCAATCCTCCACCTCGGCCTCCCAAAGTGCTGGGATTATAGGTATGAGCCACTGCACCTGGCCACCCACTCCACTTTCTCTACCTCTTCTCAGAATTGTTATATCACAATTTTGGGCAAATGAATATTTAGTGTTTGCCTTGTTGTGATCAGGTAATTATTGTTCAGTAGGGACTACATTGTATATTGTAATATTTCCTTTACCTAAAACTTGTTTTTATTGATTTAATTTTTGCCTTATGCAGCAGATTGACTTATTGTTCATTCAATATTCATTCTTTTCTATATCCATAGGAAAAAATCTACTTTTCTGCCCCTTAACTTTGAGTTTGGCTGCATGACTTGCTTTGGCTAAGGGGATGTTAATCAATGAAATGCAAGCAAGAATTTGAAATATGCCTGTGTGGTGGACTTGTCCTCTTTGTGCTTATGCCTGCCATTGCCCTGATAAGAACGTGCTCTGAGGCTAGACCACTGGTTCAAGTGGGGTTGAAAGACACACAGAACACCCAGATCCAGAAACGCCTGCCTAGCCTAGGTAAGCTGCTCCCCTGACCCCACTGTAAAACAACCTGAAGACCCAGGTGAAGTACACTGCTGTCTACTGCTATTATTAGAACTCAATGGTTGATTCTTGTCTTAGTCTGTTCAGGCTGCTATAACACAATACCTTACACTGGAAAATATTTAAATAAAACAAATATATTTCTCAGAGTTCTGAAGGTTGGGAAGTCCAAAATCAGGACACTGGCAGATTTCCTGTCTGGCGAGGGCCTGGTCCTCATAAATGCCTTCTTGCTTCATCCTCACCTACTCACCTAGCAGCTCCCTTAGGCCTCTTTTGTACTGGCACAAATCCTATTGATGAGAGTTCAGCCTTCATGACCTAATCAACCCCCAAACGCCCCACCTTCTATCTCCACTGCCCTGGAGATCATTTTGACATATGAATTTTGGAGTGACACAAACATTTAGACCATACCAATTCTAGCCCAACAAAAGCGAGCTCCAATAAGTATTTTTCTCTATTTTCTGTTTCAATATAATAAAAGGTGGTGTGGATTTGAAGATTATGAGAGCCAAAAATGTAAAATTTAATTGAAGTATTGGAAGATAAAGTCAAGGGGGATTTTCCAGAAAGAACAAAAAGAAAAAAAAAAGAGGAAATAATAAAAAATCTAAAGCCCAATTCAAGAAATCCAACATCCAATCTATTTTCTACTGGCAATGGTAGAGTTAGAACATTGGAAATAGAGGGGACAGAATGAATAAAACATAAGAAAATATTTCAGATCTGAAAAGTTTTGCTTAAAAGAGCTCACAAAATAGGCCAATGCTAATTCTTAGCATCATGAAATTCTAGAATACCAGGGATAAAGAGAGGATTATCATGGCTTCCAGTTTAAACAACAGCCACACAAACAAACAAAAAGAATCAGAACAATATAACACTGTTCAATAGCAGTGCTGGAAGCCAAAAGACATCAGAGCAATATCATTGAATTTTGAGTAAAATAATTTTTTTTGCAACCTGGAAGTCTATACGAGTCAACCTATCAATCAAAAGTGAGGGTTAGAATGAGACTCTTTTCAAATAAGCAATACCTAAAGCTGTCTCCCATCCACACTTTTTAAGAATGATAAACATTCTAGATATTTCTTTATTTGTGGAGAGGTTACTTTTTTCCCTAAAACTTTTTCTCTTTCTTTCTTTGGAGTCTTGATGTTTTGTTTTATTCCTTTTATGTTAGAGAGTTTAAAAACTCTGTCCTTTGTTATACATTTATATTTAAGAATGATGAACAGATTTGAGGCCCCTGAGTGGTGCTTGTTAACTAATGGATTTCTCTCTAGGTTGATTGGAAGGGACCCAGTCATATCCTTAGAAGACTTCTTACTATAGTCTGTATAGTAAGAGCTAATCTGTTCAGGCTGCCATACAAAATATAATATATTAGATGAGCGGCTTAAGCAATAGAAATTTATTTTCTCATTGTTGTGGAGGCTAGATGTCCTAGATCAGGGTGCCTGCTGACTTGATTCCTGCTGAAGGCTCTCTTTCTGACTCGTAGACAGCCATCTTCTTGCTGTGTTATCACCTGGTGGAAAGAGAGCTCTTATCTCTCTTCCCCCTGGTGTCTCTTCTTCTTTTCATAAGGGCAATCTCCCTATAAAATCAGGACCCCATTCTCATAACCTCATTTAACCTTTATCACCACCCAAAGCCCCTATCTCTGTACTTGATCTTAGACAAAAAGCTGAGAAGCAATAGGCCCTATTTCCAAATACAGTCATGCTGAGATTAGGGCTTTAGCATATTAATTTCACAGGAATGCAAGCATTCAGTCTACAATGTATAGGTTGTACTTCCTGCAACAAATCTGTTTGTCCAGAGAGGAATTCTTTAATTTATTGCCTGGGCATGTGTGTTAAAATCTGGCTTACAGCATTCTTGGATCTTGGTGGTACACAGGGGCTGGGGGGAGTGTCTTAGTGGATAGATTTTCACTTAAACTCATTTTTCAGGCCTATAATTTCCCCTACCTTTCTCTGGATGCTGGCCAGCATTACTATGGAATAAACCTTTAGTCCCTCTGATTTATTGAAAAACTACTGGTTGAGTCCTGGTTATGTGCCTGCTACTTCACTAAGTCTAAAACCTATTTTCAAATTATTAGTTATTTCCTGGATTTTTAGATGTGAAATGACTTGGCATTTCCCTCTGAAGTCTTGTAATGTATTTAGCATTCTTATCTGTGCTACAATACATTTGGTTTCCATTTTCTGAAAATTTCACATCTCTCATCCATTGTCCCATTTTCTTTGTCCTTTGTGGTTTTATACATTGTTTGTTCTACTTTAAGTGTGGTTTCAGGAGGGAACAGAGATAAATTAATGTATTTAATCACCTATGTTTAGTGCATTGCTTCAAACATTTCTTTCCATCAAAGACAAGATTTCTTCAGAATGTAATTCTGGTGCCAGCTCTTAAGCTAATACATTTTTCCTCATTTATTGCATTGAAATGATTGTCTTGGCAGTGATGGGGAAAAAGAGTACAAAGGAAATCATTGGATATAGGCAGTAGAAGTGGCCAAGGTAATACAATAGAAGAGAGTAAGCAGACCTTTCAGAGACAACGTGGAGAGGATTTGATTATCACATGGTGAGAGAAAGGAAGGAGTGGTCAAAAAGTTCTATGCATTTGGAAAAATCCTGAATTGTTTCGATAATAATATTTCCCTTTAGATAAAGTGCATATGAGGGTGAGAATAGGGTATTTTCTCTGGTGGGAGAATCATGTAGATGACAATGGAAGAGCAAAATTTAAGAAAATGGTAGGGTTTGGGCAAGAGACATTGCAATGGGTTGAGGATTGCCAGGAGAAAGTGTAGAATGGTATAGAATAGAAGTATAGAATAACATTTTGAGAAGTTTGGCAATAAATCACTTAATTACAGACTTGCAATCAGATAATTTTAGGGAGTCAATAATTTAGTTGTCCTCAACTGGGGAAGGGAAGAGAGGAGATTCAGAATTCTCCAGGGAGATTCATAAAATACACACGTTTGGTTCACTAACCTCCACAATCAGAATTTCTAAAAGTGGGACTTGGGCATGAGAGCACCTTGGAAAAGGTCCCAGGTGACTCTGATGTGTATTTGGAGTTAAGAGCTTATCTGCTGATAGAAAAGCAAATGGAGGCTTTGAACTATTAAATGTCTTGCCCAAGACTCATTGAGTGTGGGGAGAGTTGGGACGGTTAATTAGTATACTGACGTCTTACCTACCATTCTATTCTAGATGGAGTGAAAACTTATGATATAAAAAGTGGTTTGCCTGTAATCTCAGCACTTTGGGAGGCTGGGCAGGAAGATGGCCTGAGGTCAGGAGTTCGAGACCAACCTGGCTAACATGGTGAAACCCCATTTCTACTAAAAATACCAAAAAATTAGCCAGGCATGGTGTTGCATGCCTGTAATCCCAGCTACTCAGGAGGCTGAGGCAGGAGAATCACTTGAACCTGGGAGGCAGAGGTTGCAGTGAGCTGAGATCATGCCATTGTACTCCAGCTTGGGCAAAAAGAGTGAAACTCCACTCCAAAAAAAAAAAAAAAAAGTGGTTTGAAAGATTGTAGGATCAAGGGACAGATAGAAGATGATTGAAGATAAAGCAAATTTAAGCCTATTTGTTTCCTAGAATGACCATGTCAATGAGGAGAGAGAAATGGAGAAGATAAGAAAGGGGATAAATAAATGGTAGAGTAATAAGAGTAACAGATAATGAGCATATTAAAACTAAATGGAAAACAAAGCAAAATGATAGTATGAGTATGAAATGCCAAGTAATTAACAGCATCACCACCTTTTCCCCCCTCACTGGGGAAGGTTCATTCCCAGGTCCTTGGTTCATGCCATTACTTCCCTTATATCTGTAGAGGAAGCCCTAAGCAATGAAGTGTCTGGTGGGGGAGACTCCAAAAACTAACTGCTGCTTCTGGCACCTTGGAGATTCTTGCTCCTCCCTGCATTCACCATGACTATAGAAAGTATTAACAGTGATGACAACAGATTCTCAAGTGAGAGTTCCAGCTCAGAGGTTAAGGGGAGCTGGCGACCCCTTTCTTAGAGAGTGCTATTGCATACTGATGACAGCTGATGGCATTGGGATTCCCAGTGATGGCAGCCTCAGCTGCCATCTAAAATCTACTACTCCCATGAAAGCTGTGCTTAATGGCAAACCTCCTCCTGCAAATTCCGACAGTATTTTTAAAAACTTAAGCATGAATCTTCAAGACACCAGGATTCCAGATTGCTCCTCCAGTTTCATTGGGCATATTGCTGCTACTGTCTCCAGCAATCCACAGATCCCAGGGGTGAGAAATGGCCGATGCCAGTTTGATGAGATAGTTCTGATGTTGCTATCAGGATGGATTTTTGTGTTGTGCGCAACAGATCCTTGCTCCATCTTCAATGACAGGATGAAGCTTAGAAACTGTGATGCATATATTCCTTCTCATCTTTCAGACCTTCTCTTAAGTGCTATGCCCTCAAACTAATCTTTCTGAATCACTCTCCTACTATTGTCTCTCACAGCAGCTTGAGCCTCTCCTTCATCACCATTATCACAATTTATAGAAACGGTTGTTTAATTATTTCCTGCTTTTTCTCAACTAGAAGGTGGACTCATGAAGAGAGGGGCCATGGTCTGTCGCTATGTGCCCAGCACCTATCAAAGTCATGGCACCCTGATGATCAGTAAATAACTGCTAATTGAAGAATGGCCAGGTCACAGAGGAACATGTAGAGATATTGAAGTGGCCATATCAAATGTCCCATTTTGGCCCATGTCTGTGTTTTTGGGACCATCCCTTCTGGTTGTCTTTGGTTGGGAGCTATGTTATGGTGAAGTCGTGGCATAACCTGGAGGTACCTGCTTTCCCTAGGCACTGAGCTAGCAATACTCATTCTTTCTGACTTGAGAGGTTCTTAAGTGTTTCTTTTTCAGTTCAAAATCTGAACAAGGGGATAAAGTAAATGAGCAAAAAAAAAAAAAAATGTATCTTTGTTCTCCAGGAAGTATGACATAATGTATGAGCACGAGCCAGAGGAAATCACACTTCCACAGGGAGTAAATGCAGTCAATAAAAGCTTGTTTATAGAGTATTGGCAAATGTGCTTTTAAACCAACTATCAGACAACTTTAAAGTATGGATAGATAGAATTACTTTTATACTCTTTGCAGCTTGTATTGGGAAGGCCTCTTTTCTTTTTTGGATGGTTGCACATGTATATATTCAGGCATAATTTAAAGTGGGTTGGCCTACCAGTGTTCCTGAGAGTAGCCTGGATGGTCTCCAGGTTTGGGAAAGGAAGAAAATCATGAATCACCAGTGCTCAAGAAAGGCATATCTGACTTGTTGAATGGACTGAGAAAATTGCATTAAATATCTGCATTTGACAACTTAAGCATGCGCTCTCAAATGCCACTGCACAACAAGGAAGCGAGGCATGGCTGAAAGCAAAACCTGACTTGACATTATCCCTCACTTCTTTCTTTAAAGTTCTCTTCTATACCACGAATGAAGAAAATGTGATGTCCTCTAGAAGTATTCTATAATACCTTAAAAGAGCATAGCATTAAAATCAGATACTATAAATCATACTTTAGCTAATGATTATTAAATAGTTCTTTGTATTCATGTAACTCTTATCTATTATGAACTGAAAATGCCTTGACATAATATCATTGAAGTGATGATATTTTTATTGAGGATAGTAGGCAATAAAATATTCAAATGTGAAGCAAAACTCTATCCTTTCCTGGGGTTCTGTGTTTCTACATGATTATCTGCATCTCAAAACTTATGCAGTGTTTTATTCGTCACTTGGGAAAATATCTGAATGCCTATGAGAGCAATAACTGAGAAATCACAACTACAAGAGAGAGTCTTCAGGGGGTGTGTGCCAGAGGACACTGAACGCAAAAAAGAGGAGAGGAGAGGAAAGTTTGAGCACAGGTTTGAGGGTCTTGGAGGCAAGGTGGGGGCAAGGACTGAGAAATGCATGGGGAGCCCATAAGATGGAGAGAGGTTTCCAGGTAGGGAACAAATAGCATTTGCCAAGGCTTTGTGGCAAGAGGGAGCATAGCGCATTTAAGAAATTGAAAGAAAGAGTGGTTGAATGCAGGGACTGAACAGAAGAATGGTGGATATTGAGGCCAGTGGGATGAACAGGTTTCAGATTTTGCTGGGAAATTTCCTACAAGGAAATTTGAAGAGCTTGTCTTTATCTTGGAAGCACTAGGAAGCCAATGAGAAGAAAGGCCCCATCGGTCGGAAGCTCTTATTTGGTTTGGAGCTTTGTTATGATGAATAGTGACATAATCTGGTGGTACCTGCTTTCCCTAGGAAAGTTGACATAATTGTGAGGGCAGTTTCTTTTCTCTCCACTCTACTCCTGTCCCCATCCCCAACAACCCATTAATAATTGGTCTTATTTAGTCTCAGTTCCTTGTACATCTACAGAGCTGCTGAGATAGGACTACATTTCTTTTTTTGTTCCTGCTGACTGCTTAATTCAGAACTTCATTCTGTGACCAGAAACAAAAGCCTCCAGTTGACATCCACCACTCCAGCTACCCCATTCTAGCCCATTCTGCATCCTGCATCTCCCAGCCTGTCAAGCTTCCATTTTTTTGGCAATGTCTAGAGAAAACTTAGCAAAGTCACTCTGCATGCTAAACGCTCATATGTACAATGTCTCATTATACACACATTAGGTTACATGTAGTATTTTTTAACCCTCAGGCTCATTATGCCATTATACCTGCATTATAACCCACATTATGCAATTGAATCCTCATCACTTCCAGTCAAGATAGGCATTAACATTTTACTGTACTCTGCTTGTCAACCCTGCACCTTAAATTATAGCCAAACCAGACCAACAGTGTTTCCTGAACACGCCCAGGGTTTTCTTTCCTCTGCACCCCGATCCCGCTGTTAACGTTGCTGGAGGGATCTGTTACCTGTGCCCCGCTCCCCGTTCACTAACCAGAACATGCATTAAGACGTTAACCAATGTGCTAACTTCTTTACTACCTACACACACAGATTTCCCAGCATTCTGTGCTTGCCTTAGCATTCTTTTCAAGAGTTTCTATGTAGCACTGTGGCAACAAATAGAAGAGTCTTTTAAAAGTAGGTCATAAATTCCCAAATAGAAGAATCTGCTTATTCACTTTCAATGTTTTGTTCCATTTTGAATTTACATGTAGCATAGCTCACCTTTTTGGGCAAACAGTTCTATGAGGTTTTACACTTGTATAGATTCTTGTAACCACCACAGTATACAGAACAATACTAACTCTCCCAAGAATTCTCTGATGCTTGCCTTTCATAGGCAGACCCTCTCCCTCACTTAACCCCAGCAATCACTGATCTGTTCCCTGTTCCTATAGTTTTGTTTTTTCCAGAATGCCATATAAGTGCGATTGTACGGCATGTAACTATTTTCATACTGGGTTCTTTCACCCAGAAAAATGCATTTGCGTTGTATTCATGTTGTGTGTATCAGTTGATTATTCCCCGTTAGTGCTGTGTGATATTCTACTGTCTGGATGCACCATGGTTTGTTTATCCATTCACTCATTTGTCTAGTCATTGCATGCAGGTGTTTGCATGAGCATAAATTTTCATTCCACTCGATTAAATACCTAGGAGTGGGATTGCTGGGTTGTGTGCTAAGTACATATTCAACTTCTAAGAAGTTACCAAACCGTTCACCAGAGTGCCTATAACATTTTTCATTCCCTACTTACTCACTTTTGTAATTTTTTAAATGTACTTGTAAATAAAAGGACTCTCTATAAACATTTTCTATATCAATTTCTACAAGTAGTGAAGCTAAGCTGCAGTCATGGTCTTGCAGAGGATACTGCATGGGTTGGCTGAATATGCCAGCCAGTGACTGCAAAGGCTGCTATACCAGGAGAGAGGGAGGGAAAGAAAGATAATTTTTTCTCTGAAAAACAGAATCGTAAAGTGGACTAGGAGAAGTGGGTTTCATTGCCACTTTATCCTCCAATTCTTGTCTTTAGGTAACACGAAACTTAAATACAGCAAAAAGCATTCATTCAGATGCTACTATATGGAAGTGATGGTACATTTTATCTTACCAATAAAGAATAATGTTTTCACAGATACAGAAGGCAGTCTGCTCAGTGTTACAGGGAGTACAAAGATGTAGAACATAGGATTCTTTCCTTCAGTGAGTTTGGTTGGCTTATCTTAGTGCCATCTGTGTTGATTATTATAGCAACAGTAGTAATAAGCTTCACAATTTATCGCGCTCTATGCTAAGTGCTTGTACATAACTTAGCTCACTTAATCCTCATAACAACCAGATAAGCTTGACCCTGACCCTGTACTTACACACAGATGAGGACATTGAAGGGCAGAGAAATTAATTCATTTCCCATGGCCACAAAATCAACAAACAGTAGAACTAAAAGTTTGAAGACAATTCTGATGCTATAGTCTGTTCTTTTAACCACTACATCACCATGGCTTCCCTATGAAAAAGGGTCTGAAAAGCAAATGAACAGATTAAATAGGATAGAAGGGATATGTCTACTGCTTGTTTGTGTAGAATAGACTGAATAAATTCTGTATTCAATACTGAGTTCATGGCTTTTTTGCTGGAAAAACTGTAATGGGAAATTATTAAACATAAAGCAAAAACAGCAACATTTCTTTTCACTCACGCTGGCAATTCACTCTTGGTTTGCTAAAATTATGGGGTCAGTGACAAAACTCATATTTAAGTTTAAAAAGAATAATCACACGGGTTCTTTTTCCCATAATTGCAATAATTAAGCAGTGAAAGAACCATTACTTGGAAATGAGAAAACAGAAATTTCCATTTGGTTTAAAGTGGACAAATCAATTTTGATGAGTGAAAGAACCTAGTCTCAAATGGTTACAGTGTTTTTAATTTGATTAATAATTGGATACATTTTCAGCATGTCTTTTTCTGTAGCCAAACAAGGGTGTTTTTCTTTGTAACTATGACTTAGTGATAGGAAAGTGATATTTACTGCCATGGTTCTGATATATTTGTAGTCAAATCAATGATGTTTGATGAGGAATGTTTATTCCATAAGGCATCTAATGTTGGGTTCAAATGGTGGTTTGGGAGAAAGCCACAGAGAGCCTGATGAGGGGCTGACATGGAGAGGCAGAGCTTGGAAGAGGCATTCCCCAGAGAAAGGGGGAGAGGTGAGGTTTTTCTTAGGAAGAAGCAAAATTCTCAGAAAGCTCTGTGAGTATAATGGGTGACCGAGAAAGGACCATGGAAATAGGTGGTTGAGGAACAGCAGCCCTTGAAAGGGGAAAGCGATGGCTTCATCTCTAAGAGGAGAACACAGGCCAAAGCTGGTGACAAAGGCTCCATGAATCTCACTGGATTTGAGGCCAAACTTGGAACCTTTGGGATGCTTTGAACTACTCCATTTCGATATGTGTGCTCCAGATGTAATATGTGTGGGTTTTCTTTTCTTAGTGTTAAACCCCCTCCACAGCATAGCATAGGAATTGGGGATAATAACAGCAGATGTGCTCTGTTGGTTCTAGACAAGTATACGTGAGGGATGGCAGGATCGGGGATAAGAACTTAAGTCAATTCACTTTACTATTATTATCATTATTATTTTATTTTATTTATTTTTTATTTTTTTGAGATGGAGTCTTGCTCTGTCACCCAGGCTGGATTGTGCAGTGGCGTGATCTCGGCTCACTGCAACCTTTGCCTCCTGGGTTCAAGTGATTCTCCTGCCTTAGCCTCCTGAGTAGCTGGAACTACTAACTACTGGTGTGCCACCATGCCCAGCTAATTTTGTATGTATTTTTAGTAGAGACGGGATTTCATCATGTTGACTGGGCTGGTCTTGAACTCCTGACCTCAAATAATCTGCCTGTCTTGGCCTCCCAAAGTGCTAGGATTACAGGCATGAGCCACCGCGCCCGACCTAATTATTATTATTATTGGTCATTATTAGTTGGATTCTCAATTTTACCCATTACTGGGTAAATAGACTTTACGATATGGAATTCAAACAAAGATTTTTGCTTGACAATAACTATAATATTTGGGCTGAGGTATTTATACTCTGAATATCCAGGAAATATATATATACACACACACACACACACATACACACACATATGTATATATATATATTTTGAAAACAACATTAGCTGTGGCCACTAAAAAAAACAAAACCAAAACAAAATAAAACTCTTTTCATTTAAAGACTAAGAGCTCTTCTAGCTACTGAATCCAGATTCTGGCTTTATTAGCCTGTGAGATAAGGAATATCACCCTATTCCTTTCAGAGGTTACAAACTGGTACCCTCAGTTTAAAATTAGCTGTTAACCAGCTTGGAAATATGTTTAGTGTGGAATAGGTTATGCTTTAAGCAAAATCAAGGTAATATGAAACAATTGGATGATTTCATACAAAGAAACCCAGATTTTTGGCTCAAGAAAACCCAAAAACCCAAAAACTGGGGACAATGAGCTTGCATTTCTGTAGGTCAACCACTCCCCTGACCTTTTTTTTTAATTTTTCTTTTTTTTTTTTTAAATCTTGTCTCATTGCAACCTCTGACTCCTGGGTTCGAACAATTCTCCTGCTTCAGCCTCCCAAGTAGATGGGACTACAGGGGGGTGCCACCACACTTGGCTAATTTTTGTGTTTTTAGTACAGACAGTGTTTCACCATGTCAGCCAGGCTGGTCTCGAACTCCTGACCTCAGGTGATCCACCTGCCTCGGCCTCCCAAAGTGCTGGGATTACAGGCAGGCGTGAGCCACCACACCCGGCCTCCCCAGACCTCTTTAATGTTGCATGTACTCCTCTGTTCTCCCGGTCTCCACCATTTCCTATCACATCTTGCACACTGAAGTCTCATGGCAAATGCTCTTTGTCATTGTTCTTGAACAGTCATTTTTTTTAAATAATAGAGAAATATGTCTCCATACCATGTCTCTATTAAAAATGGAAAAAAAAAATAAAATGCCAAAGCTGTGTATTTAAAAAAATTGGTAGAGAGCTTTTTTTATTTTGTGAAAGTAAGTCCTGGATCCACATATTGAATATGCAAACTATGTCTGTATTTAAAAGAAACAAAACAAAATCATAATATTAGAAATAATCCATCATGAAGAACCATACAGGTATAAAGAAAAGAAACATAATGAATCAACTGGTGATCTTACAAAAGAACTGAAATTTTCTAAGCATTTGTTTTGTATGTGAGTAAAATAACTGGTGCTATTGCAGAATTAGTTATGCATTAGGGAATTAGTAATGCATTAGAGAAAATAACTTGGTTGGTCAATTGCTTTTTACAGATGGTAGGTTTATTAAAGTCTATTGAGTACAGAAGAAATTATGTGTTCTGAACAGAAACAAGCTTTACAAATAAAGTTCTAGGTGAGAATACTGTTGCTTGGCATGTTAAGTTAGTGCTAAGATTTTACTATTTAATTTATATGGAAAAATGATTTGTGGCATCTGCTGAAAGCATAGATAGATCCCTATCTATCTATCTATCTATCTATCTATCTATCTGTCTGTCTGTCTGTCTGTCTATCTATCTATCTATTTACCTGTCTATCTACCTGTCTATCTACCTACCTATCTGCCATTCTATTACTGCCTAATTAATTATATTTGTTTTTGGTGTTGATGTCAACTTTGATTTAACCCAGGAACTTTTGGATATAACACTTCTGATTATATAATATGATGAAATGACTTATTTTGCATAAAGAGAGAGGGTGAATAGTTTACTGTAGACTGGTCAAATTAGTAAGACATAGTGTTGATGCTATGGTTGGTGTTAAAGTCTGATTTACTAACAAACTATAGAGTGGCTACATTTTGCAACAATGTAGAATTTTAGCTCATGTAGCACATTATGAACTAGTTTTTGTTTTTATCTTTTTTGTTAAAAAGTTGTAACTGGACAATATTATGAACATAGCAATGAACTCTGTGAGCTCACTATGCTTCTATAACTTTCATCAAGATGATACTGCTGAGTAAACTGGATGTGAAACACGACAGAGTTTAGGTGGCTTTGTTATGACAAAGTGTTGTAGAGAGTTTTAGCTGTTGAAAGACACTGACTTATTCATGCATCTGTGGTTGCAAAGATTACATTAATGATTTGACCACTTTAATTGCCAGTATGACTGGTCTAACCACTGAATTGTTACAGGAATGCATTATTTCAGTGGTCCATTCATCCTGAAATTATGTATTTTGAGATGTCATTTGGGAAGACATAAATTGGTCAATCTTTAAGTGCTAATATTAGTTACCCAAATGAAACTGATCTACATTCTCCATACTATGGTTTTGAGGGCTGATCTTTAACAGCATCACTCTGGTCAATGTTAAACTTCAAGTAAAAGTAGTTGATATTGCTCAGTTCAATTTCTCTCTCAATATTTAAATTGGGAAGGAAGAACTACCAATAGAGATTACTTAAAGTCAGAATCATAAGTAGTAGAATCTAAAAATGATAACATTGGAATACCAGAATTCTATCACTCTCCTAGGCATAGCGACCCTAAATGAAAACACATATTAAGGCTTGGCAGTTCTTGTGTTTGGGACCAGCTGTTTCCTTAATGGAAAGTAGTAAAAGTAAACATCACAACCAGGCAGAAGAATCACGACTCAACTTAGTATTTATTGCACATTGTAAATAGAAATATTAAACCTGCCATTATCATCGTGTGTAGAATAAAAAGTTTCAGATCAATTTTTAGTGACGTATAATGTAGCCATTTAATAATGTGATGTTTTTACTTTTTAGAGTCCATAATTTTAAATATTTGATTTGAAAATGTTATTTTCAGTATCACACATGTTTGTATTATGTTAAGTATTTTCATTTCTGTTCAGTAAAAATAACAGCTGAGGATTATATTTCTGGCAGTCTAGCTTTATTCCTGGGGCGTATCAGTCATTTACGTTACCTTTCTTGCCCCTGTTGGTATTTAGGTTATATTTCCTGATATAGATGCTAATTAAAGCATGACATCTTGATGGGAAAGAGTATTTCAGGAAGAGAGGAGAGGCTAATGCAGGACTCTTTAAATGGTGACATAAAGGCAGAGTAAGAGAACTGATAAAGAACACAAGTAGCCACAGAAGTTGCCAAAAAACCAGGAAAGTGTGGCACTATAGTAGATGAAGAAAGACACTGTTGGAAGGGGCAAATTGCCATGAGCCTTGAGCATCACTGGATGGCCTTGGGTCTGCCAAAAATTTCACATCTTGACTGCTTATTATCAGGGTCATTTCTCAGCATGGTGTTTGAAGCAAGTAGCCTTGAAGGATGGGGTACATTATTTTCCCACCTTCCCAAACAAAAAGCACATTCATTTATGGCTTGCTGTAAATACAGTGATTTCTCCAAGCTCAGGATTTCCTGGCTGTGGGTTGATTTCTCCAAACTCAGGATTTCCTGGCCAACTTAACTGTGAGTGTGGCATATACCTGGGAACCAGCTATGTCACTGCTGTGCTCTTTGGGAGGCAAGGGAAACCAACACAGCCAAGCTAAGTCTCAGGCTACTGTGTGCTGTGAGTAATAGAGTCCTTGGGTCCTTTTTCTCTGGCTCAGAAGTCTCATGTCTTTTTCCAACACACATGAAACAGCCACAGACTAGTTTATTAGCTTGAAAGTAGAGCAAAATCTCAGCTCCTTCACAGTCCTTGACAGAAAGGAGGTACCAGCATTGCCATGAGGTCAAGTAAGGCAAGGATTGAAAACAAGTCTATTGGTTCTTGATAAACTTGGCAAAGAGCAGTTTCTATGGACTGCTGAGAGCTGAAGCTTAATTGCAGTGGGTTTAGTTGCTGCAGTGGAGACCGCAAGTCTAAACTATTTCAAAAAGTTTGGCTATAAAAGGGGGCACTGAGAGTAATCTCTAAAAGAAGAAATGGGTTCAAATTCTATTTTTGACAGTCATTTTCTAGCCATTTCATTGTGCCTGGTCCCCTTAGGGTTTTGAGTTTGTGATTCCTGATTTAAGGCTACTACTGCTGATGGTTGTGCAAAGTGTGGGCTGCGGAACTCCAGCCAGCACCATTTATTTTCTAGTCATGGAAGAATGGCAGGGTCATCAGAATAATTTTCTAGAGAGAGACAGTGCATTGATTTGAGGGAAGGCTGCTTTTGGGTCTGTGGCAAGGCTGCCTCTGGACACTTAGGATGAATCCTTCACTGAGCAAACCAGCCCCAGGCTATTGAGATGAATATCCTGCCTGCACTCAACAAAATTATCATGAGTCAACTATGCACCAGAAATGGTACTAGGTAATGATGGTGCAGCTGTGCAAAAACGTGTCAGAACAATACAAGTGAGAGAAGCTAAGGAGCAGTGGGATGAAGCTTCAAATGGCATCCTTTATTCTGGGGGCAGGGGGCTGTGGTTTAGCTTTGAAGGATATGGTTCATGGTGGAATTTAATTATGTCCTTAGAGACTAAGAGCCAAGCAAAACCCTGTAGAGTTACCAGAAAGAAGAGAGGTTCAGCTATTTTTCTCTAATAATTATACAATGGAATAAGTGTCAGAGAAGCCCCAAATGGTTCTTTTTCATTTTTTAATGTTTTCCCTGTACTTTGTCTCCAATAGATTTTCCAACAAAACACGGTTCATTCTACTGTTGAAATAAGCCTGTGTTCTGAAACTTGAAAGAACTGTGATCCCAGTGCCCATGAACGTCTGACTTCATTGTCAGCCACAGGTCACATTCTTTTTGTACCTTCCAGCCTTGTCTCTCTCTCCCTTGGGTCTCACCTTGACACAAGGTAATTCATTTTCTAGAAAATGGTAATTTGTGCCTATTTGAAGTTTATCCTCTTTTAAAAAGGTTATTCAATTACCCTCTGTCCCCTTTCACAGTCAAGCTGTTAGAATCTGCAGATGCAAAGTTCCCCTTCACCTTCCAGAGAGAACACCCAGAGTCCCCTGAGCCCCCGGCTGCGTGGGGGCAGTGGAGCCAGGGCCCAGGGCTGTAATGAGCACAAAGCGTCTTGGTCTCATGTTGCTCAACAGTGACAAATCATGCTCATTGCAGTTTCCATGCAAAAGGGAACACTTTTCTCAGCTACTAGAGCTGTTTGGAGCAAAAGGAATATCCATTCTTCCATGATAAATTTTCATTACAGCACAAACTTATGGGATCACATAATCTCTTCAAATTTGCCTCTGGTTTTTAGCATTCATTTAAACTAAGCTCGTAAATGGAAGGGTAATACTTCGGAAACTGTAAATGTATTTTTGATGTACTGTTCAGTTTGTTAACCTTCTCTTCATTTCTTTATTCATGCATCCTGTTTCATTATGTTTACTCCTTAATGTAAAACAGATCCAGAATTGTCTTTCCTCACCTAGTTTGAAAATTCAGCTCCACCGACGTGACTAAAAAAGTGCAGATCCCAAGAATATATGTTGAAAGACTCAACAACCTTGGTTTTTTATGTTGTCGTTGCATGGTGACATCAGGGCAGAAAGCCATTCTACTGCTCTGTTTCAGCACAGAAGTGAAAAGAACTGAGAAATGACAGGAACATTTGCATCTTCTGTCTGAACACTGCAGAAGTCCCAATTATTTGAATTCTATTGACTCTCTGATAACTGCTAAAAACACTGATGACTGCTCTCAATTGCAACATAAATAGATCTATTTTAAAAAAATTATGCAATGAAAGAAAACTAATAAAATCTCAATATCAAGCAAACAGTTTACAAAATATAAAATTCAATATAGGCTACCTATACTGAGCTAGGAATCTGAAAAGGTGGGTACTTCATTTCATATGCTCTATTATGATCATCTTGACTTGTAAATTGATAGGCTCTCCGGAGGGCTGAACCAGAAACAGCCAGCCATCAGCAAGATCAGAGACATCTGTCATATAACTAGGGGCCTCTGGTTTAGAGCTGTGAGTGAATTTGATTCCAATCAGGGCTCTCAGCTTTCAAATGAGCACTTATGCATGTCTCTGTTTTCTCTTTTTTATATTGAGCAGGTACAGGTAAGATTTTTTTTTTAGGAAAGTGTTCTGCTGCTAGAAGAAAAAATGACACTGATCCAGGGCGTAATCAGAGTTTTATATGAATTGTTTACAAACATACATGCATAATCACTAAACATAAGTTATTAAATATACAGTTGGTCCTCTGTATCTGTGGGTCCCTATCACGTATTCAATGAAACATGGATTGAAAATTTAAAAAGAGTCCTAGCCAAAGCAACTAGAAAAGAGAAAGAAATCAAGGGTATCCAAACTGGAAAGGAAAAAGTCAAATTATTCTTGTTTGCTGATGATATGATCTTATATTTATAAAAACCTAAAGACTCCACCAAAAACTATTAGAATTGACAAATTCAGTAAAGTTGCAGGACACAAAATCAACACACAAAAATCAGTAGCAATTCTATATGCCAACAGTGAACAATCTGAAAAAGAAGTTAAGAAAGCAATCCTGTTTACAATAGCTACAAATAAAATTAAATACCGAGGAATAAACTTAACCAAAGAAGTGAAAGAGCTCTGCAATGAAGCTATAAAATATAAATGAAAGAAATTATAAAGGACACACTAAAAATAAAAAGCCAGTTCATGTTCTTGAATTGGAGGAATCAATACTGTTAAAACGTCCATACTATCCAAGGCCATCTACAAACTCAAAGCAGTCTCTATTGAAATACTGACATTCTCCACAGAAATAGAAAAAAAAAACAACACCTTAAAATATATATGGAACCACAAAAGAACCAGAAGAACAAAAGCCATCCTGAACCAAAAGAACAAAACTGGAGACATCATATTACCTGGCTTCAAATTATACTACAAAGCTATAGTAATCAAAATAGCATGATCGTGGCCTAAAAACAGATACACTGACCATTTGCAGTCAACTTGTTTTCAACAAAGGTGCCAAGAACATACACTGGGGAAAGGAGAGTCTCTTTAATAAATGGTGCTGAGAAAATTGGATATCCATATGCAGAAGAATAAAACTAGACCCTTATTTCTCACTACATACAAAAACAAAATCAAAATGGATTGAAGACTTAAATCTAAGACTGGAAAGTATGATGTGCTTTTATTTTCTAAAGTTAGAGGTTTGGAATTATTTCTTTTGTTTTAGCTCCCAGACTACAAAATTGAATCTCCATAGCAAATGCCCTTTATGCAGCTCATCTCCTGAAATATTTAGTTTTAAAAGAATGGTTTTCAGTTTTAAGGATTCACTTTCGAGTGGTGAGTAGGTTTTTCTAAGTGTTTTCTACTGTCCAAGCCTGGCCAGTCTGGAAGCCCTAGCATCTCCCTCACCCAAAAGAGGCAGTTGGGCTGGGGTTAAAACTGGGCAAAGATCCCAGCACTTTTGGAGGCTGAGGCAGGTGGATCACTTGAAGTCAGGAGTTCAAGACCAGCCTGGCTAACATGGCAAAACCCCGTCTCTACTAAAAATACAAAAATTAGCTGGGTGTGGTGGCAGGTGCCTGTGATCCCAGCTACTTGGGAGGCTGACATGGGAGAATCGCTTGAACCTGGGAGGCGGAGGTTTCTGTGAGCCGAGATCGTGCCATTGCACTCCAGCCTGGGCGACAAGAGCAAAACTCTGTCTCAAAACAACAACAACAACTGGGCAAAGACATGATGTAGGACTCCTGAAGCCACCTTCCAGAAATATTCTGACTTTTATTTATCATTAGTTTGTCCACTCCTTGCACTGTACCTTGTATACAGAAAGTGCCCTATTGACATTTACTAAATTTCTTTTTTTTCCTCTTTTTTCTTTCTTTCTTTCTTTTTTTTTTTTTTTAGAGATGGGGGGGTCTCACTCTGTTGCTCAGGCTGGTCTTGAACTCCTGGGCTTCAAGAGAGCCTTCTGCTTCAGCCTCTCAAAGTACTGGGACTACAGGTGTGAGCCACTGTACTGGCCTCTTTATTTAAAAGAAGTTTTTTTTTTTCTAAGAAAAACATTTAATTACTAGAACCATCAAGGTTCTTGTTTGTAAACAACTGAAATGAACTCTGGCTAACACTAACAGCAAATAAATTTAATGCACAGATAACGGGTACACAGAACCAGATGAGGGAAGCCTGAGGAACCAAGCTTGGAAAATAGGAGCCACAAGAAGCTATTATAAATGGCTGGATCAAATGTGGATTAGGCCATAGGAAGACTCTGATTAGGTCCTACTGCCATTGTCACACTGGCAGTTGTGACTTGCATTACTGCCATTCAATACATCGTGGTGTTGCCAGGACAGAGTAAGTTTTGTGCTGCCCCCACCTCACTGTGTCCCAGCTGGGATCAGGAACACGTGATTGGGCAAGCTTAGGTCAGATGCCTATGCGCTAGCTGGAAAAGGGGGACTTATCTGTCCATTTCAACTTCTAAAGGAAGTACAGTTGACCCTTGAACAATGTGGGTTAGGGATGCCAACCCCTGTGCAGTAAAAAATCCACATATAACTTTTGACTCTCCTGAAACTTAACTACTAATAGCTTACTGTTAACCAAAAGCCTTACTGATAACATAAACAGTGGATTGACACATATTTTTATGTTATATATATTACGTAATGATTCATATAATAAAATAAGCTAGAGACATAATTGTCATCTTCATGTCGAATATGCTGAGGAGGAGGAGGAAGAGGAAGTGTTGGTCCTACTGTCTCAAGGGCATTAAAGGTGGATGAAGTAGAGGAGGCGGAAGGGGAGGCAGGAAGAGCAGGCATAGTTGGTGTAACTTTGTGGAAATGCATAGTAAATTCTGTCTGACCTATTCACTTTTTCATTTCTGTAAAAATGTTTTGAAATGATACCAATTCTTCTTCCACAGTCTGTCTTAGTCTCGGTGCCTCTATCCTAGAGGGGTCCATGTCATAAAAGAAGTCAAGAGCAGTCTTGAAGAATAGGAACTCTCCTGCCACACTGTCTAATGTCAATTTGTTTTCTGGCACTGTTTCTTTTATAATACATCGTCTTTCTCATTGTCTGGCACTGGTTCAGAAGCACTCATCTCTGTCAAGTCATCTTTGGGCTCAATGGCTTTTACAGCTTTTTCAATAACAACGATGGCATCTTCAGTGGCGCAATCATTCCTGATTTTCATGAAGTTCTTTTTATCAGGATTCTCTTCCATAGCATTGACAATCCTTTCCATCGCATACCGTGTGTAATGAACCTCAAAGGTCCTTATGACACCCTGATTTACAAACTGAGTTAGAGACATTATGTTTGGGAACAAATAGACCACTTTGATTCCTTCGGTGTTGAACTCATGGGGTTCTGGGTGGCCCTGGGCATTGTTCAGTATCAAAAGAGTTGATATTGTCCCTTATTGGCAAGGTACATGATGATTTCAGGGACGGAGCATTGATGAAACTAATCCAGAAGAAGGGACCTCATTGTCTACACCTTCTTCTTGTACAACCAAAAGACTGGAAGCTGGTGTCTATATTTTTTATCCTTCTAGGCTTAGGGGTTAGCAGCTTTATAGTATGGGTAGTCCTGGTCAGAAATTCGACTGCACTTGCAGAAAACAGTAGTTTGCCTATCCCTTCCTGCCTTAAATCTTGGTGCTTGCTTCTTTTCCTTACTAATAAATATCCTTTGTGACAAGTTTTCCCCCCAAATAGGGCACTTTCATCTATATTAAAAACCTGTTCATGCAAATATTTTTTGTCAATGATTTTCTTAATGGCATCTGGGAACTTGTCGGCTGCTTCTTGGTCTGCAGGAACTGCATCTTCTGTTATCTTGACATTTTTTAAGCCAAGCCTCTGTCCCAAATTCTCAAACCATTCTTTGCTGGCACTAAGTTCTCCGGCTTTACACTCTTTGGCTTCCCTTTGCTTTAAGTTGTCATATAATGACTTCACTTTTTCTCAAGTCATATCAGTCTATAGTATTCCTTTCTTGTAAAAGTTGCATTTTCAATACAAAATGAAGAGATATTTCACAAAAAGTGCAAGGCTTGTTTTTTTTGTCTGGTGGTATAGCTGCAGTGATGGCTTCACAAATTTCATTTTCTTTCTTTTTAATAATGGTCCTTACACTGGATTAATTTACCTTGGAGTGGTGGGCAACTGCAGCTACAGACCTCTATCTATGGTACATATCAAGCAATTCAACCTTTTTTTTTTGTAATGTCAGGAAGGGGTTTCATATGCCAGTTAGCTAAAGAATCCCCAACAGCAGTGTGATGGTTGGTTTTATGTGTCAACTTAACTGGGCCACTGGATGTCCAGATAGCTGGTTAAACATTATTTCTGGATGACTGCCTTCTACGGAACCTATCTGTGTCTGTGAGTATTTCTGGAAGAGACTAGCCATTGAATCAGGGGACTGAGCAGCACAGATTGGCCTCCTCAATGTGGGTGGGCATTATCTAATTCATTGAGGACCCTAATAGAATAAAAAAGTGGAGGAAGGGTGAATCTGCTCTCTGACTGAAACCGAAGAGATGAAACATTGATCTTCTACTTTTTGTCACTCCTTGTTCTCACATCTTCACACTTGAACTGGAATCTATGCCATCAGCTCTCAGGCCTTTGAATTGCACTGCTGGCTTTCCTGGGTCTACAGCCTGCAGATCATGAAACTTCTCAGTCTCCAGAATCACATGAATTCATTGAATAAGCAGTTATCTATAATTGTCTACTATAAGTGTCTACTAATAATGCTTTTATCTAGCATCATAACTTTTTTTTTAATACGAAAAATTCAAGAAGGTGGGAACCCGAGAAGATGAGTTTTATTCATGCTAGACCAGACACATTGAGAAGCTACTTTTGCATGATGTGACACTGCATTTTCCAGAGGAGATGACCCCAGTGTACATCACCCCAAATCCGTGTTTTACAATGTACTATTGACACGTGTCTATCAGGAGGTGTGGTCAGGGTTCCTTCCCCTTTTCTCTGGGTGGGCTGTGTCTATACTGTAAATAGCCCTAATGACTTCTGAAGATAGGCCATAAAATGTAACATAGCTTCTAGCTGGCTCTTGGAACATGTACCTTGAGAATCCTGAGCCACCATATATGAAGTCTGGCTCCATTGAAGATGCAGTGCTGGAAAGAACACTTGAAGAGGCCACAAAGAGACAGAGAGAGATGCCTAGGGATGCCCAGCTATTTGAAGTCTCAGTTTTGCAGCCCAGGTGTCAGACATGTGAACGAGCAAGCTTCCAGTTGGTTCAGCCCGCGGCCTTCCAGCCAACACAGCTGATGCCCTGTGGAGCCAGGCTTTGAGTCTTCCAGCTGAGTTTCAGACAGTATGAAGTAGGAACAAGCCACCTGCCCTGTTCCCTGGCTGAATTCCTCATGCACAAACTGTGTGAGCATAATGAGAGGTTGCTTTATGCTACTAAATTTTAGGTTAATTTGTTGTTCAGCCATACTAACTGGAACAGATAATCAGATGGAAAGAAACTTTGAAAACATCTAGTCAAAGCAGTTTATTTTACAAATGAGGAAATTAGCTGAGAGGGGCAGAATAATTGACCCCAAATCTAACAGCTCATTAGTGGCAGATCAAATGTTCTTTCCCTCCTGATGATGTAAGGAGGGTGCTGGTCTGGCATGGAATGCCACATATGAATTACAGAATTAGGATAAGGGCTTCAAATTGAATAAGTGTTGGTTCATACAATTCCAGATACTTGATGAATAAAGTCAGGGCCAAAGAGCTCTGAGGTCACTAACAGACACTGCCTACCTGAAAATACACTAGGCAGAAACGGTCTAGAAAAACAGTAATTATACGGATATGTGCAAGTATGTGGGTGTTAGGTAGGGGATAGAAGATGGAGGAATCTTTCCACCTCTGATTCTGCCAGAAGTATTAAGTGGGTAGTCTTGAAAAAAATTGATCCTTAATGTACTGCCTGCCTCTCAGGAAGGGCTAAAAGACTATAACATAAACAGAGCCTGACACTTCAGGAATCTTTGTGTCTGAATGTATTGCTCAGATTTTAAACTGTGCTGCAACCTTTTCCGAATTAAATCAACACATCAATAATCACAGACTTTCAAAGCAGAATGTTCTGGTGAACCCTTAAACCACTGTTACATGGTCACTCCACTTTATCTGCTAACGAACAAATCTGCTGCCCTCAGAAGCACATGGACTGAGGGTTTACAAGCATCAGCCCCTCTGCAAGTGATTTTGATTATGTTACATTTACTTCTATCATCATTTAACATCTTTTTTTAAAAGCATAAAATCAGTAATTTTGGATCTAATTGTGTCACAGTGTCATGGGGAGGACCAAAGAAAAACTCCCAATGACCTATCAATAATTAGGAGAGAACCACACTGTGAAATATCAGAGACAATGTAGAAAACAATAAATTGAAGCAGGTTCAACATTCAGTTTTCAAAAGTCACCATATAGGTGGATAAGGATAAACTGCTGCAGACTTAACCTCAAGGTCAAAGTTTCCATAATGTACTCCAAGTAATTGTCTGCATTAAGGCAGATTGTATTTTTGATAATTTAAAAAGAAGTGTTTGCAATGCAAAAAATTACTGTAAGCATATACTGTGATTAAAAAGTGTGTTCAAGTACACAAAATTTACAATGGTTATAAATTGACATAATTCCAGATCCATGATCTGTACTTTACATTAATGCCCACGTATTAGTCTGTTTTCACACTGCTAATACAGATATACCTGAGACTGGTTAATTTATAAAGGAAAGAGGTTTAATTGACTCACAGTTCCACATGACTGGGGAGGCCTCACAATTATGGCGGAAGGTGAAGGGGAAGCAAGACACATCTTACATGGCAGCAGGCAAGAGAGGGAGAATGAGTGCTGGCAGGGGAAATGCCAGATGCTTATAAAATCAGATCTCGTGAGAACCACTCACTATCACCAGAACAGTATGGAGGAAAACACCCCCATGATTCAATTAACTCCACCTGGCCCCACCCTTGACACGTGGGGATTATTACAATTCAAGGTGGGGTGGGGACACAGAGCCAAACCATATCAGCCCACGAGAAAATTAATCCTGAATTATTTGAAGTCTTCTGAAGTACACCCTTCATAGTTTGTAACTCTTTTATTTCCTTTGAGTCTGCTTTTCTATTCTCCTTCCCTTCTGCCCTCCTTCCTTTGATCTTTCTTCTTTATAATTTTCTTCCTTCCTCCCCTTCTTTTCTTCCTTCTCTCTCTCTCCTTTCTCTCCTGTTTTCCCCAATCCTTCTTTCTCACTCTCTCATTACTTGACAACATGTATTCCTGCCAATCAAGTCTCAACACAGCATGAGATACCCAATGTTATAAAAAAGAAGGAAGAAGAGGAGGAGGAGGAAAAAGAGAAGGAGGAAGGGGAGGAAGAAGAGGGCATTCTATTCCAAGCCAAGAAAATTTTGGTTCTGAAAGGGCAGAGGGTATGTTTAGCTTAGTCACCATGGTAGCTCCAGGGAGTAGCACAATGCCTATTAAAGCAGGAAGAACATAATTATGAAAAAAATACAAATTATAGAATATCATCCCCAAAATGGACCTCAAAGATGAGAGGGATTTTATAATAACTGCATTATTTCTGTTGTGCCACAAATGTAGTAACATTTTAGCACATTGTCTTTTGGTATATACAGATGTGTTTGTTTCTCAAAATGAGTAACACCTTAGTTAGGCTCAGGTGTATATGCACCTGCCCTTGTTAACTTATATCCTGAAATCTGAGGCCCAGCAATAGGGAAATGTATACTCTGTTTACCCTTTCTTTGAATTACCAAAGGCTTGCTTCTTTTTTTTTTCAAAGGCTGACCAGTGTTTGGTCCTTTCTCAGCATTGCAAACCATGCATCGAATCTTTTGAGTAGCTTTTGAAATTTCTAGTAGGTTGTAACAGGCTACAGTAAAATGGGATGGCAAATTAGGGCTTATAGGACTAAAAATACTGTTAGTAATTACAGTTTAGAGAAAAAAAGCTAGATTTATGTAGGAACCAGTATCATTCTTGAAAATGATGCCGGATTACTCTTCAGAAGGAAAAGAAAAAGCAATGTTTCTCTCTCATTCTCAGATGTAAGTCATGCGGAAATGCTGCAAAACATGTAATTTCTTAGGACACTTTGAGTAGTTAAATTAGAAGCAGCTAATAGATGAAGGAAAGAAAGCCTTTACTAAAGTGAAACTACAATAGGAGGATATATACAAAATTGTTATGAAAAGGTTGTTTTGATAAAAATTTCAAAACAAATCATACACTTAAGTAATGGGAATCAGAGATGACATGGGTTGGCTGTGTCCTCACTCAAATCTCATCTTGAATTGTAACTCCCACAATTCCCTCGTGTTGTGAGAGGAACACAGTGGGAGGTGATTGAATTATGGGGGCAGGTCTTTTCTGCATGTTCTCATGATAGTGAATGAGTCTCATGAGGTCTGATAATTCTAAAAATGGGAGTTTCCCTGCACAAGCCCTCTTTGCCTGCTGCCATCCACATAAGATGTGACTTGCTCCTCCTTGCCTTCTGCCATGATTATGAGGCCTCCCCCACCACTGGAACTGTAAGTTTAATAAACACTTTTTCCTGTATAAATTACCCAGTCTCAGGTGTGTCTTTATCAGCAGTATGAATACGGACTAATACAGTAAATTGTTACCAGTAGAGCGAAGTGCTGCTGAAAAGATATCTGAGAATGTGGAAGCAACTTTGGAACTGGGTAACAGGCAGAGGTTGGAACAGTTTGGAAGGCTCAGAAGAAGACAGGAAAATGTGGGAAAGTTTGGAACTCCCTAGAGACTTGTTGAATGACTTTGACCAAAATGCTGATAATAACATGGACAATGAAATCCAGGCTGAGGTGGTTTCAGGTGGAGATGAGGAACTTGTTGGGAATTGGAGCAAAGGTGACTCTTGTGTTATTTTAGCAAAGAGACTGGGGACATTTTGCCCTGCCCTAGAGATTGGTGGAACTTTGAACTTGAGGGAGATGATTTAGGGTATCTGGTGGAAGAAATTTCTAAGCAGCAAAGCATTGAAGAGGTGACTTGGGTACTGTTAAAGGCATTCAGTGCCAAAAGAGAAACAGAGCATAAAAGTTTGGAAAATTCACAGCCTGACAATGCAATAGAAAAGAAAATCCCATTTTCTGAGAAGAAATCCAGCTGGCTGCAGAAATTTGCATAAGTAACAAGAAGCCAAATGTTAATCACCAAGACAACAGGGAAAATGTCTCCAGGGCATGTCAGAGACCTATGCAGCAGTCCCTCCTATCACAGACCCTGAGGTCTAGAAGGAAAACGTGGTTTTGTGGGACTGGCCCAGGGTCTCCCTGCTATGTGCAGCCTAGAGTCTTGGTGCCCTGCATCCCAGCTGCTCTAGCTGTAGCTGAAAGGGGCCAATGTAGGGCTCAGGTTGTTGCTTCAGAGGGTGCAAGCCTCAAGCCTTGGCAGCTTCCACATGATGTTGAGTCTGTGAGTGCACAGAAGTCAAGAATTGAGGTTTGGGAACCTCCGCTTAGATTTCAGATGTATGTTTGCTGTAGGGGCGAGGTCCTCATGGAGAACCTCTGCTAGGGCAGTGTGGAAGAGAAATGTGGGGTCAGAGCCTCCCCCACCCCCACAGAGTCCCTACTGGGGCACCACCTAGTGGAGCTGTGAGAAGAGGGCCACTGTCTTCCAGACCCCACTGTCCACGGACAGCTTGCACTGTGCACCTGGAAAAGCCGCAGACACTCAATGCCAGCCCATGAAAGCAGCCAGGAGGGAGGCTGTACCTGGCAAAGCCACAGGGGAAGAGGTGTCCAAGACCATAGGAACCCACCTCTTGCATCAGTGTGACCTGGATGTGAGACATGGAGTCAAAGGAGACCATATTGGAACTTGAAGATTTGACTGCCCTGCTGGATTTCAGACTTGCATGGGGCCTGTAGCCCCTTTGTTTTGGCCAATTTCTCCAGTTTGGAATGGCAGTATTTACCCAGTGGCTGTACCCTCATTGTATATAGGAAATAACTAACTTGCTTTTGATTTTACAGGCTCATAGGTGGAGGGGATTTGCCCTGTCTCAGATGAGACTTTGGACTGTGGACTTTTGAGTTAGTGCTGAAATGAGTTAAGGTTTTGGGGGACTGTTGGGAAGGCATGATTGGTTTTGAAATGTGAGGACATGAGATTTAGGAAGAACCAGGAGCAGAATGATATAGTTTGGCTGTGTCCCCACCCAAATCTCATCTTGAATTGTAACTCCTACAATTCCCACGTGTTGTGGGAGGAACCCAGTGGGAGGTGATTGAATTATGGGAGCGGGTCTTTCCTGCACTGTTCTCATGTCAGTGAATGAGTCTCACAAGATCTGATGGTTTTAAAAATGGGAGTTTCCCTGCACAAGCCCCCTTTGCCTGCTGCCATCCACATAAGGTGTGACTTGCTCCTCCTTGCTTTCTGTCATGATTATGAGGCCTCTCCAGCCACTGGAACTGTAAGTCCAATAAACCCTTTTTCCTACATAAATTACCCAGTCTCAGGTATGTCTGTATCAGCAGCATGAAAATGGACTAATAAAAGAGACCAGCCAATTAAAGTCTCAATGACTGTAAGTGAAGTACTTCAAACACTTGATGCAAAAAGGACCTGAGAGATTCCTCAGATTTAGCAAGAATAGTCTTGTGTTTGTCCATACCAAACCATCAACACAGAGAAGTAGTATTTATCTTTCAAAGTGTTGGCTATTTGCTCTAGAACAGATGTTGGCAGACTTTTTTTTTTTTTTTTTTTGTAAGGGACCATGTAGTAAGTATTTTCAACATACACACCGTAAGGCCTCTGGTGCATTTATTTAACTCTTCTGTGGTGGTGGTGTAGGAGTCGTAGACAATAAGTAAATTAGTGGTGTGACTGTATCTCAATAAAACTTTATTAACAAAGAGATGCCAACAAGATGGTGGAATAGGACTCTTTAACACTCCTACACCTACAGAAACATCAAGTCAAACAACTTTCCACACACAAAAATACCTTCACAAGAGCTATGGAGACCAGGTGAGAGATTACAGCATCCCCATGTAGCAGAGAAATAAGAAATAAGAAAAGACACATGGAACTGTGTAGGAAGGACAGTGTGACATTACTCACATCACCCAACTCCAGGCAGCATAGAGTGGAGAGAGATACCCACTGAGTAGGAGAATGAGAGGGAAGTGAGCACCAGCCTTTGCCTCAGACCTCAAAACCAGGCCCCTCCAAGTAAAACCCCCACAGCCCCAGACTCTAGGCCAGTACCCACGAACGGAGCCTCCAGGCACCCTCCAGAACCTGGCAGGATCCCCCAGCCCCAGGCTTTAGGCCTATGTCACAGACTCAGTGTTTGGGCCTCTGCATTACCAGGCTGACCCTAACGGCCACAGCAGTGATCCCCAACCTTTTTGGCACCAGGGACTGGTTTTGTGAAAAATAATTTTTTCATGGAAGGTCAAGGGGAGGTGGGGCTTAGGGGTGTGGTGGGAAATGGTTTCAGGATGAAACTGTTCCACCTCAAATCATCAGGCATTAGATTCTCATGAAGAGTGCGCAATCTAGATCCCTCGCATATGCAGTTCATGATAGGGTTTGTGCTCTTCTAAGAATCAAATGTTGCTGCTGATCTGACAGGAGGCAGAGCTCAGGCGATAATGCTTGCTTGCCTGCCACTCACCTCCTGTTGCATGGCCTGGTTCCTAACAGGTCACCAATTGGTATGGGTCCATGGCTCTGGGGTTGGGGATCCCTGGCCCACAGCACTAGGCTGGCGCCTATGGCCCCAGGCTTCAGGTCTGCTCCAGTAGACCCTAGTGGCAGGCTGGACCCCATGGAGTGAGGTTCCAAGACCACTCCTGCAAGATCCAGGCTGCAGGCCTAGACCTATCCCCAGGGACTCAAGCTCCAGGCCTTTCCCATCACTGGGCCAACCTTTGTGAACTCAAGCTCTAGGCCTACCCCGGTGGATGCATGTGCCAGGGCCATTCCAGTGCCTGACCAGCCCCTGCAGACTCAGGCTCAAGGCCCACCAGCTCCAGGTCAGCCCCTGTGGACCTAGGGTTCAGCAAGTCCCCTTGAATATAGGCTGCAGGCCCATCTTCGTATACCCAGGCTCCAAACCCATCCACACAAACCTAATCATCAGGTTCACCCCAGTGGATCCTGGCCTCTGGCCCATCCTTATGGACCCAGGCTCAAGGCCTACCTGTCTGCTGATTCAGGCACAGGCCAGCCAGCCCCTAAACGCTAGCAGCAAGGCCTCCCTCAAACCACGCCATGTGCATATCCACAGGCAAAATAATGAAATTAGACCCTTATCTCACACCATAGACAAAACTAAACTCAAAATGGATTAATGATTAAAATGTAAGACCTAAAACTGTAAAACTACTTGAAGTAAACAAAAGCATTGTTACTTGAAGTAACAATGTTTTTTTTTTTATATGAACCCAAGAGCATAGGTAACAAAAGCAAAAATAGACAAATAGAATTACATCAAACTAAAAAGCTTCTGCACCGCCAAGGAAACAATCAACAGAGTGAAGAGACAACATATGGAGTGGGAGAACATATTTGCAGATCATGCGTCTAATGGGGTTAATACCCAAAATATATAAAGAACTCAAACAATTCAATAGTAAGAAAACAAATAACCCAATTTAAAAATTGACAAATAATATAAATAGACATTTGTCAAAATAAGACATACAAATGGACAACAAGTATATGAACAAAAAATGCTTAACATTCCTAATAATCAGAGAAATGCATTAAAACCACAATGATGTCCAGGTGTGGTGGCTCACGCCAGTAGTCCCAGCACTTTGGGAGGCCAAGGTAGGTGGATCAGCTGAGGTTAAGTGTTTGAGACCAGCCTGGCCAACATGGCAAACCCCATCTCTACTAAAAGTACAAAAAATTAGCTGGGCATGTTGGTGGGCACTTGTAATCCCAGCTACTCAGGAGGCTGAGGCAGGAGAATCACTTAAACCCAGGAGGCAGAGGTTGCAGTGAGCCGTGATGACTCCATTGCACTCCAGCTTGGCCAAAAAGAGTGAAACTCTGTCTCAAAATAAAATAAAATAAAATAAAATAAAATAAAATAAAATAAAATAAAATAAAATAAAATAAAATAAAATAAAATAAAACCAAACCACAATGATGTATCATCTCACACCTGTTAGAATGGCTATTATCAAAAAGACAAAAGATAGCAAGTGTTGGAGAGGATGTGGAGAAATTAGAACCCTTGTACACAGTTGTTGGGAATGTACAGCTATTATGGAAAACAGTATGGAGGTTCCTCAAAAAATTAAAAATAGAATTACCATATAATCCAAAAATCTTACTACTGGGTGTGTATCCTCAGAAAGGAAGATAAAAACTCAGAACCCTATTTCACTCTGCCAAAAGGAAAAAAAAATATTAAGCTGAAAGCTGAGTCATGCAAGAAGCTGCCTTTCCTTTTGTTCCTAAGCCAACAGCTGCAGAGAAAAGGTTATATATCTCCACAGGTAGCTACTCTATGTTCACCTTATCTTATGTAAAGTGCTGAGTGCAAGAAATACACAATTGACTATTCTCCCACCTACTCCTTTTCTCTTGCAACACATGGATTATTGTACCCTCTCTCTTTCCCCTCCAGCCTGCTTTTCCCCTTTAAATATTGAAGCCCTCAAAATCATCTTTGGAGAAAGGCACAGACCACAGACTGTTTGATTCCATGTTCTTTTCTTCTAGGCATGTCCTTAACCTTGTCAAAATAAATTTGTAAACTGATAGAGATCTGTTTCATATACTTTTCGTTCACAATCCAAAGGGTATGAAATAAGTATGTCAAAGAGATACCTGCAATTCCATGTTTATTACAGTATTATTCATGATAGCTAAGAAATGGAATTACCCTAAGTGTCTATCAGTGAATGAATGGATAAAGAAAATGTGGTATGTATACTTAATGGAATACTACTCAGCCTTAAAGAAAGAAGGAAATACTCTCACTTGGGGCAACATGGATGAACCTGGAGGATATTAAGTATAAATAAGCCAGGCATAGAAAGGCAAACACCACTTAATTTTGCTGATGTGTAGAGTTTTAAAACGTTAAATTCATGTAAGTAGGGATTAGAATGGTGGTTACCAGGGGCTGAGAATGAGGGTGGGGTTGAGAAGATGTTGGTCAAAGGACACAAAATTTTAGTTACAAAGAAGGAATAAGTTCAAGAAATCTATTGTAGAAGATGATGACTGTAGTTAATAACAATGTGTCGTATTCCTGAAAATTGCTAAGAAAGTAAATTTCAAGAGTTCTCACTACCAAAAAAAACCCAACAATGTGAGGTAATGTGTATATTAATAGCTTAATTTAGCCTTTCCACAATGTAGACATATATCAAAACAGCACGTTGTACATGATGAATAAGTACGATTTTTATTTACCAATTTAAAAAACAAATAAATACTCTATTTACAAAACAGGCAGTGGCCCAGATTTGGTTCAAGGACTGTATTTTGCCAGCTGCTTTTCTAGAAAATCAAGGATATGAAATCATAAGATTTCATTTTCCCAATTAATCCATTAGTTGGCAGGTGACATGGCCGGGAGGAGATTGCTTGGCATTTGTAACTGGAAGACCTGAGTTCAGGCTCAGATTTCATCGCTTTATAATCCTGGACAAGCATTTAACCTTTCAACAACCATGCACATTTCTTCACTTACAATATGTATTCCAGCTACTTCATGGGGTTGCTGTAAAACCTTAGGGAGAAATATTAGTCAAAGTACTTTGTAAACTAAAGCATTATGTAAGTAGATAAAGTTGTTATTAACAGGTGATAAGTGGGCAGAAAAATTCTCAGGAAGGCATCTAAAATGGTAGCAATAAAAAGCATGTGCATTTGTGAAATCGCTAAACAGTCACTTTTATAATTAAGGGATCCTCTGTCTTTGTATAAAAAGGAACAAGGATATTGTTCAGTCACCACGAAGTCACAGGGCTAAAAATGGGTATAAATAGTGTGAAGACAGTGCAAGAAAGGCTGGGACACTGGACCCCTGGGTGGATTATTCTTGGCTCCACTATTTACTAGCTGTATGACTCAGTTGCATCATTCAAGTTAGCCTTCCCAGAAGAAAATAATACTCTTTACCCCTCAGAGATGCTGTCGGAATTAATGAATCCACCTAATGTGCTTAGGAGAGATTCTGGCAGACCGGAAATATTAAGTAAATATCAACTCTTTTTTTAATTGAAGTGATTCATGAAGTCACATAAATTAGGAGTGGAAGATTCCACAGAAGTCATTTAGTGCACCACCCTCCACCTCTGTGATATCATGGCTCTGTGTTCACTCTGCCTCTGTTTGAACAATTTCTTTATGAGGAAGCTCATTACTTCATACAGAACTTCTCAGTACAGATAATCTATTCACTATTTCACTTGTTAATATAGGAAAGTTGTTTCCTCAAAGAAAAAATAAACCTCTCAACCCAAGAAAGCTTACTGAAAAGCAAAATAAGAAAGAAAAAAAGAAAGCAATAGATGGGGTATATTACCTCCTTTCACTCTTCCTACACATTTCTAAGCCTGAGTAAAACAATGGGCAGTGTCTTGTCACCTTAAGAAATGATGCCAGAATGGCTGAACTAATTTATATTCCCACCAACAGTGTACAAGTGTTCCTATTTCTCCACAGACTCACCAGCATCTGTTGTTTCCTGGCTTTTTAATAATTGCCATTTGACTGGTGTGAAATGGTATCTCCTTGTGATTTTGATTTGCATTTCTCTGATGACCGGTGTTGATAAGCTTTTTTTCTATGTTTTTTGGCCGCATAAATATCTTCTTTTGACAAGTGTCTGTTCATATCCTTTGCCCACTTTTTGATGGTCATCTAGGATCTAGAACCAGAAATACCATTTGACCCAGCAATCCCATTACTGAGTATATACCCAAAGGATTATAAATCATGCTACTATAAAGACACATGCACACGTATGTTTATTGCAGCACTATTCACAATAGCAAAGACTTGGAACCAACCCAAATGCCCATCAGTGATAGACTGGATAAAGAAAATGTGGCACATATACACCATGGAATATTATGCAGCCATGAAATAAATGAGATCATGTCCTTTGCTGGGACATGGATGAAGCTGGAAGCCATCATTCTCAGCAAACTAACACAGGAACAGAAAACCAAACACCACATGTTCTCACTCATAAGTGGGAGTGGAACAATGAGAACATATGGACACAGGGAGGGGGATATCACACACTGGGGCCTGTTGTGGGGTGCAGGGCAAGGGGAGGGAGGGCATTAGGACAAATATCTACTGGATGCGGGTTTTAAACCCAGATGACGGGTTGATATGGGCAGCAAACCGCCATGGCACACGTATACCTATGTAACAAACCTGCACGTTCTACACATGTACCACCCAGAACTTAAAGTAAAAAAGAAGAAGAAAAAAAAAAAAAGAAATGATGCCTACTAGAGGAGGCTTCTAGAATGCAATGGTGTTTAAAAAACCTTCTGTCATCTGCCTCTCAAAGGAATGACTGGAAAATCCAAGCCCATTTCATCTTTCATAGGCAGTGCATGTTCATAATGGCCTCTTGACATTAATAATTAGTATTAAAAAGTTATATTCCAAATATTACTATAGTTAATAATGGTTATATCAACAGTAGAACATGACTACAAACCGAAAGGTCATCTCTGCACAACTGAAAATCGCTAAGTCTAAAGGCTGCATAAATTTTTCCTATAATTATTAACAAACTAAGAAAATAGATCCATTCACTTCATGTTTTTATACATTTATATATAAATATTGTTTATTATAAATGGTATAAGTTTTGTTTTGTTTTCAAACAAATGATGTGATGTAAATTTTCATGCACCACAGGAATCCATTAATTTTTTATCATCTTAAATGTCCTGTGGAGCTTTGTTTTAGGCCATCTCTGAAATGTTCACCATTGATTAATTTTGAGAAGTGCTTTCATATGCTAAAAACCCAAGTGAACTTTCCCTAAGCAAATTAATTTCCCCTTTTGTTTCCAGGCACATGAACAAGGCTTGAGTCCAGTGTGTTTTGGCCATTCCTTGTTCTTTAGATCAAAGGGATCTCTGCTTAGGTGAAGAATGAGAAAGGGCTGGATTGAACAGAGAAAAAATGCATCTTTGCAGACAAATTTACCAAAGGAAGAAAAATAGTCAATAAAATTGAGTTGTCATAAGAGTGGTTTGAAGCCTGTGGCATTGATTGATGAATTTCCTTTGCTGTTACTGAGATAAACCAAAAATACACCTCTAGTTCTTTCACCTCTTAGGTAATTCAACAGAATGCGTTTCACAGACTAAGTGCCAGAACAGCAGCGATCTGCTGAGTTAACAGAACACCATGCTGAAGGTCAGTGTAAAATGTATACATAAAGGCAGAAAAATCATGCTGTTCTCATTAATTAAGCAAAATATCACTTTCTTCTGACACTGCACTGTGAAGAACAATGAATAAGCATTTGGAAAGGGTCTTAAAATTTTGAGCTCACATAGTAAAGTCACTTGGGAATTTGTAGTAATAAATATCACTGTTAACTTTAATGTCAGGTTTATTTTTGTTTGCCTGTACCTACCTCACATGACTTATCGTTATTAGACAAGAATTGCAGTAAATTTTCTTTGATACAGATATATTCATCCATGGATTTCTGGTTGAAAATATGTAAACATTCTGATGACTTCAAGGATATAGGACTAAGCTCTCTTGTAGGCCAATGACATGATTATGTTGGAAAAAACGAACAGCATCAATAGACAATTTGGTCTTCTGTCCAGTTGGTACTACAGAGAATGACTCAATTTTAGCTATTCAACATTTAACACCCTTTGACAATTCTCCTTTAATGTCTAAGTAGCTTTTAGCTGACAATTGTATTACAGGTCAACACATGTCATATTAAGGGCAACATTTTACAAACAATTTATTTCATGGGCTTATCTTGAAATTGCATTTTTAAAGTTAAACAATCAATACTGTTGAAAAAGGCTTTTAATGGCTTCTCTGCACATTAAGTGACCTCCGTTACAGGTTTTCAGATTAAGACTAACAAAAGCACCTTTTGAAGTTGGACTCCATGTATTATAAGGAACCCTGAGTTTTTTTTTTCTGAGAGAAAATCTTGCCTCTTTTCACAAATACTCACTTGTCAACTTTATGCAAAAATGAGATGTTCTTCCTCATTGACATTAGATGCCTTAACTTTCATGAAAGAGGTCAGCCATATCCTCAATGAGGCTAAATGCTAAAGGATATTACACTACCTCTAACAGAAGACATGAAACTGTGGACTCTATGTTTACAAACCCTGCCTCAGTTATAAACCCAAACATCTCCAAAGGCCAGGCATGTAATATGAAGTGAAAAGAACTGGAAATGGAGAAAGTAGTGAGTTTCAGGTCTGGAGTGACAGTATGAAGAGCTCTTAGGACAAGCTTCCCAGTGAAACAACAAAAAAAAATTGGCAAAAATTATGAAAACAAGTATTATAATTATCTAGAAATTTCACTAAGGGCATATAGAAAATGAAGAAATATTTATTCAAGAAAATCTACTAAAACTCCGCTAGAAGAGATAGTCTGTGAAAGTTAAACCACAACCCACTCCCTTCTTTCCCCTGCCTCCCCTCTTCCCAGCACAACTTGACAGAAGCTCCATTTGGGCATCTAAGAAGGTGGTGCTTTCTCTCCCCTCAGCTCCCAACCAAGAATTACTGTATCTCACTGGGAAGCAGAGGCTACTCACATTTCTCATCCCTTTTAGCTCCAAATTGAAGATACTAAATTCTCAATGAGTGAAGCCAAGAAGCTGGGGACTCCTTTTTTTCATATAGGTCCTACCGATAAGATTGAGGTACCACCCTAGATATTTCAGGATAAGAATGCCATGACCACCCTCACTCAAATTTGCTCGAGGGAAGAGGTTCCACACTAAGAAAGTCAAACCGGACCTCGGAGGATACCAGTCTACCTCATGACCAGAGTAGTGGTTCAGAGAGTTTGCCCAGGAGGAAAGATAGTCTGTGAAAGAGATCTCTGAAGCTCTCCTCAAAGGAACTAAGTGTATTTGAAACGGAGTCTGGGAAAGTTCAAGCCTAAGGGTTCTCTCAAAAACAATAGCCCCAGTTAATTAAGAGCAGCAAATTAAGCCATTGGCCAGCTAGTGCCCTAAAGAGAACCAGGGAATGAAACAGCTAAGAAGAGCCCTCAGGGGGTCAGAACAAAACTCAAAGGCTAGCTCCAAAAGTAACCCTTGCTGAAATTTAATTGGATCAGACTGCTGAGCAATTTATAGCCCAGGGCATTGTTGAAAACAATGATAGCACAATCACCTGGCAAATAGTGAGGTCAAACATTCAGGGGCATAATACCAAATGAACTAGACAGCCAAAAAAGAAAGATGGAGGAAAGACAGTCAAAGAGACCCATGCTAAGACCAGTGTCATCCTAGGTGGTTGTACAAAGTTTCAAGGCTATGTCCTCTGAGGAATGATACCAAAGGCTTCACACTGCATTGGGGAAATAGACTTCACTAAAATAACCTAGCCAAATTACAAAGCAAATGAAAAATTAAGGAACAACAAAACAAGGCCTAGAGAGAACGGAATGGAGTCAGTACCCAGAGTTGTTAGATAAAGACAATATGTTATCTAAGATGTTCAGTTTTTAATCAAAAAAAATTATGAGACATGCAAAGAAATAAGAACATGTAACCCATATGCAAGAAAAAATAGCAGGCAACAGAAGCTGACTGTGAGATGTCAGCTTTAACAGACAAGGACTTCAAAATAGCTGCTACAAATATGTTCAAAGAACTAAAGGAAATGGTGCTTAAAGAAAAAAAGGTAAGTATGAGGGCGATGTTTCATCAGATAAAGAATATATAAATAAAAAGAGAGAAATTATTTAAAAGAGCCATATGAAAATTCTGGAATTGAAAAGTATAATAAAATGAAAAATTTAATAGGAGAGCTCAACAGTAGATTTGAACTGGCAGAAGAAATAATCAGTGAACTTAAAGAGAGATTGACAGGGATATGCAACCTGTAAAACAGAGAAAAAATAGAATGAACAGAGACTTTGAGAAATGTGGCATACTTTAAGTTCACCAACTACATACAATGGGAATATCAGAGAGAGAGGAGAAAGAGAGAGGAGCGGCAAATATTTGAAAGAAATAATATCTAAAACCTACAGACTTACTGAAAAATGCATAGTTTTCTTTTCTCAGCTGTTTCAAAAAGCAATATTTTAAAAAGAATATGCATAAGTTGTATTCTTAGACCTATAACATACACATTTCTATTGTACATTTCATATTACATTTCTATGTAATACATTTGACAAAAACATCACAAAGAAAGGGGATAGAACTGAGTTGTACTGCAGTGAAGAAAATGAGACCAGGTAAAATAAAATCACAAGAAAAGTGAGAGAGACCCACAAATTGTAAATATAAAAAATTCTGTAAATATATACTTCCTCTCTATTCTTTTCTTGGATTCTTTAATAGGCATAAAATTATAATAATGTACTGTTGAATTTGGAATATATATAGATGTAGTATTAATAACATTAAAAACACATAAATGAGAAGTAACATTTCTATCTTTCTAGAAATAAGTTTATATATATCTAAAGTGTTATGTATACCATGTATTTTGGGGTGTTAAATTGTAAATGGTAAGTATTACAGCAACCACTAAGAAAATATTTTAAAAATACAGTAAAAATTGCTCTAGAAACTAAAATGTTACACTAGAAAATATTCACTTCACACAAAAGAAAGAAGTTAAGCAGGAGTACAGGAACAAACATAATACGAGACATATAAAAATCAAGAAGTACTAAGCAATATAGTTTGGATGTTTATCCTCTCCAAATCTCATGGTGAAATGTAATTTCCAATGTTGGAGAAGGAGCCTTGTTGGAGGTGTTTGGGTCATGGAGGTGAATCCCTCATGAATGGCTTAGCACCATCTACTTAGTGATGAGTGAGTTCTCAGTTTATATGAGATCTGGTTGTTTAAAAGAGCATGGCACCTCCCTCTTCTCTCTTGCCATGTGATGCACTGGCTCTCTTTTACCTTCTGCCATGATTGTAAGCTTCTTAAGGCCTCACCAGAAGCTGAGCATATACCAGGGCCATGCTTCCTGTACAGCCTATAGAAATATGATCCAATTAAAACCTCTCTTCTTTATAAATTACCTAGTCTCAAGTATTCTTTTATGGCAACACAAATGGACTGACACAGAAAATTGGCACTAAGGAGTGGGGCATTGCTATAAAGATACCTAAAAATGTGAAAGCATTTTTGGAACTGGGTAATGGGAACAGGTGGGAAAAGTTGAGAGGGCTCAGAAGAAGACAGGAAAATGAGTTTGGAAAGTTTGCAAGTTCTTAGACAATTGTTGAGTGGTTGTGACCAAAATACTGATAGAAATATGGACAGAGAAGCCCAGGCTGAGGAGGCCTCAGATGCAAATAAGAAAGTTATTGGGAAATGGAGCAAAGGTCACACTTGTTATGCCCTAGCAAAGAACTTGGCTGCATTGTGTCCATGCTCTAGGGACTTGTGAAAGTATGAACTTAAGAGTGATGATGTAGGGTATCTGACAGAAGAAATTTGTGAGGAGCAAAGTGTTCAAGTGGCAGCATGACTGCTTCTAACAGCCTACAGTTAGATGCAGGGGCAAAGGAATGACTTAAAGTTGAAACTCATATTTAAAAGGGAAGCAGAGCAGAAAAGTTTGGAAAATTTGCAGACTGACCCAGTGGTACAGAAAGAATCCAAGCAGGCTGTGGAAGAACCACCTGCTAAAGAGATTAGCATGACAAAAAGGAAGCCAAATGCTAATATCCAAGGAAAAAATGCCTTGAAGCAATTTTAGAAATCTTTGAGGAAGCTCTTCCCATCACAGGCCCAGAGGCCTAGGAGGAAAGAAAGGCTTCAGGGGCAGGCACAGGGCACCACTGCCCTGCTCAGCCTTAGAATACTGCTCCCTACATCCCTGCCTCTCTGCACCAGCCACATCAAAGGGCCCCAGGGACATCTCTGGTTGCTGCTTTGGAGAATGTAAGCTGCTGTAAGCCTTGGCAGCTTCCATGTTGTGTTAAGTCTGCAGGTGCACAGAATGCAACAGTGAAGGAGGGTTGCCATCTTCCACCTAGATTCCAGAGGATGTATGGGAAAGCCTGGGTACCCAGAGGCAGAAGGCCTTACCAGAAGCACCCAGAGAAACTCTACTTGTGAAGTGCTGAAGGGAAATGTGGGATTGAAGTCACCATACAGAGTCCCCACCAAGGAACTGCCTAATGGAACTGTGGGAAGGGGGTTGCTGTCCTCCAGACTCAAGAATGGTAGAGTCGCCAGCGTCTTGTAACCTCAGCATGGAAAAACTGTAGGCACTCAACTATAACCTGTGAGAGTAGCCATGGGGGCTGCACCCTGCAAAGCCACAGGAGTGGAGCTGCCAAAGGCCATAAGAGCCCACCCCTTGCAGCAGGACATAAAATCAAGGATTATGTTGGAATCTTAAGACTTAATGCCTGCCTTGCTGGGATTCAGACTTACATGAGGCCTATTACCCCCTTCTTTTGGACAATTTCTCCTTTTTGGCGTAGGAATGTTTACCCAATGTCTGTACCTCCATTGTATCTTGGAAGTAAATAACTTGTTTTTGATTTTACAGGCTCATAGCTGGAAACAACTTGGCCTTGAGTCTCAGAAGAGACTTTGGACACTGGACTTCGAGTTGATGCTGAAATGAGTTGAGACTTTTGGGGACTATTGGAAAGTGATGATTGCATTTTTCAATGTGAGAAGGATATGAGATTTTGGGGGCTAGGGGCAGAATGATATAGTTTGGATGTTTATCCCTTCCAAATCTCATGTTGAAATGTAATTCCCAGTGTTGGAGGTAGAGTGTTGTGGGAGGTGTTTTGGTTTGGGGGCAGATTCTTCATCAATGGCTTAGTGCCAACTCCTTGATGATGAGTGAGTTCAAGTTCTCACTCAGTTCATGTGAGATCTTTTTTTTTTTCAAAGGATGAGCACCCCCTAGCTTGTTCTGTCTCTTATCATGCAATGTGCTGGCTTCCTCTTTGCCTTCTGCCATGATTGTAAGCTATCTGAGGCCTCACCTGAAGGGGAGCAGATGCCAGCACCATGCTTCCTATTTAGCCTGCAGAACTGTGAGCCAATTAAATCTCTCTTCTTGATAAATTACCCAGTCTCAGGTATTCCTTTATAATGACAGAAGAGCAGACTAATACATATGGCAGCTGTAATTCATCTATATTAAAAATAGTAGTAACATGCAGCTAGAGTAAACAGTCCAATCAAAAGTCAGAGTTTGTAATACTGGATAAAAAGTAATATGCTATTATGTGGTGTGAATAAGAGACACAGTGGAGTTTGAAGGATATAAATAGGTTGAAAGTAAAAGGATAAAAACAGATTAAAAATAAAAAACATGCAAAAAGCAAGAATTAGAAAGCTAGAGTGACTATACTAATATCAAACAAAATAAACTTTAAAACAAAAAATAGAGGTCAACTCAAGATGGATTAAAGACTTAAAACTAAGACCTCAAACTATGAAAATTCTAGAAGATAACATTGGAAAACCCGTTCTAGACATTGGCTTAGGCAAAGACCTCATGACCAACAACCCAAAAGCAAATGCAATGAAAACAAAGATAAATAGGTGTGACTTAGTTAAACTAAAGTACTTCTGCACAGCAAAAGGAATAGTCAGCAGAATAAACAGACAACCCACAAAGCGGGAGAAAATCTTCACAATCTATACACCTGACAAAGACTAAAATCCAGAATCTACAAGGAACTCAAACAAAATTAGCAAGAAAAAAGCAAACAATCCCATTGAAAAGTGTGCTAAGGACATAAATAGACAATTCTGAAAAGAAGATATACAAATGGCCAAGAAACATTTTTAAAAAATGCTCGACATCACTAAGGATCAGGGAAATGCAAATCAAAACCACAATGTGATACCACCTTACTCCTGCAAGAATGGCCATAATCAAAAAATAAAAAAAAATAGATGTTGGCATAAATGTGGTGAAAAGGGAACACTACTACACTGCTAGTGAGAATGTGAACTAGTACAACCACTATTGAAAACAGTGTGGAGAGTCCTTAAAGAACTAAAAGTAGAACTACCATTTGATCCAGCAATCCCACTACTGGGTATCTACCCAGAGGAAAAGAAGTCACCATACAAAAATGATACTTGAACACGCATGTTTACAGCAGCACAATTCTCAGTTGCAAAAATACAAAACCAGCCCAAATGCCCATCAATCAATAAGTGGATAAAGAAATTGTGCAACATATATATGTCTATATATGTATATATATGTGTGTATATATGTATATATACACATATATACATATACGTATATGTGTGTACACATATATACATATACATATATGTGTGTACACACACATGTGTGTACATGCATACACATGCATACACACATATATACACACATATATACACACATGTATACACACGTGTATATGTGTGTATACGTACACACACACGTGTATGTGCGTGTATACGTGCACACACACGTGTATGTGTGTGTATACGTACACACACACGTGTATGTGTGTGTATACATATATACACACATATACATACAGATATACATATATACATATATACACATATACACATATATACATATATACATATATGTATATATGTGCCATATATATGTATACATATATGTGCCATATATATGTATACATATATGTGCCATATATATGTATACATATATGTGCCATATATATGTATACATATATGTGCCATATATATGTGTATATGTGCCATATATATGTGTATATTATATGTGTATATATGTATATACATATATATGTGCCATATATATGTGTATATTATATGTGTATATATGTATATACATATATATACATATACATGTGCCATGTATATACGTGTATATATATATGTATATATATAACACTACTCAGCCATAAAAAGAAACAAATTAATGGCATTCACAGCAACCTGGATGGAACTGGAGACCATTTTTTGAAGTGAAGTAACTTAGAAATGGAAAACCAAACATCATATGTTCTCACTCATAAGTGGGAGCTAAGCTATGAGGATGCAAAGGCATGAGAACAATACAGTATTCTTTGGGGACTCAGGGAAAAGGATGGGAACAGGTTGAGGGATAAGAGACTACAAACTGGGTTCAGTGTATACTGCTCAGGTAATGGGTGCACCAAAATCTCACAAATCACCACTAAAGAACTTACTCATGTAACCAAATACCAACTGTTCCCCCAAACCTAGGGAAATTAAAAAAATAAAAAAGCACAATGAGTTACTTCACTCACTAGGAAGGCTATAAGCCAAAAGACAGATAATAACAAGTTTTGGTGAAGTAGGGAGATCGAAACCTTCCTATACCACTAGTGGGAATGTAAAATGGTGCAGCTGCTTTGGAAAACAGTTTGGCAGTTCCTCAGGCAGTTACATATAGAGTTACCATATGTAGTAGTACCAGCAATTCTACTTCTTGGTTTATACCAAAGAATAATAAAATTATATGTCCACACAAAACTTGTATGCAAATGTTTATAACAGTATTATTCATAACAGTCAAAAAGTAGAAACAATGCAAACCTTCCTCAACTCATGAATGAACAAAACCCACACAATGCAATATTACTTAGCAATAAAAAGAAATACAATACTGATACATAATATGACATGAATCACCTTGAAAATATGCTAAGTGAAAGAATCCAGACACAACAGGCCATATATTGTATGATTCCATTTTTATGAGTAAACAAATGTATGTAAAGAGAAAATAGCCAGGTGTAGTGGCTCATACCTGTAATCACAGCACTTTGGGAGGCTGAGGTGGGGGGACCACTAGGTCAGGATTTCAAGACCAGCCTGGCCAACATGGTGAAACCCAGTCTCTACTAAAAATGGAAAAATTAGCTGAGAGTGGTGGCGGGTGCCTGTAATCTCAGCTACTCAAGAGGCTGAGGCAGGAGAATCGTTTGAACCCGGGA
Organism: Homo sapiens; assembly: GCF_000001405.40. Lineage (NCBI taxonomy): Eukaryota > Metazoa > Chordata > Mammalia > Primates > Hominidae > Homo > Homo sapiens. The sequence goes on from NC_000002.12 coordinate 228,093,787, forward strand.
GGCGGAGAGGTTGCAGTGAGCCGAGATCACTCCATTGCACTCCAGCCTGGGCGACAGGGCAAGACTCCGTTTCAAAAAAAAAAAAAAAAAAAAAAAAAAACAAAGCTATTGGGACAAGAAGTAGATTAGCAGTTGCCTAGGCCTAAGGAGGATGGTATGCCTGGGAAGTGATGACTAAGCAAAGTGGAGTTTCTTTTGAGGTAATAAAAATGTTCTAAAATTGATACAAATGTGAGAATCTTGAGGGTATTGAGAATAACCAACAATCTAAATATCTAGGTATTTTTTTATAATACTAATTTTAGGTTTTCAGCATGGATTAATAATGCAAATATCTTAAGCCTCAAATAAACATGATAATCTTATAATGAATAAATTGTACCTTATGAAACATTTTCTTAAAATTATAATATTTGGAGCGGGGAACCAACCGGAATATTTTAAAAGTGATGTATTCACTGCTAAGAGCTAGTGGATTTAAGCTTCAGGCCTGGCTTTACTACTAATTTACTCTGTGGCCTTGAGAAATCTCTTTTCTTCATTGCTGTTTTGTTTTCTCACCTGAAAAATGAGTAGAATGGGCAATATATCTTCTCAGGTTTATCATAGCTCTTGGGTTCTGCGATTTCACAAATGGAAGCTTAGTCACTTAGTTTGGCAGAATAGAAAAACACTTGTACATTCTATTTGTTTAGCATATGGTGCAAATACATTCACCAGTTGATATTTTATTTTGGTCCTATCACTAGGATCTGACAGATGATTATTGAAAGAGTGTTTCCAATGTCAAAATGTGCCAATGTCAAAGTGTTTTTCATTGGCCTGGCATTTTGCGTGCCGTTTAAAAAATTAGGATGAAGATGGTGAATCAGCTCCTTTGGAATTAATATCCAGTTCAACTAAAAAGTAAGAGCCATGGTCTTGAATTAGATACTAGATTGACTCAGCAGCCCCTGGAGGAATTATGTGATGCTGAGGGTGGCAGTTGGGAACTAGGAATGCAGTTACTCATACCACGGTAACCTTAAAATATATCTCGGAATTAGGTGCTGCAGAGGATTTTGGGAGAAAAAGATACCAGCGACTTTTTGAGGTTGCTGGGGTCTTTTTGTTTTTTTCTGTGTTTGTTTACTTTTGGTTTTTACATTTTAAATATTGAGAAGAAATATGTGGGGCTTTAAGCAACAAAATAGTGATGCTGGGGCTGAAAACACATAGCCAGAATTGCAAAATCAAAACAGCTTTGATAATCAATTTAAGATGAAGGGTGAGGGAGAAAGTGTGTTTCTCAGGATTATAGATTGGAAAAACGTGTAGATTCCGTAGATTCCAAAACTGTCAATAGAAATGGGAAATTTGAAAGACAGAACATATTTTTGGACATCTACCTTTAGTCATGTTGAAACAGGACATTTTGGCCACGTGCAGATGGGAATACCTAACAGGCACTTGGGCATCAAGTTTACAGTCCAGAGATGGTAGTTATGAAAAGATAGCCGTGGCTGAAACCAGGGGATATGGAGTGAGGGCAGTGAGCGAGAAGCAACCAGGCTTTTGGACAGATCTTTGGGAAACATCACATTAAAGTGCCTGGTGGGGAAAACAGAAGTTCAGGTTAGAGACAAAAAAGTAATGATCCCAAAGGCAGGAGAAGAATTAAAGAGAGACTAGTGTTTTTAAAGCCCTGGAGAAATAGCTAATTTTCAGAAGCTGTGTGGGGGTGTGAGTTCAGTTCTACCAAGAGCTAAGTAATATAAGCAGTGAAAACATGTCAGTAGATTTGGTGACACTAATAAGAGAAATTTCAGCAAAAATGGTAAGAAACGTGAGCTAGAGAGAAGAGATAGTATACTTTTTAATTTTTTTTTAATTTGGTAGTAAAAGAAGGGACA